>NC_000003.12:139160119-139463149 GCF_000001405.40 Homo sapiens | reverse complement strand
TTTAAAACTACCTTGGGGGCCAGGCATGATGGTTCACACCCATAATCCCAGCATTTTGGGAAACTGAGGCACATGGATCGCTTGAGCTCAGGAGTTTGAGACCAGCCTGGGCAAATGGTGAAACCCCATCTCTACAAAAAATACGAAAATTAGCTGGGTATGGTGGTGTGCACCTGCTGTCCCAGCTACTTGGGAGGCTGAAATGGGAGGATCACTTGAGCCCAGGAGGTCAAGGTTGCAGTGAGCCAAAATCATGTCACTGCACTCCAGCCTGGGCGACAGAGTGAGACCCTGTCTCGAAAAAACAAAACAAAAAACAAATCTATACTGGGGGCTAAGAACTGAGGCAGAACAGTCTGCTGTTAAAATGAAAGCTTGTAACTATCCCTCCCCGCTGTGGACATTAACAAAAGTTTCCTAAGTTTCATCTTTATCCATGATTAAAACTAGTGATTTCCAAAGTCTTTTTTCTTTTAAATCATGAGATCTTTTTGTTCAGCAAACTCTTAGGAGGATGCCCAACAGGTCAGATAGAATAGAGCTGCTGTGACGTGTGTGTGTGTGTGTGTGTGTGTGTGTGTGTGTGTGTGTTGGGGAGCTGCAGCTTAGGGGTGAGGCTTGCGTGCTACATCTCCCTCCCATCAGGGATCCTGAGGAGGTGCCAGGAGACTCCTAGGTTTCCCAGCAACTGACTGAAATGCCCAACTTGGCCACGAGTAAGATGCTTGTTTCCCACTTAAGCAAAGACAGGTGGCCTACACACAATCTGTGTCTCTAGTCTTGAATGTTTGGTCTTGTTAACGAAATGAATGAGTCTGGCTGAGCACATCATAACCTCCACAACTCCCTTTGCCAACAGATATTGATTTTGCCACCCGCAAGATTGCAGTACGTCTCACTCAGACGAAGGTTATTGATCAAGATGGTGATAACTTCAAGACAAAAACCACTAGCACATTCCGCAACTATGATGTGGATTTCACTGTTGGAGTAGAGTTTGACGAGTACACAAAGAGCCTGGATAACCGGCATGTTAAGGTACTGACCGGGGCTGGTGTTTTTCATTCACACATTCTGTGCCAGGGGCTGGCTATTTGGTATCATGATGAAAAAAAAAATATTAGAAACAACCTGGGAAAAATCAGGAAAGGAGGACCAGGATGGCCTTAATCATGCTGGCAATGAGCAATTATTGACAGTTTAGTAGGAAGAGGCAGGCCTAGGAGAGATTAAGAGCTCAACCTCTCCATGATCCAGGGCCAGGGCCTATGAGTCATATACAGCCATGGGCCTGGCAGGCAGAGGGAAGAGGGCAAGGTGGAACATCACAGGGAGGGACAGCACCTGCACCTGCTGGGGAGCAAGGGCACATGGAAAGGTGGCAGCCCTGCCCAGTGCCAGCCAAGCACTGCCATGGAGGAGCGAAGCCTGAAGATGCCAGATTTTTTTTAGGAGATGTAGAGAAATCAGATGTTTTTATATAAAATATCTCAAATTTTTATGATTCTGCTGAAAAAGAGCAAGTATAAAATGAAACATCTCAATTATAGATGATCCCAGCTGATTTCATTTTTTTAGAAAAGAATGATCCAAATTAAACAAAAAAAAAAATCAGTAGGTTAAGTGGAGTCAAGATTTATCCAGCCCTAATAACTTGGAGAAATCTCTGGCAAGTTTGTGGCTTCTGTCCTAGCATTGCCTTAACCAACAAGGGATAATCTAGGCAACTCTCCATGTATCAGAAGGCCAGACTTTCACCATTTGAACTACTGAATATAGATGGGACCCTGAAAGCAGGCAGAAAACAACTCTGAGAGGGGAGTAGGGAGTTATCTCAAAGCCCAAAAACTTGAGTTTGCAGAAGAAGCAGGCTCTTGCCCACAGGAGCTGTTTGTAAATAAGGCAGAGGCAGCAGGGAGAAGTGGAGAGGTGCTGGGAAGGCAAGGGTAACAGCAGCTCTCCCCAGCATCACCGTGTGGTATCCCAACCCAGTAACCAGCCCTCCTGCTCACATTCATGCTCAGTGTGCCTGTTTTTGATTTTCCAAATCAAATTACACCTGGTCAGTCCCCACCAAACAGGAATAGGAGAAATCCAATCTCAGTTGTATTTAAGGATTCCACCAAACCTTCCCACTGTAACGAACCCCAGGGATATGCAGTCCAAGAGATTTGGGAAGGTTCCCGGCTTGTCATTTTTCATGGTTGCAATTGACTGTTCACTGTCTATGCCCATGCATTTTATACAAGGCTGGGCAGTATGAATATTCAAAGCATCCTTTCCCTCTGGGCCAATTCAGCCACTGGAACCTCTGTCCTATCTCCCAAACTGAGGGAGGACAGAGCTGAGTACTCTGACCCAAGGTATCTGTGCTGTCACCTTCCCACCCCCGGCAAAGGGCCAGCCCTTCAAGTGCCACAACAAAGCAAGCAACACCCTCTGCCCTGCCCTGCCCCCCTCACCATGAGTCCTGATCTTCCCAAGGTCAGGCCACTACCCAGAGACTCTCACACTGTCCTTCCAGGAGTTCATTAGAAGTCAGAGGTCTCAACTCTCCCCGAAAGCAATGGGCACAAGCTCTGACTCCTCTCCTGGGGTGGGGAGGAAAAGCTGTTATTATTATTTGGTGACAATTAAAAGCCAAGAGAGCTGGACACACTTTATTTCTCAGTCAAGTTGTCCTGTAGCATTGATAATCTCAGCCATCAAGTCAAGGTTGAATTATATTTAGTGTTCTTTGCTAAAGAAAAGTAGGGAAATATAAAGCATGATGGAAATTTTTCCACCAGAGCACTCTTGGCATGAGAACTTATGATTCTGGGCCCTGGAATGTCCACTTATGGAACCCCTCCCTGAGGGGATAATGGATCAACAAGCCTTTTCTGAACCTGTGAACCATCTGGCTGAAAAGCCAATTCATTGGACACCAGAATTGCTAGGAAAATTGATCTCAGAATTTCTTGCATCACTCTGCTGTTCCAACCCAATCAGTGCAAAATGATTCATTTTCCCTCACCTTTCTGTTTTGGTTGTGGGCTCTTGAAAAGCAGGCCTGTCCTCTCTGACTTGATCCTTTGTGACCTTTGATGGTAGAGAACTTGTTCTTCCTAAAATAAATCACCCTTCCAGCCCTTAATGAATTCCACGTGTTAACACACTCCTACCTTTCTTCTGTCTCTCCGTGTTCCATTTTCTCCCCTCTCCAGTCAGCAGTTAGCCCTGCAGAAAGAGAGAGAATCCTCTTTCCCACAGCTTGCCTCCTCTTTGCCTTCACTAGAAAGCCAGAGTGAATGCACACACACACACACACACACACTCACACACACCCTTAGTAGGGAGTGAGAAGTACCCAGGACAGTTTGCCCAGCCTCCAACAATGGGCCATTCCCATGAGAATCACCATGCAGAGCAGATGCCCAAGGGACTACCTACTTCCTGTAACTTCACTGGAACCCTTCAGCTGGAAGGGGGTGCTAGACAGTGGGCAAATCTCTTTCTCTGATTAATTTCTTTCTTTTTTTTTTTTGAGACAGAGTTTCACTCTCGTTGCTCAGGCTGGAGTGCAGTGGCTCAATTTAGGCTCATTGCAACCTCCACCTCCCAGGTTCAAGCAATTCTCCTGCCTCAGCCTCCCAAGTAGCTGGGATTACAGGCGTGCGCCACCATGCCTGGCTAAATATATATATATATTTATATATAAATATATGTAAATATGAATACACACACACACACACACACACACACACACATATATATAGTAGAAACAGGGTTTCACCATGTTGGTCAGGCTGGTCGTGAACTCCTGATCTCAAGGGATCCACCCGCCTCGGCCTCCAAAACTGCTGGGGTTACAGGCGTGAGCCACCATGCCTGGCCTCTGTGATTAATTTCTGTCACCCACACTTGGTGGCATGCCTGAGTGAACACCTATACACGTGTGGGAGTGTGAGGATGTGTGAGTGTGAGAGTGTGTGTGGTACTCCTCATGCTATTGTTTTCCAGGGCTCCATGTCTCAACTACTTGGTCACCCTTACAAGCCCTCTGGAAATCTCCCCACTCGGCAGTGTGGAGGAGAGGTGCATGTTGTGCCCTGTAGTGCCCAGTTCTATGCCAGCCCAGAGCAGAAGCAATGCAACCACATTGATCACAGAGTCAATTCTCCTCTGAGGAGTCAGGGACTCCCCTTAGGAAGGACTTCCTGTGGGTTCTATGTATTCCCAACTTCCTATCCTGGCTGATTTCTAAGAGAAGTTAAAGCCCCTTCCAAAACTACACAAGCTACCCCCAAAATAAAATAAAATTAAAAATAAGCAATTGATACCCATGTAATGGAATGTGGAGTATATGCAGCCATGAAAAAGGATGAAGGACAGACTCATGCTACAAAATGGATGCACCTGGAAAACGAGCTAAGTGAGAGAAGCCCCACACAAAAGGTCACGTATTGTGTGATGTATGTGAGACGTCCAGAACAGGCAAATTCATAGAGAGAGAAAGTGGTTGCCCAGAGACAGGGGATAGAGGAAATGAATGGTGATTGCTAGTACATAGGGGTTCCTTTTGGGGCGTGAAGAAAATCACCTGGATTTAGATATATTGATGGTTACGCAACCTTATGTACTAAAAGCTACCGAATTGTGTATCTTAAAAGGGTGAATTTTATATTTTGTGAATTATATCTCAATAATAAAATAAGTAATTGAAATTGGGGCAGACAGTAAGGGCAGGGAAAAGCAGGGAAGACAATGGCGGTTAGAGCCAATAATGCCATTCTGATGGCAGAAGAAGATGGGAGCCCCCAGAAGAGGAGTGGCAGACAGGCGCTGCCAGAGGAAGGGCCCTGCAGGCGAACCAAAGAACTCTTAATTGAGGGCAAGTGCGCTAAGGAGGGTTGAGCATGTGAATACTGTCCTTCAATGCTCTTAAAGAGCTGTTGTTTTCCTTTAAAAAAAAAAAGTGTTGGCGAGTAATTCCAACTTACAGAAAAGTTACAAGAATATAACAAAAAACACCTGTACACTCTTTACCAAGAGTTACCACATTTTGCCCCTTTGCTTTGTCATGTGCACATGCTTTCTCTCTAACATACAAATATTTTTTTCTGAACAATCAGATGCCTTAGCCCTAAATACTTCCGTATGTATTTCCTAATAATTAAGGTATTCTCTTGTAAAACTGCAATATGGTTATCAGCTTCTATAAGTTTAACATTGATACAGTGCCTGTATCTAATTTATCATAAAGGGCTGTTTTAAGCAATGTTAGCTTTGGAAACTGTGATAGTGGAAAGCATGGTGGGAGCCCAGGTTTCTTCAATTCTGTGTACAGCTATCTGCCCTTGGAATGTACTCCTTCTTTATCCCCTAGCTGAGAAAGAAGGGCTTTCCTCACTTGTTTCCATTTCCTCAACCTGAGGATCTTTTAAGCAATTGAGCCTCCTTTAAAAATCTCTTCTGATGCAGGGATGAAGGGCACCAACTAAAAGCAGATTAAATTGAGAAATTTTAGTTCATTTAACCATTCTCTTCTTTCTGCTTCTTATTTTTATATAGGAGTAAGGCTATAATATTGTAAGTATTATCATAATTTATTGGTAACCAATTTACTTTAGGGTCAGAACAACTTTTAATCTTGCTGTCCAGTATGAGTTATTAAAATAAAATATTAGGACAGGCCCATGCACTAACATTTTTCTCCTTCCTTCTTCCTTCCTTCCATAAAATTTGCTAAGCCCCTACTACATGCCAGGGCTAAGTCAGTAGCTAGTGATAAAATGATGAATCAGACGCCCTCTCCTGCCTTCAGGCATTGCAAGCCTCCTGGGGAAGGCAGACAAGTAAATGAACAATGACCATATTGATGTACGTGTGTGCACTCTGGTAGGACCATAGAAACTAAGGCAAGGAAGCAAATGGATTTACTTCAAGATTATGTTTCAACAAATAGAGATTCATTCAACAATGCTGATCACTGTGCTGAGTCTGGTGTTGCAGAAATGAACAGCAGATACAGCATCTTCTTTCATGGAGCTTACTGTCTACTGGGGGAGACAGGCATCAATTCAGCCAACACGTGTTAGGTATCTATCATGTGTGAGGCAATCTGGGAGTGAGGAGGACAGACGACACCGTCCTTGCCCAAATTGAAGACATGAGTCCTTTCTCATCTCTTTAGAGGAAAACTCAGAGTCCAAAGCTCATGATAAGAAAGAGCAAATTATTATTCCAGACATCTTCCTCCCAAAAGAGCAAGGAAGGCAACCTATGAATATAGCTTCTCCAAGACCTTTAAAGATGTGAGGTTTAGGATGGTCCTAAAGGAAAAGGAGACCTTTTTTTTCTTTAGAAAACATGTAGAATTTTATTTTCAAATTAGCTTTGGGAATATGAATACATGCAGATGGTTAAAAAAAATCAAAAAGTAAAAAGTAACATTTTCTTTCTATCCTAGCCCCAGCCACAAGTTCTCTCCTCAGGGACAATCACTAGTAAGGGTTTCTTTTACTTCCTTGCAGGAAACATGTACAGACATATGCATGCATGCATACCCACCCCCGTCTGCTTTATGCATTTGGCTCTGCTCCTTGCTTTTTCGACTTAAACCATACACTACGGCTATATTCTTTCAATGACTGCATAGCAGGGATGAACCATACCATATTTAACTAGCCACCCACTGACAGAATTTACGAAGCTTCTAGTCCTTTGCTGTAACAAAGAATGCTGTGATGCACTGGGGAGTAAAATGAGAAGGAATAAAATTGTACATAAAGTATATAATATGGTCAAGGTCAAATATTATTTTAGAAATAGGTAGATTTAACAATCTGTAGAAAACAGATTTGTACCAAAAAAAACAGGCCCAAATGTACAAGGACACTGGGGAAAAAACCACAGGTCAGTTTATCACCAACTGGGTTTACAAGACACCAAGAAAAGTAAACATCTGGTCCTTAGCATAATATTGTTCAGAGAGGCATAATGTAGTTTGCACATACTTGGAAGAAAATCAGCTAGCATCAGGGTCATCCCCGAAGAAGAACAACACAGGCACAGAAGCATTCTTCAGATGGGAATGACATAATCATCTCAGGAAGGGCACGCCTAATTTGGGCACAGAAGTGGTTGGCCCTGTAGGACCACCTAGGGGTAGTACAGATTATAGCAGGTATTAGGAGGGGTAAAAGTGGGGAACAGAAGGAGGAGAAATTTGAAGAGTAAATAGTTTGTAAACATGTACACAGGGGTTTGAGCACTCTTGGGATTCAGAAGGCCTACGGCTTCTCCAACCTGCTGGCCACTGTAGCCTGGCTGTTCAGCACATGTTCTGCTGCTGCCCCTGTGCTATTAACCAGTTGGCATTGCTGCTGGGAGGAACCCAAGAACCAGAAGGTCCACCCATCTGGTTCTGGATAAGAAGGCAGGTACTGGAGCCATCTGGGCAACCCCCTGATTATTTAGGGAGCTCCCCTGCCTTTATTGGTGTCCTATAGTGGGCAGGTCTCACAGTGTGATTCCTGAAGGAGAAATTCCCAGAAGTAGAATTTCTAGGTCAGAAAGTACATGCAGTTTTATATTTTGAAAGGTAATATAAAATTGCCCTCCAAAGAGATTTATACCAATTTATATCCCCATGTGCCCTGTATAAGAGAGAGTGCCTGCTTCTCTACTCTCCCTCCAATTCAGTGTATTATCAAACTCTTTGATCTTTGACCATATGATGAATTGTATCTGAAAAACAAAGTCTTCATTTGCATTTCTCTTATAATGTGAGGCTGAATGTCTTTTCTTATGTTTAGAAGCCATCTGCTAGGGCTCTCTCCCCCTTGTAAGCTGTTGGTTCATGTTCTTTGTTAACGTGAACTATTAAGTTAATGACATTTTTCTTATTGATTTACAGGAGCCCTTTATATATATAAGGAAATCAAATCTTTGCTGATATGTTATCATTTTCCCCCAGTTTTTTGTTTCTCTGTTGACTTTAAGGTATTTTCCCCTTCCAGAAATTTTACATCGTTATATAGTGAAATTTATCATCTTCTCCCCACTGATTTGAAATGCTATTTTTACCATAAGGAAAAATGGAAGAGTAGAATTCCTTGAAAGAAAACAGAGCAAGCCAAGATAAGCTGGTTTGGCTGGAATGGAGGGTGTATGTGGAAAATGACATTGGAAGCATCTTGGCTCCCTGAGGCTGAGGGCTCTGCCCTTCGAGTAAGCAAGACCCTGAAATGGCTGCAGGAATTGCAGCTGCAGGTTTAGATTTGTTCAGTCCCTCAAGACCATGTGTTTGATTTGCCTGGGAATCTGTCTTTACAGGCACTGGTCACCTGGGAAGGTGATGTCCTTGTGTGTGTGCAAAAGGGGGAGAAGGAGAACCGCGGCTGGAAGCAGTGGATTGAGGGGGACAAGCTGTACCTGGTAAGTACTGGGTTCTGCTCAGCTCACTTCCATTGTGCTTACACACGCTACTGTGGTCACCTAGCCAGGTGTTTTGACAAGAAAAATGGCCCTGCACTCCTACCCCGAGCTCCAGCCAAATGCATGTGGTCATATAGTCAGAAAGCCATTCCCATCTGGCTCAGGGGACTCCAGGAAGAAATCTATATGGCTGTTTCTGTGAACAGCTGCAATTCAAAAGAAAGTTCAAAATGCTGAGTTAGGAAGCAGAGATCCAAGGAGAAATACAGGGAACCTGCTAAAGACCAGCTGGGGAGAAATGTGAGCCACAGAATTTAGATGCCCTGGAGGAGGGTGGGACAGGGCCTTCTCATAATGATGGGAGCCTGGGAGAGAGAGTGGGGTGGGGAGGAGACAGGACCCACTCTGCCTGGGAACTGCCACAGGTATTGACCTCTCTCCATGAGGTATGTCCTTCTGACCCCAAAATATTTTAAGGTAATTTGGTACTAGAACAGAGCAGTAGGAACAATAACTGATATCCTTAAATATCTTATACCTGTTGAGACAGCTTAATTTTTTATTCTTCAATCTTCAAGGCACTTCATGGGTTCAGCATTCAAATGGTGAAAAATCTCTCACTCCTTCATCCTTTTTCGCTCATTTGTAAATGAATGGCTCATTCAGTGAATGGCTCTTCATTCATTAATTCACTCACCTTTGGAATGAGGCAGGTACCTGGCTCCAATGTCAGTATTCAGGTTGCCACAGTGCCCTTCACAGCCAGCCTTGCTTCACCTGAGATCTTTATTTTGAAGGCAATGTCAGCTAATGATATATGGGAGGCATTTATCGTGTTTTGCATTGATGGCTTTCCCTACCTGCACTGGTTTGGATGGTGGATTTTTCTAATTGTAATACAATCCCCAGTGCTCTCTGTGGCTTAGACAATGGATTCACAGTCAACTGCAATGATTGTGGTGGTCCTTCCCACACTCATGTTTTTCCCTCCTCCTTCGAGGATCAGTGAGGGTCAAATAAGGCCTGGGCTCCCTCTATCTGGATGAAAAGCGGGACCTTGTCGGCTGCACAGGCAAGCCTGGGAAAGCCCTTCTGCACCTCACACCCTGCGGGTACCTGCGCCACCACCAGCCAATGTTCTAATCACCAGAGGCCAGAAAGCCCACAGGGTGGAGGGGCAGCTCACTGGCCAGCATCTTTTCAGGCCCCTACCTTCCAAACACTTCTCTACACTAGGTCCTTTCCTTCCTCATGGCTTCGCTGCCTTTTATAAATTAGGTCATGTTACTTTAATCATGGGAGTAGGAGAAATCCTGCCCAAGAGGGTCATTTCTTTGCATTTTTCATTTTTATAGTTGTTCAAGCTCAATTCAAGTGTCAAAATCAAATTACTGCTACCTGCAGGGCATGCCCGCTGATTGGGTCTGTGAGATGCACTTTGCCCAGAATACCTAAGTGTCCTCTTTATTCCAACCTCCCACCCCCAGATACCAAGGGGGCTGAGGGCTGGGCAGAAGAAAGGCCTGGCTTGTTAGACCCTCACCCACTTTCTGACGTTGCAGGAGCTGACCTGTGGTGACCAGGTGTGCCGTCAAGTGTTCAAAAAGAAATGATGGCGACGTGGGAGGCCTGCCAAGCACAAGCTCCCCACTGCCCACACTGAGTGGTCTACTGGCTTTGAGAAACAGCTGTGGGGACCTTCCCACTCTTGACAGAGCCCCATTAAGGCATCTGGGTGGGTTTTAAACAGAATGCCTATGTAGCAGTGATAGACATATTCCCCTCCTTTGAAACCTAGCATTAAATGGAAAAACAAAAATTACTCCCATATTTTGAAACCCTTTATATGGATCTCCGTTTATTTCTAGAGCTGTCAGTTTTACCCACAGACAGAAGAGATGACTGTCTGTGTGGTTTTTGCATGTTTATTAATTTGTTTCAATTTATTTTATTTTGTTTCTTTTTTCTTAGCTTGTTTGTTGGTTGTGGGGGACATGGGGGGTGGGGAGGAGGGCATTTTACCTAGAAACATTCTGTGGCCCGCACAGCATCTGCTACTGATTCTTGAACATCCTCGTCTGAGACTCATTCCTTTGGATGCACATTATTTCTCAAAAGTTCTATTTTAGGATACATATGCCTCCCAGTCTGCAACTTGCCCTGGGCAGCCTGGGCAGAGCTATTCCAACAGATCTGCAGTGCCAGCTGCTCTTGGCCCAAGCCAGCCCACTGTCCATCAGCCCTGTGCTGTGGAGGGGGTCACTAACTACAGGTCTACTCAGACTCAGTGTAACTTCTCAACTACTGCCACATGCCAGGTGCTGCAAACTCTGGGGCCAGGAGGCCTGAATTCAAGTCCTGCCCCTTCACTTCTTAGCTGGTTGACCATGGGCCTGTCATTTGGCCTCTCTGTCCTCATTTTCCTCTATCATAATATGAAGAAGAGACAAAACTATCATCTCCTCCACTGGGTCATTGTGAGGATTAAGCAATTTAAAACATGCAAAGTGTTTGGAACGGGCCCTGGTATGTGGTAAGGATTCAGTCCCTGTTAGCCCTGGTCCTTCTGCTGAGTTACCCCCTCCACAGTCTCAGGGGTCCTGGTGAGCAGATGCTAACTAGAGATAGGTCAATACTTCCACAACCTTCTGGTGCCTTCAGAACATTAGGTTCATTATTCTGAGCAGAATTGTATTTTGCTGCTGGATACGCAGATGGAATAGTGCACCTGGAAGGACAGAGTGGTTAATGCAGACGGATTTGTGATGGATCATTCACGGGGTCCTAAATTCATGGGGTCCCACAGGTAAAAGGCATGTCCTTCATCCTTCTGTCCCACCATTAGGCAAGCATTCTCTTTGTAAAGCAGGTTTATCCCCAGAGGGGTAGCACATGGTGTTAGCACACTTTGGTATGATTTGAATGATCAGATCTTTTCATTGATCCTGAACATCCTAAATGGGATTAGGGGGATGGATAGAAAGGCTGCAATCCAGCCATGTGGCCCAGGGCCAGCCTTGGCTCAAGCCCTTTGATCAAGCCATCATGCTATGGGCCTCCTGGCAAGCTGTGCTCCCAAACAACCAAGCCATGTTCCTGCAGCAAGAAAGCCAGAAAAGTGCCTGGCTGGAGCCTCATGTTAGCCGGGAGAACGGAGGAGGCGGAGTTCTCTCACATGCATGGCCTTTTTGGTCAAGTCAGTGAGAGGCGCTGGGGAGGAAGGGGAGCCTCCTGAGGAAGTGCAGGCCTCCTCTCCTGGGGCAGACAGGGAACCAAGTAGAGGGACCAGTGAAGTGGGCCCTTTGTCCCCACCTTCCTAGAGCTTCCCCAAGAGCCCATCCCCACTCCTATCACTCTCGCCAGGCTTGCCCTTGCTCGCCACAGGCTCAAATGACCTCTCATCTGTCCCTCAAGAAAACCCTATTGAATGAGGTTGTGTCTGAAGCCCACTGGGGACTCACTGTGAAGTATTCTGCGCAGGTAAGGGGTTAGTATTTATTTTTGATCCTGGGTTAAGATTCCATGAAAAGGTTTATGGTCAAATAAATTTGGAGAACTATATCCCCTTCCTAGAAATTCACAATGAGAATTAGCATTTTTAAAGCTCTGACAAGTCCTCCAGCAAAGACACCCAGCCTGAAACCATGGAATCCCCTTCACCCAGAAGAGTTCCACATCCACAGTGTGCTTTGGAAGCAATGAACTCATTCCCAACATGTGCATGCCACTTTTTCAATTATACATGGCAACAATATACTTTAAAACTCTCATTTTCCAAGTGGAATAGTCTCAGTATATTTTTTCCACAAATGAAAAGTAACTGAATGAATTAGTTTACCTATAGTATGAAAGACTCATGGTGGCTGTATTCATTCTACTGATAATTCTTTTTCAAAGAAGATGCATCTGAACTCAAAGTAGTAAAATTTTAGGTCCCATTGAAAAGCCTGGGCATCTATTTTGGGCCAGGGCCTTCTTTTCATTCCAGCACTCACTGTGGATGGGATAAGTCAAGTTGCCTCTCTCATATTTCTGTTCCCTCAGCCTGTTTCAGAACCAAACCATGGCAGGAATGCTTCACTCCAGCACCAACAAGCCTAGTCGGGAATACAGTAGAAAAGATTAAATTTTAAGACCCATCTAGGGCTTATACTGAGGACAGGGCAGGCCAGTGGGAAGCACTCTTGGAACCTCAGAACCCTACCTCCAGGGAGTATCATGAGAGACATTGGGGTTAGCCATTAACCAGTGGGGCCTGTTCTTGAAAGTTAAAGAAAACCTGTCCTTGAAAGTTAAAAAAAAAATTCAGGCTCACAAATGGGCAGCATTGCAGTGTGGTTCAAGCTTGGACTTTGGCATCAGCCCTTGGTTTGAACATGGACCTTGTCACTCTCCAGCTGTGTGACTATGCAGCAGTTACTTCCCCTCTCTGAGCCTCCCCTTTCTCATCTGTAAAGTAAGGATTATAGAACCTGCTGCATGGGAAGTAGTAAGGAATGAATAAGACCCTGTGGTACAGTGCCTGAAACAACAGTCAATTCTCTCCCTATATACAGATTCTCCTCCCCAATCCCATATATTTATCCATTGTAATACATATATAATGAGGTGATTATTTCCTTCATGAAAACTCTTTGCTTTCTAAGAGTTTTAATACTGAGATCACTTACTGTAGTCATTTCCAAATGTGAAGATCAAACAGAAGGACTTATTAAAAACACAGATTACTGCCACCTCCCCTGCTCCTCTAATCTGGTTCTGAGGTCAGGGACAGGGCCCTGGAATATGTATTATTTCAAGCTCCCCAGTCGAGTCCTCTGCAAGTGCTTAGCAAATACACTGGTAAACCCAGCCTCGTTCATCCAAAGCATGATCATTTTAAACATATTTTCCCACATATGCACACCCACATTCTCAAGCAAAAGCCCAAGTCCACCTCCATAGGTGAGTAAAGTCAGTGGTCAAAGGTCATGTGAACCACTCACACATCTTTCTGCTGATGCAGTATTAGGGCCCCTGACTGTGTCCAACGAGTCCTATAAGAGAAGCGACGTCACCCTCTCTAGAGCAGCTTCATAATGGGGGAGATGTTTAGGCCCTGGATAATGGCAGTGGGTGATGGGAACAGGGTATGGGTGATGGGAACAGGTGGAGAAGGAACCAGCACAAGCAAAGGCGGGAAGCAGAAAAAGGCAAGGAGGGTTGGGGAGAGGTGGGGTGGGGGTTCTTGCCCATGGTGGAAGGCAGGAGGACCAGGATCTGGAGGGCTGTTCTCTCAGGCTTGGGTAGGTCATGAACACTTGTTTGGTCTCAGTCAGTGCACCAGGAGAGCCAGAGCTTCTGAGGAGAGTGATGTATCTGGGATTCTGCAGCTCAGAAAATGATACCCCAAAGTATAGCACTTTGGTGTGCTGAGTACTTTGAACTAAAGGACATTGGAAGACCTCAGAAGCAACCTCAGAACCATGGTCTCTTTGACTTCCTGCTTCCTATCTCTCACCCCTCATTTCTCCCTCAAAGCAAGTCATAGAAACATAATTCCTTGTACCCTAGGTGGGTCATAAAAACTGGAACCCCTCTCCCCCAAAGTAAGCCATGAACCCTGGAAATACTACTCTGACCTCCCCATCCCCTTCTGTCTAGGAGGTGGCCAAAAAGAAATTCTCTGACCTACCCTTATCTGATATTAGATCCTAAGGCCCTCATTGCAGAGGGGTCCTGCATCATACCCAGAAGGAAGAAATGCTACAACAGAGAGGCCAAGAAGAATCTGAACAGACAGGCCTTGCTGGGTTTTCCCATTCAGTCTATTACTACTGGATTATACCCCTTTTGTCCAATACAAAAAGAGTACATGGCTGTCCACTCTTCATCAAACCTAAGCATAAAAACAGTTTCCCCTGGGTCTTGGGGTCTTCATTTTTGAAGTCTCCCATATCACATAAAAGCTTGATTAAATAAATGTGTTATGCTTTTCTCTTGTTAACCTATCTTTTGTTCTAGGAGTGTGGTGGGGAGGAAAGATGTCACTCTTTTTCATCCCTAGGAGGACATGAACCAGGAATGCACTCCAGTCATTGTTGACAGGACAGATGAAGGTGGGGAGAGGAACCCAGGATCAAGTATTTCAGGGGAGAAGCAGTGAGGGACCCATATTAGGGATAGGGAGTGGTCACAGGAAGGAAGGGAAGAACAAGAGAGGTGCTTTAAGGAGCTGCCACACTAGGCAGGGCTGCATAAAGCTCACAGAGGAGGTGAGGGCATAAAGATGGTTGTGGGTGTGGGGACGAGGGAGGACAAATACACACAACACAGCTCAGCAGTGGCAGAGGGAGAGGGGGGTGCCAAAGGGAAGATCACGTGTTGAGTTAAGCCTGTTGTACATGAGGTGACAGAGCAATGACTGCAAAGGCTGGCACGCTCTGTCTCCCTCAACCACTGCCACCCTCCAATGACTAATTGTTACCCCCTTCAAGAGTCCAGCAGCTGCTGCTGGCTGAGAAGGGAGGGAGGTTTTGGCTGGGGCCAGAGCTGATGAAACAGTGACTGCCAGTTTTGAGGCTGGGAGATGCTGATGCCACAAGGGATAAGGGGAGCTACAGAAGGGACAGGAGGGGAGAATGAGGAAGAAGAGAAAGGAGGAAGGAGGAGAGGAGAGAATGTTGCAGGGAGAGGAAGGGAAACAGAGGGGAGAGGTGAAGAGGAAGGGATGAGGGGGTAGAGGAGGAGAGAAGATGGGAAAGGAGGGGAAAGGGTAGGAGGAAAGGGAAGTGAAGAGGAAGGCAGAGGGAAGAGGAAGGGAGAGGAGAGAAAGAGAGAGGAGAAAAGAGCAGAGGAGGGGGAAAGAATGGGAGAGAGGAAAGCAGGGAAGAGGATAAGGCAAAGGAAGAAGAAAGAAGAGGAGAGGGAAGAGGAGGGAGAAAGACTGGAACAAGTAAGAAGAGGGGAGAGAGATAGGAGAAGCTTGGAAAGAACACCTGCTCCTCACCAGCAAGAGATGAAAAGAGGAACAGGTGGGAGCTATGTCTTGCCTACCCAGGGTTCACAGACCACAGTCAGAGCAATAGCAGCTGAGACAGACCCCAGGGGCTTTCTGTAGCCTCTGTTGTTTTTTTCTCCAATGCAAAGGAAGATTCATTTTAGAACTAGGCAATTAAAGCAGAGCTAGTGCACCCACAGGAGGCTCATCCTGGGCCCTCAACTGGTCTTCAAGGCAAGGAATAGATCCAGGTTGTAGGCTTAATCCTTTGTTAAGCACCTCCTCTGTCCCTATTTGAGCTGTTTCCAGGACTAGGATGTAGGTGCCCATTCAGACCAGGTGAAATACTCAAAGTCCCATATTTGGTAAGTAGCAGAGGCAGAATTTGAACACAGGGGTTCTCTCTCCAGAGCCCTAAGGCCCTCCACACAGGAGGCGGCCCCTGACAGGGACAGGGCTATCCTTCCCCCAGCAATCTCCAGAGCCCTGGCATCTTCAGAGACCTCTAATCCCATTTCTTCCCAATCATTTGAAACCAGGAGTGTTAGATAGTTTTTGCATTGCTATAAGTACCTGGGACTGGGTAATTTATAAAGAAAAGAGGTTTAATTGACTCACAGTTGTGCAGGCTGTACGAGTATGGCTCTGGCATCTACCTCCAATAAGGGCCTCAGGAAGGTTATAATCATTGCACAAGGCAAAGGGGGAGCCAGTGATGTCACATGGCAAGAAAGAGAGCAAGAAACAGTCAGGTGGAGGTTCTGGGCTCTTTTAAACAACCAGATCTCACAAAAACTAACCAAGTGAGAACTCATTATCACCAAGGGGATGGCACTAAACCATTCATAATGAATCCATCACCATGATCCAATCACCTCCCACCAGAACCTACATCCAACATTGGGAATCACACTTCAACATGAAATTGGTGGGGTGGGGGTGGTGGGGACAAACATCCAAACCATATCCCCAAACTTTATTTTTCTGAAATTGGCATTCACTTTAGGTCTCCTTTGAGACCAATACCACTGCAGACAGGTGGTCATCAAAAGTGACTTGTTTGCATTTTCCCCTGCTGGGGCGGAGTGGGTGGGGAGAGATAGGTCCCACCTCTGTGGAGAGCCTAACAGAGCTAATGGAAAGACTGGCCTCCTGGAGCTGATTCTTCCACTTGAATCTGCTCTTTTCATTCGTGATTTGTGATTGATTAGAAGGGCAGGGATTGGGGAAATTTAATTTTGGCTCCCTGATTACACTTGTTGTGTAGACAGATACAATTAGAATCTGGGGCTTAAGAAAATGAAATAGAAATGAACTAGACAGAATTTTCAAGAACTTTAAACATTTGATCACTACTTTTCTGGGGCTGGTGCTCACTTTAATTGCTCCTCATGCTTCTGGCCTGCTAAAGCTACAGAAAGCAAGGGAGGGCCAGAGGAAAGCCTGTAAAAAGATGAACAAAATCCCACCTTTGGGGAATATTACAATGGGAAATGTACTCAGCCAAAAAAGAGCTTCCTGAGATCCTATCATGGGTCAGGTGCTGTGTCAGAGGCTTAGGGACACAGAATGTATCCGTCTGAGTCCCACCACGGAAACAGAAACCATGCTAGGCATTTCACACAGAGGAAATTTAGTACGGGGAACAGGTTACACAGAAGATGGAAAAGCTGAGGAGCCAAATAGGAGATGGTGAAGCAAGTCAGAACTTAGCAACATCAGAAAGCTGCCAATTACTAGATAGAGGGACACAAGGAGGAACGTGGTGTTTTCAGAACCCAGAAGCCAGGGCTGCCAAGCAGGGCTGGATCATAGAGAGGAGCTATCAGGGAGACACAGCCACTACCAAAAACCCCTGAAAGAGAAAAAGGAAGACGAGACAGAGAAGCATCCTGGCTTCTCCTTTTTTCCCACTTTTTCATCTCCCATCAGCGCTCCCCTTGGTAGAAACTAGCCGGAAGCCTGCCACTGCCCAGGGAGCCTGGAAAATGTAGTTCCCCGCAGTGCAGAGCAGAAAGGGGAAGGCATCTGATAGCAAATGGGCATGGAGAAGCACGCAGGCAAGTGGCCCCAACCCCTGTCCTCAAGAAGCTCCTGGTCAGACCATCACAAGGATGCATGAGAGGGACCATGCGGGAGGCTGTAGGAGCCCAGAGGAGCCCAGAGGAGTGACTTGCAGCCAAACCTGGGTGGGAGGGTTGCCCATCAGCACTATCGCCTGACCTGAGGTTTAAGGACTAAATGTGATTTGGAGAGGTCACCTCTGAAGTAAAGGGAAGAAGGAAAGGGGCCATCACAGCTAACAACGCCCTCCTTGTACCCTGCGGTATGCCAGGTACTTTACAGGCATACGTGAGCTCTCTTAATTCTCAATACAACCTTACACAGTGATATTATTCTCACTGTACAAATGAGACTGATGCTTAGCAGTGTAAGATAAACATGCCCAGGAGACAGGCAGGACATCAGGGTTGGAGTTGAAATGCAGTTTCATGGAGCCCAGGCTCTTACTGGCCTCTCCCTGTGCAGGGGGCTGCCTTACTGTTATCACCCATCAGTCTTTGGGCAAATGTGACCTTTTCCAAATGCAGACAAACCTTAATCCCAATCTTAAAGGACAATGAAGTTAATAAAAGAAAGCACTTATTGAATTGGAACAAAAGACTATTTTATTAGCCTAATTACTTTTAACTCCTATTAAGTGTTTCAAAGCTCAATGGAAGTGTTTACTTTTATTAAGGTTCATTGTTTTAAGCTTAAAAAGCAATGTTTTCAAACTTAAAACTTCTCAAGAGCCCAGGTCCTTGGCCTCATTGCAGACCCGCTGGCCTGGGCAAGCCAGGGGTGTCACCTGTCTGTGGCCAGGTGTGAGTGTGAGCATGCGGGGACTCTGAGCCTCCTCTTTATAGTGCGCCTCACACTTGCAATTATTTAATGATCTGTAACTATTGATAATTGATGTTCCCATCCTCCTGGGTCAGAAACTCCCCAAGGGCTGAGACAGTTATCTTTCGTGTCCTGTTCTCCTTCCTGGTGTCTCTGTCCTTTGCCCGTCAGCATCACTCACAGTCAGCCAGCCTATTTATCAAGCACTTATCAGTGCCAGCACCTGTGATAGATGCCAGACATTTCTTTCATCCACCTATTCATTCAAGGAGCATTTATTGATCGTCTAGTATGAACCAGCCCCAGTCACCAGGCATTGAGGAAATCATTGGTAAGTAAAAGAGGCAAGTTACCTCTCAACACAGATTTTGTTTTTAAACCTCACAGTCTTGCAGGTGTCATTGTCCTCATTTTATAAACAAGAAGAGTGAAGTTCATACATGGTGAGCAGGTTGTTCAAAAGCACACCCCTAAGAAGTGACAGGGCCAGGACTCATCTCTTCCCTTCTCAACACTTCCTCTCCTCCTTGCTGGGTGGGGTGGCAGGCAGAGGGAGAACCTGCAAATTAACTGGAGAAATTGGAAGACCCAAAGTCAATGGTTTATGTGTTTCTCATTAAAATAAAAGAGTTCCCTGTAATCCACTAGCCACAGAGGAATGATATTCTATTTGTAACATGCTCTACACAGTGCCTGGCATGAAACAGTCACTGAATAAATTGTGGCCAAAACAATAGTCTATCATCACTCTCTTGTTTTAAACCAAAATGGGACCATATTGCTCTAGTGCAGTGGTTCTCAACCAGGGACAATTTTGCCCCCCAGAGGACATTCAGCAATGTCTGGTGACATTTTCAGTTGTCAAAACTGGGGGTGGGGTGCTACTGGCATCTAGTAGGTAAAGGCCAGGAATGCTGCTAATCATCCTACAACATGCAGGACAGCCCCAAATGTCACTATTGCAGAGAATGAGAAGCTGGTATTGTGGAGACTTTTCCTGGGTTGTTGATTATTCTTTGATAACATTATTTTCCACGATTGACCACATGGCTGATGACTTTCTGGAATACATTTGTTAAAAAGACTTTTTTTTTTTTCTGGCCTTATAATCCAAGTTTAGGATTAATCTTACCCCAACTTAATAGACTTCCAGACAGTTGCAGTTGTCTACAAGATTTCCTCCTAGTAGGGCTTTGGGTGTTGGCACCGTTTGGCTCATTCTACTCTCCCTGGGTCTTATTGACTTTCAGGGAGCCTAGAAGAGCTGGACAAAACCTGCTTCTTTGCAGAAAGAGTCGGGGTTCCAAAGATTTCGTTACGATTTTTTAAAGATCACTCTCTCAAAGTTCTTTCTCTCCCATATCACAGGCCTGGAGGCCCTTTCTTAGTCCCATTGTGACCTTTGGGGAATGTTAATGCACTTCTAGCTCATGGAAACCCCGGAAGCCAGTGTCGTGTGACATGAGCCCAGCCGGATTAGAATGATTTCAAATCTTTTTAGGATTAAAGAACAATGGCCTTGTCAGAAATGTCAGGATAATTAGAAAAAATAGTGCTGCTTTCCCTAATCAGATGAGGTTCTGGGGGCTGCAAAGGCATCAGCCAGGAAGCGGCTCCATTTTCTCTAAAACATGAGGCCATGGAAGACTTACAGGGTCAAGACTCTCACCCCTGATTCTCCACCTTGGCCAGAAGTGGGAGTCCTCGGTTTATCGTCTGCCAATTATACCTCAATAAACCTTTTTTAAAAAATGTTTTAAGTAAGGACTATGAGGGGAACCTGGTTATCTCTGGCTAGAGGGATAAGGAGTTCAATAAAACTCACAGAACTAGAGCCATGAAAGCCTCAGTGGTCATCTGACACTACTCCTCTCTGTGAGAAGCCATAGAAGAGACTTGCTAAGATCACTTAGTGATGGGGGAAGCTGGGACTCAAATTCAGATTTTCCTGTCTTGCATTCCAGACCTCTTTCCAATGACAATGAGGGTCTAAGGAAAATAGCCACCACACTGAAAGCCATGCTGCCCTCTCTCGGGCTCTCATGCTTTCAAATCAGGAGACATTATAAAGCACTGCACTGGGTTCAGGGTAACTAAAAGGACCATCTTACATTTATGAGGTGTCTGTCAGTTGTTATGGCACGTTCATATTTGTTATCTTATGTAATCTTTATAAGAACTAGGATGGAAAGGTAGTATCAAAATCTCAATGGCTGATGAGGAAACCAAGGCACAAAAAGGTTAATTTGATTTTCCCTGGTCTAGGTAGCTAACAACGGAGCTGGCACTTCAACACTGTTTGCCCAACCCTTGTCCCCTAGACCTTTCCCTGCTCCTTTGCGTTTCATATCTATTGCCTGAATTCCAAGCTCCCTTTTCAGAAAGACCCCACTGGTGGTCATGTGAAGGTCGAATCGTATCCCATTTGGCCTGTGTCTCAGTACCCAGGGCCCGGGATCTGTGTGCAGGGCTGGGGGGCTACGGATCCTCTCTAGGAGTCTCAGCTTTGACACTGAGTCATCTTTTGAAAGTACGTATATGATAATAAAGGTAATCATTTTTGAGTACTTACTGTGTGCCAGGCACAGAGCTAGACCCCTCCCATGCATTTGCTCATTTAGTCCTCACAATAACTCAGTGGGGTAGGTAGCATTTTTATCCCCATTTTACAGACAAGGCTCTCTGATGCTCAGAACACCCAAGGAACCTGTCCACATTTCCCAGCTGTGGAGCAGCAGAGCCTGCAATAAACACAGATTGGAAAGCCCCCCTTGCTTTAAGCAAGTGCTGGTTAATGTCCTACAATAGGACTGTTATGAGCACTACATTTCATAGTGCAGGAGAGAAGAGCATTGGCTAATGGGGCTTTCTCAGGAATTCCATGTCAGATAAGCTTTTGTTTGTTAAGCATTCACTGGATGCAGAGCCCTCTCCAGGCTCTAGGATCTGAGCTGCCACCCAAGTCAGAAGCAGAGGCCTGGTGTCCTTTGAAATCCTGATTCTACTCAGCTGCTTCTTTCTGAGCTCCAGAATGTGAAAATGATACATGTGGGAATAGTGGGCTCCACTGTATTCAGGCTTGTGTTCTCTTTATGGGTGGGCAGTGGGTGCGCATGAGGCCAGCAGGGAATGATGCCAAAGAAAACTGAGGTTCTTGTATGCCCTAGAGATGGGCTCTGGGTGGCTGAGCAGGTCAGACCATGAGAAGAGGCACTTGAAAACAAAGAAGAGGAAGAAGGATTTTTAGGTTCTGCCCCCATCGTGGCTTTCTGGATGCCAGGAGGAATTATTGGTGAGCGTCCAGCTGGACCCCAATCAGTGATGCTGCTGACTCTCTGGAACCTGCCATTTTGCTCCTATTCACTTGTCTTTCATTTTTTGCCATACATCACCCTGCTTTAAAAAGAGACCTCTAACTGACTGTACAATGACATCCCTGCTCAGGCAGTCTCCCAGCCCTGCCCTGCCTCTCCCCTGCAATATTTCCTCAGATGCAGTGGCCAAGGCAGGTCATCCTCATGCCTGAGAAATCACTGAAAGGGGAATCTGGCTGAGCCCCCAGCTCCCAACCACAACCCTTTCCCTCCCTGCTTTCAACTCTGCTAAATAAGAAAGCTGGCTCAGGCATGGTATGAAGGATACTATCTTGTCCTGCCTCTCAAAAGCAATGGGCACCACTTTACGAACCAGTTGGCATGGCGACTGAGCCAAGAGGATGCTTTCAAAATGAGCAATTTAACATAAAATGATCCTTGCATTTTTAACTGAATGTCACATTCCCGTAATTGTAGGACAGCTAATTGGGTAATTGTTCAAAATGTCTTATTTCTGTTCTCATTCCACTGAATGTGTATACATGCAAGCACACACACACACAGTCACACACACACACAGAGTCACACTCACAATGGGCCATGCTACTAATGCCATGGTTACCAATGACCAAATTCATGAAGCATTTGACCTCAATGCTGGACAATTTGGTGGCTATTGATTCATCAGCGTCATCACTACCTAACTGTGTTCAACCCGACACAGGCCCTTCTTCATTCCCCTCCTCTCATACAGAGGATGTTTGTGACTTTCAAGACGTCAAACCTGTACTCTCACACACCCACTCCAACAGAGGGGAAATCTGCCTGGTCAGGGAACTCTGACTTAAGAAAGTTATGGCATGGCTCTGCCTATGTTTTTGAATTCCGAAGCCCCAGCCTAAGCATGTGTCCAGGGTTTATTGTATATCCATCTTTTAACATTAATTCCATGAAAAGCATACGTGTTGTCATCTGAGACAAAACTGCCTGTTTATTTGTTCTGATTTAATCCTGGATTCCATGGCATACATGCTTGGTGCCTGAACTGGAACCCAGCTCTTTGAATTCACTGCTTTGGTATACTAGTTGCCACAAAATATTTTTTGTTGTAAACATTGTTTCCGAAACTCTAATCTGGTGAGCAATTCCGTTTTGCTGGGTTCCTATGTTAAACTGACTTTAGAGAGAAGGTATCCACCATACCTCAGGACAGACTGTCCCTCCAAAAAGAGCATGGAGGACTGGTTAACTCATCTTAATTATTTTTTTAAATTCAAATTGCTGCTCTGAATAAACTAGAAGTAGCCACATGTGCTCAACTTGTGTTTCAGCCTGGGGCAGCAGACTGAGTCTGCTGTTTAATTGTGCTGAAATCCAGAGATGAAAAGCTGGTAACCAAGAGTCTGTCACCCAGAGGGGGTAATGGAAACCCCACTCCATCTCAGATGACAGACACCATTCTGACCTTTTATTGCTGATTGCAAGCCTTTTGAGTATAAAGCATTCTCTTTTGTTCTGATTTTCTGACAACTGTTTAATCATGTTCTATTCATAGAAATTACAGTAAAATTCTGTTGTTTCTCATGTATCAAACAAGATAATGCACATGGAAATCAAGTTCTGGAAATGAATAATAAAATCCTAAACCTCCCAGCAGTAGTGAAATCCTGAAGTGTGCTGAAGGCGAGGTATGTAGGTACAGACTGGGAGGCATAGAAGACATTCATCCTGCCACAAACATTTCCAAATACATTTGCCCTCAAACCAAGGTCCAATCATCAATAAAATGAAAGTCCAATTTTAACAGCACAATGGAAAAACTTTGAGTAGGGAACTGACATTTATTATCTTTAATGTACATTATTTTATCCGATCCCTACAATGGCCCTATAATGTATGTTCCATTAACTCCATTTTATGGACAAGGGAACCGAGGCTAGGGATGAGAGACAATGCCCCAAGGCTGCCTGGTCAATAAGCTGCTGGGTGCTGATTCTAAAGGCCTCATTCTGATTTTCAAAACATTTCAACTGCCACAACTCCAGTGTCCCATCAGCTGCCTGCCCAGCTGGTCATAGGTCACTTCAGGCCAAGCAGCTGTTCCTGAGACAACCTGAGGGCTCATGGCTGAAGAATTGTCCTAAGGACAAGCAAAGTGGCCACTCACTAAGAAGCAAACATAACCCAGTCTCCTTTCTTCTGTGTCTTCCTTATCCCACAGTGCTTCAGGTACCTCAAAAGCCTCTTGGCTCAAGGAAGGCAGATAGACAAGCTTTTTCTTTTTTTTTTTTTTTTTTTAAAGAGGGCAAAGCATTTTTATTGTTGTTTTAAATAAAAGTGATACATATTTGATGTAAAAAATAAACTTCAATGCAATATAGAGAAGTGCAAAAAATGGCAAAAAATTAGAACGTTGATAACATCTTGGCAAACACCCAGTTGGGCACTTTTCTGAACATAAGCACGTGATCATAGGTGTGCAGAAGAGCCTCAGGAGGGTCTCCTCTTTCATGCTGTTCCATAATCTAATTATTCTCACGCAGAATTAGAAAGTGCAGGTATAATTCCTTCTTTTTTCAACACTGTGTGGTATTCCACTTTTTAAATTTCCAACGAATCCCTGACTGTATACATTATTTTTGCTATTACAAACAACAGAACATCCTTTAAAATATATAGTTTTTGTCTGTTTGTTTCTTATGTATCTGTGATTATCTCCCTAATCATTAATTCCCAAAAGCAGTGAGTTAACCAAAAATCTAAGACCTTTGCTTTCTCTTCTTTTTCTTTCATTGCTATAAAAATCGGAACAAAAACCAGCTGCCTCAAAATGACCAGAGGAGATTTTCTCCTATTCCTTGGGGGACTTCTTCATCTATTCCTTACCTTCTACTTATTGCTTGCTTTCATATTTGTGATTCATACCTTTTTATTTTGCTCATTATAGTGTAGGTGGCTCTGAAAAAACTTCCTTTATGGACTCCATCCTACTGTTCCTAAAGGCTGTTTGTCTTCTCCAGCTTCTAGAGGCTGGGGTAATTCAAGTCTATCCAATTTTTTGTAGCCTCAGGGTACAGTAGGGAGGAGAAGAACTCATTTGTAAGTGACATGAAGCCTGAAGGACTTTGCCTCTCTCTCTACTGGGATTTTAATAAAGTCCACAGGCAGCTCCCCTGAGGCTTTATAATGGTCCCTCCATTCAGGAAAAGAACTCAAGGACCAGTGAGCCCTATATCCACTGTGGCCTTTCTAGAATAGTTAGGGGCTTTTATTTAAGCCTTTTTGTTTTGTTTTGTTTTTTAATTTTCTACAGAATGCCTGTTCATTGCCTACTGTTGCCAGATTTAGCCATCATCATCAATATTATCATCATCTTCATCCCAGGACACCCAGTTACATTTGAATTTCAGAAAGACAAAAAAAAATATTTTAGTATATTTATGTCCCAAATACTGCATAAGGCATCCCCTAAACTCATTGTTTATCTGAAATTCAAATTTGACTACATATCCTGTGTCTAAGCTGGCAGTCTTACCTCAGTTCCTTTCTCTCCAGATTAGGACATAGTCATGTGAATTCTCAGAAGTTTTTTCACTTACCTTCTTCCATCAGAATAGCTTATTGGAAACTTTTACGGGTCATGGTAAGTCAAGCTAGACTTCATTTTATTATTCGATCGCCACTTTTTGAACTTCCTAGCATGAAGTTGTACCCCTTTCCTTGACTGGCTGCTGCTGGGGTGGGGGGTGAGGGTGGGGCTGGAGGACAGGAGCTGGCTTAATTTTTTTTATTATTGTTTAAATTCTTTAATTAAGTACTCCTGAAGGGCAAATGTGCAATCTAACTTCATTCTCTATCCAAAGCTCAGAAACTCCATTATGTATTGGAGTTTTTTGAAAATGTAATAGGGAGATCTAATCCATAACCCCTAACAAATCTCCTTGAAAATCTATTTTCTCTTCTACCTAAATCTCGTATACTCCACTCTCACTGATGCCCTTCACTGGCTAAAGGCCCTCAAAATTCTCTCTACTCCCAGCCATCTCAACATTTTCTCCCCTCATCTCCTCCCTTCCTTCTCTTAAATCTTTATTCTACAGACTGACTTCCTTCCCTAAAGTCTAAGTTCTTCCTCTCTTTCTTCTTTCTTTTCTACTTTCTTGTCCTTCTCTACTCAATTAGTTCTTCAGAAACAACTTCAAACTTGCCTGGTGTGGGGTGGGGTAGAGAGGAATTGAGGTAGGGATAGAATTGAAGCAGGTGGAAAATTGGTGGGTATTCTCATTGGTGGACTGAGGGAGGGAAATGTCTTTGAAATCTTTTATGCTAATAATTGATCATGGATATCCCATCTCATATCTCAGTGGTGGACTTCACAGTTAAAGGGTTCAAAGTCACATAGCTAGTCAGGGGCATAGCTTAAACCCAGATCTCTGGATTCCAAAGCCTGGGCACCTTTTATTTCATGCTGCTGCTTTTCTCACATTTTAGACATACACTGTAGTAGAGATATTAATTTAACATTCACTACCTAATGGTAGGCACAGTGGTCATGGTGATGGATTCCCCAACATCTAGTCCTCCCTCTAGTATTAATTTGCTAGGGTTGTCATAACAAAGTACCACAAAGTGGGTGGCTTAAACAATAGAACTGTATGGTCTCACAGTTCTAGAAGATAGAAGTCCAAGATCAAGTTGTTGGCAGGATTGGTTCCTTCTAAGCGCTGTGAGGGAAAACCTGTTCCATGCTGCTTTCCAGGATTTGTCATTCCTTGGCTTCTGCTGTATCACCCCAAACTCTGCCTTCATATTCCCTGTTCTCCCTGAATGAGTCTCTGAATTTGCCCTCTGTATAATGACACCAGTCACAGTAGATTAGGGGTCCACGCTACCTCATTATGACCTCATCTTAACTAATAACAACTGCAATGAGTCTATTTCTGACGAAGCTCACATTCTGAGGTACTGGGGGTTAGGAATTGAAATATGAATTTTGTGGAGGAAAACAATTCAACCCATAGCAGCCACAAGAGATTGACATAAACCAATTATGTTCTTCTCTTCTTGCTAGTCACTGGTTTAGAAGTGGGCATGTAATTTAGGAATAACCAATGAGACTTGAGTGGAAGTCTTCCAGAATCTCATAGGAAAGCCTTCCTGGGTCCTAAAGAGTTACACAAATAGGCTTCTTTCTCAAAACACTGTCAAGTCTGGGTGTGACATCTAGAACTGCTACAGCCATAAGGTCCCCATCCTCAGGATAAACCAATACGGAGATGCACATAGAACAGAGAGAATCACAGAGCAGCCAAGTCCCCCGATAATGTTTTCCAGATGCCCCCACCTGTGGAATTCTTATCATGTTAACTAATATGTTTCCCTATTTCTTAAGCCAATTTGAGTCAGAATCTTCTGTTATCTGTGACCAAAAGCATTCTAAGTGATATCAACTAAAAAGACACTACTAAGTAGGTAAAGTATAAATACTGTTCAAAATTCATTCAGCCCTTCAGCTTTAAAATGATACAAACCATAATGATTGGCATTATTTCAAATTTAGTACATGAAGTGAGACTGATTAACATATCATGTGATACCATTTTAAATTTTCTTAGCTCGAATTTGCAACAACAGAAAAAGCACAGTTTGTTTTCTAACTCGAGTGTGCATCAGCCTTACCTAGGAGGCTTATTGAAACAGATTGCTGAGCCTCACCTACAGAGTTTCTGATTTAGGAGATCCAAGGTGAAGCCTGAGAATTTCCATTTCTAACCAGTTTCCAGATACTGCTGGTCAGCATACTACACTTTGAGAACTTCTGCGATACTAAAATAAACCTTTGTATTGCCAAAACAGCCTGGGATATGTGATCCTTGTCTGCGTGCAGGGTCTTAAAAACAACTGTAAAATTGATCATCATTACGGAGTATATACCACATACAGACCACTGCACTGAATGTTTTGCATTCCTTTAGTGACTTGTCACACTGACTCCTTGAGGTGGGTTTACCAATCTCCTATAGATGGGGAAACCGAGGCACAAGAGCTAAGTTACTCATCTAAGGGAAAGAACCATGATCCAGTCCCAGGCCTGTGTGACTACATGGTCTTTTACAAAATATTTGCCCATCAGAGACAAAATACTGGTCTAGCTAGAACTCAGGTTGATGCAGCAGGACAACTGGGAAATTACTGTGTACTGCAGCTTGAAGAAAAAGGGCATCTCTGGCTGAAATCAATCACCCTCAGCCTGGGAGGTGAGTGGCTCTTCGCTGGCTCTTTCCCCTGGGGCAGCTCAGCCTTCTGCTGGAAGAATCTGCCTTGGAGGAGAAAGCCATAGGGCTGACAGCGGTGCTCTGCCATTTCCTCCCCCACGCAGTGGGTGCTGCTGGCCTGTGGAGACCTGTGCTGCCAGCCACGCCCCATGCCTCCTGATTGTGCTTTGCCTCTCGCTGCCATACAAGTCAGGGCTGGCACCTCATTTTCCGCTGCAGAGACAAGGCATTGCCTCCTGGAGGCCAGAGGGAGGACAGGAGGAAATCCAGGGAAGCAGACCCTTTCAGTGTCTGGTGAGTCCCAGGATCTGAACCACTCCCTGAATGGGCAGTTTATTCTCATGTGAAATGTCTTAATCATCACAAGGAATACAGACAAGGAAGGCAAGCATGCTGGATTCCTCACTCAGCAAAACAACCCCAATTGTGCAACTCCTCCAAGAAGGCAGCTGAGGAGTTACTTCCTGTTGTTGTTGTTTTCATTGCTCTGGCATTTAAGCCTGACAGAAATCATAAGACATTATTCCTTGAAGAAGCTGGGATATAGCAACAGGTCACTATTCGTTGGAAGCTATTGATAAACCTGATGTGCCAAGGGAGAGCAGAGATTGGCACCTCTGGCTAAAAACATTTGGGGACTGGACCCTGAGAAATGATTTTCCTTCAAGAAAGGACAGTGCCCCCACCCACCTGACAAAACTTTGCTGGGTAGAGGGTTGTGCAGGGAGGTAGGGGGAACAGGAACCACCTTGACTTCATCATCTTTCTCCTCCCAATACACTCTTCCCTAAGGCCCTCTTTCCACTGAGGAATGGACCACAGACTCAGGCCCAAGGTCTTAGAGGATCTTACTCCTCCCACAAATTTCCATATGCAACTGCTTGTTAAACTCTGCTGATTTGTCATTTCTGGGTGGGAGTCCTTGAATGAATGAGCTGAAATTGGTACCCATAGCAATTATCTGACCCAAGCTCTTCACTTTAAAGAAGACTCCCAGGAAAGGAAGTTAACTTGCCCAAGATCACATGAAATGGTTACGGCTAAGCTATGCCAAAGAAAGACCCCACTGAGGGCTGGTGCTGGGAAGAAGCTGGCTAGGGGACACATCTGACCCAGCTTAGGTTTGTGCCTACATTTCCTAAAGAAGTGAGGCAGAGGGGAGGAGCGACACACATGTCAATGAGGGTTAAGGGGAAGAAACCAACTGGGAAGGAAATTAATCTTCATAGAGTTCTACTTCAGTTCTGGGAGCTGAGGTACTACAAGCTCAGCTTACCTCTCACTCTCCTTAGGACCAGATTTTTAACCCTATTTTACTAATGAGAAAATTGAAGCCCATAGAGGTTAAGTAATTTGCCCAATACTACATAGTTTATACCCAACAGAGCCAGAATGAAAAGCCAGGTCTCTGTACAATTCTCTTAGGTTCACACCTCCTTCTCTAATCAACTCCCAACCCCACACCCCATAAGGTCAAGCCAGGATAACCAAACCAACCTCCTACCAGGTACCCCACCTTGGAAATCTCTGCAAGTCAGGCCACCTCTACATCACCACTAGATTGTTTTTCTCAGAACCCCCTTATTTAAAATAGTCAGAATGTTGTATAGGTAGAAGTAGGTAATATGTAGACTTTTGTGTCTGCCTTCTTTCACTTACTATAATGTTTTTGATAGTCCTCCATGATTTTGTTCACTCCTTTTTTTTTTTTAACTGAGTAGCATTGCATTGTATAGACACAGTATAGTTTGTTTATCCATTCACCAGCTGATGGGCATTTGGGTTGCCTCAAAGTTTTTGGTTATTATGAATAAAGCTATAAACATTCCCATCCAAGTCTCTGTGGACATATATTTTCACTTCTCTTGAGTAAATACTTAGAAGTGGAATTGCTAAAAATTACATTAAGTATATGCTTAACTTTATAAGAAACTGCCAAACTGTTTACCAAAGTGGCCTTACTATTTTGCATTCCTGCCAACAGTGTATGAAAGTTCCAGCTGCTCCATATCTTTGTCAACACTTGGTCTTGTCTTTTAAATTTTAGTCATCTAATGAATATGTGGTGATGTTTCATTGTGGATTTTTTGTTGTTATTGTTTTTTTGTTGTTTTATTTAGTTTTTTTTTTTTGAGATGGAGTCTCTCTCTGTCTCCCAGGCTGGAGTGCAGTGGCGTGATCTCAGCTCACTGCAACCTCCACCTCCCAGGTTGAAGTAATTCTCCTGCCTCAGCCTCCCAAGTAGCTGGGACTACAGGTGTGTGCCAGCACACCTGGCTAATTTTTGTGTTTTTAGTACAGACAGAGTTTCACCATGTTTGCCAGGCTGTTCTCAAATTCCTGACCTCAGGTGATCTGCCCACCTTGGCCTCCTAAAGTGCTGGGATTACAGGCGTGAGCCACTGCACCCAGCCTTCACTGTGGTTCTAACTAATGATGTTGAGCAATTTTTTACGTATGTATTTGCCATCTGAATATGTTCTTTAGTGAAGTGTCTGTTCAAATCTTTTACCCATTTTTTAATTTGGGTTGCCTTCTTATTACTGAGTTGTAAGAATTCTTTCATATATTCTAGATATAAGTTCTTTGTTGGACATATATTTTGCAAACATTTTCTACCAGTCTAGAGCTTGCCTTCTCATTTTCTTAATGATGACTTTTGAAGACACTGTCTTTTGATGAACTCCAATTTAATAAATTTTTTATTTTATAACTCATCCTTTTTGTATCCTATTTTAGAAATCTTTGTCTAACCCAAGATCACTAAGACTTTTTCCCATCTTTTCTTCTATAAGCTTTACAGTTGGCTCTTACATTTAGGTCTATGATCTATTTAATTTTTATATGTTGTGTGACAAAAAGGTCAAGTTCTATACTTTTGCATAAAGATCTCCAATTACCAACCCTTCTATTTTTTGAGGCTCCCCATACACTTTAAAAACAAAGTAAGTTATGCCAAAACAGAATTTTTAAATATTGTGACATACTTTAAATGTTCACAGTTAATACATTAATTCTCTTAACCCAAAATTATGAAGGAACACTGATTGTATATTCAATCTCATTTGCTAAAATTATCTTACCATTTTTGGAGACAGAGCCCACCCCCACCTGCCCTGCAAGATCCCCAACTCTGCTTCCTTGAGGTAACTTTCTCTGCATTCTCCAATAGGGCTGAATTGCCTGCAGGGGCTCACAAGATGGCCCTTGGTACTTAACACAACAGCTACTGCTTGTGGTGGGCCTATTGCTTTACATGTAGGTGTTACACACAAAAATATTACATAACATGTACAAATGTAACATATGATTCTCACAACAAATAACATATTACTATCCTTATTTTACAGTTGAGGAAACTAGGCCCAGAAGTTTTAAGTGCTTTGCCCAAGACCACTAAATGAGGAAAAAGTAAAGAAGCTGGGACTTAAGCCCAGCTATGCAGGGGCTGGAGCCCTACTGTCCACACCTGACCATCTTCTACAGATCCAGGCTTAATACCCATTATACTGCTCCTGTGAGTTCCTGAACTCTGGGTTGTGTGACCATTTCAGTTGGATGGAACTGGCCTTTGTCATTTTTATGGAAATAAAAGAAGGGAGGTTTTCCTCAATAAATAGAGGATATAAAATAAGATTATAGGAATAATTTTTCCTCAGGCTTTTCATTTTAAAAAATTTCAAAGATACAGAATGCTGAAAGAGGAACACTTATATCATACATCTAGATTTAATAACTGTTAACATTTTGCCACATTTACTGTACTCAGTAGACTACACATTTTTCAGAATTATTTGAGAATAAGTTGCAGACATCAGTACACCTCACCCCTAAACACTTAAACACGTATCTCCTAAAAGCAAGGATATTCTCCTACAGAATGGTAATACCTAAGAAAGGGCAATACTTACATACTTTAGTCATACTAAATACTTTAATAATACTAATTATTAAATACTACTACAATAATAATACTACTAATAATAAAGTAATACTTAAGAAAATTAATAATTCCTAGTTTATAATATCCAGTTTAAATTCAAATATCCTTGATTGTCTCTAAAATGACTTTTTGAAAAGAAGCAGGATCCCATCAGAGATTGACACTTTGTCAATCTGTATAAGGACACCAGTCATAGTAGATTAGGGGTCCACCCTACCTCATTACAACCTCATCTTAACTAATAACATTTGCAATGACTCTATTTCTGAAGAAGCTCACACTCTGAGCTACTGGGGGTTAGGACTTAAACATGAATTTTGAAGAGGGACATAATTGAGCCCATAGCAACTGCAAGAGATTGATATTGTTATGTCTCTTTAGCCTCTTTTAATTGACAACATCCTCACTACTTTTGTTTTATGTTTTTATGACATTGACTTTTTAAACAGTACAGGGCTATTTTCTTGTAAATAGTCCATATTCTGGATGTGTCTCATTGTTTCCTAGCCTCCTAGCCTGTCAGTGACTGGCTGAGCCCAGGGAAGCAGAGCAGGGAGGAATTATGTGAATTTCATGGTAAATAAAAGTTGTGATGTGTGGAGAGGCAGAATGGTGCCTTGGCAGAGAGCAGGACAAGCATTCAGGAGACCTGGCTTCAAAGCCCAACCACTGCCTACCAGTTGTCTGCCTCCTTGGACTTCCCCACCAACCCACCATGCATAATGGGGGACAGGCCCAGGTGATGTACATGGTTAGCAAATACAGCCTTAGGGAAGGGCTCAAAAAAGGATAGGAGCCCATGAGAGAACACAACAGTAAAATTGAAGGCAACCCCATTGGCCAAAACCGGAATGAATTGAGAAATAAGTAAACAAGAAAAGTATTGCATTATAATTCATAAAATAAATATCCACGATTCCTTACTGATATAAAAATAAAAATTCCAAAAATAAATTGGGAAGAAGGGATAGTTCTTACTTACAGAAGAATTCCAATTAATAAATGTAGATGAAATGGGAAAATATTTTTAAAAGTCACCATTAGGCAAACACCACAGTAATAATTATTACAGGCAAAAATCTACCAATGGCTGCTCAAATTAGTATAAGAAATTTTGAGGAGAAACAAAATAGTTGCATAGTGTCAAATACGTCCTTCAAGATATTCACTAATTATGAAGAGAAAAATGGTAATTTTACAGTGAAGAAAGCCAGCAGATACTGCCTTCACCAAATGATCAAGGTTAATTATCACCAGTAATAAGACTTATTGACATCATGTACTCCCTGATCCATAGACTGAGGTCATATCACCGTTGTATGCCTGCCAAAAATGCATAACCTCAATTCAATAGTGAGAAAACATCAAGCAAACCCCGATTGACAGTTATTCTGCAATATAACTGACTTGCCTTATTTAAAAGTGGCAGGGTCACAAAAGACAAGGAAAGACTGGAAAGACTGAGGAAATGTCACAGATTAGAGGAGACCAAGGAGACATGGCAACTGAATGCGATGTGAGATCCAATCAATGAAAGAACTGGTGAAATTCACATTAGGCCTGTTGCTTGATTAATAGTAATTAATAACACTCATAACATCACTAATAGTACCCATGTTAATTTCATGGTTTTGATCACTGTATTATGGTTATTTAAGATGTTCCTTTAACATTTAGGGAAGCCAAGCAATGCATATATGAGTACTCACTGTACATTTTTTGCACCTTTTCTGTAAGTCAAAATTTGTTTCAAAAGAAAAAGTTAAAAAAAAAATAGCCACATGTGTAAGTAAAGTTGAAGGTCTCCTAGCCACTGTGGTCTGAAGGACACAGATGAAAGTCCCCTACCTTCAATGTTTTCCCCTCCAGCAGCCTGTCAAGACGCCTGAAATCCCACCATTCAAAACACATTACTTTCTTTTTCTTTTTTTTTTTTTTTGGAGACAGAGTCTCACTCTGCCTCCCAGACTGGAGTGCAATGGCGTGATCTCCGCTCACTGCAACCTCCGCCTCCCAGGTTCAAGCAATTCTCCTGCCTCAGCCCCCTGAGTAGCTAGTATTACAGGCGTCTGCCACTACGCCCGGCTAATTTTTGTATTTTTAGTAGAGACAGGGTTTCATTATGTTGGCTAGGCTGGTCTCGAACTCCTGACCTCAGGTAATCCATTACTTTCAACGAATATTTTGTGTTTCTGAAAGTCCAGAGAGTCACGTAATGTATTTATTGAGCACTTTCTATGTTCAGGGACCTACTAGGTACTAGGGATAGGTAGTGGATAAGGCAGACAGCACCTCTGCCCCACTAGAGCTTATATTCAGCTGTAGCCTCTTAGTACAATGTTAAGATGAGTTGGTTTGCTTCAATTCCTACAGAGGCCATAAACCAGGATCCTAAGAAGAGGTAAATTTGGGTAAGTGAAAGAGGGGAGGCTAAAGCTTAGAGCATACAGCTGCTGAAAGATTTAAGAACTAAGCGTGACACTGAGACAAGTAGGATGGTGCACGAGGAGAAATACAGTTTGAGGAGTTGAATACACATGAAAACTGAATTGAACCTAAAATAATAATAGCCAACCCCTGGAAAGCACTGGTTATGTGGCAGGTACTGTTCTCATGAATTTATATGTATGGTAACTCCTTAGACCCTCACGGCAGCCCTGTGGGGCAAGGTACTGTTATTATCCCCTTTTGCAGATAAAGGAGCTGAGGCGCTGAGGGTCGCACAGCTGGTACGTGCTGGATGGAGTTGGGCCATGGGCCTGGGTAGTTTGTCTCTAGAGACAGTACACCTCACACGCATGGACTGCTGCTGTTCCCAGAGCTGAGCGACAACACTTTGGCACAGAGAAGGAAGGAGAATGGCAAAGCCAAGATCAAGTCCTCGTATCTAGGTCTAAAGGAGAGAAGAAGAAGAGGAAGAGGAAGAGGAAGCCGAGTCTTGCTTTGTGTGAGTGCTACTATGTCTTAAGCAGGATACCCAGTGCTTTCCCTGTATTAGTATCTAAAATTCATGCTTCTGAGATACTGTCATTCTCATTTTACAGAGGAGGCTTAGAGAGATGAAGTATTTTGCCCAAGGTCACATAGTTCTAGTAACAGGTGAAGCCAGGATTTAGCTGATTTATGGAAAGCTTTAGATTTGGTTGCTCTCAGTCTCACCACTGGCCTAGCACTAAATAAGCATGTGTTTCTCTCTCCCTCTCTCTCTCTCTCTCTCTCTCTCTCTCTCTCTCTCTCTCTCTCTCTCCTCTCCCCCCACCTTCCCTCTTCCTCTCCCTCCCCCTCTCCTCTCACACACTAAAGTTAATTATTTAATGCCCGTAATATATATCTTGAGGATGGCATTTTGCAGCACTGAGCTTTAAACAGTACATGTTTAAATACATTTAATCCAATGAATATTTCAAGGTAATTAATCTCCACAGCGTGAGAGAATGTTCAGGTTTCCCAGCACATCAAAATACATCTGAATCAGCTGAGGAAATGATTTGCACACTCTGCAGTGGGTTGAGAAAGATTCACTTAAAGACTTTCAGATCTGACTCCCTGGTGTTAACGAGCAGAAAGGCTGCTAAAGAGAAGGATTAAGGCGCCTCCTAGTGGTTATATTTATGCAAGGAGAGAATATGGCTAACAACTATTGGGCAAGAGGACTACTTGTTTGAGTTGGCTGGGGTGGAAGAGTTTTGTTTTGTTTGTTTTTGTTTTTGTTTTTGGAGAGTACTATCCTGCAAATGTGTGCACATACACATATGTACACACATGCATAATTCACATAATTTTTGTGTATCAAATACACATCACCATGGTACGTGGCACCCGTGTTATATGCTACTGTTTTATGAGTGTGGGAGTATGGTGGAATAACAGTGGGTGAGAATTTGCATGGGTGCCTACCCACATGATTTTGCCTGGACTCTCTAACCCTTCTGCAGGTGTTGAGATGACTATATTTGTTGAAGATTTAGTTTGAGCCTATAGAACTCAATGGATGGAGTTAATTGGCCTGATTTCCAACTCATGACGTTAATAGTAGTAATAGCTGCCATCAACTGAAGGATTATAGCTGTGGCCATATATATGTGTGGGTTTCATATGCTATATCTATATATTACTATACATAGTTATAGTTATTACTATAATATATAATACAGTAATTATTACTATATTACTATAATAATAACTATATCTAGTAATATACAGATAGCTATATATACATATAAATGTGTATATATAATCCCATGTGATCCTCTTGTCAATCCTGTAAGAGATTAGTGTCATTAACCCACATCACTGATGAGAAAACTGAGGCTCAGAACTTGAGCAACTTTTCCAAAGTCACACAACTTGTCAAAACCAGGCCTGCTGATTCCTGAGTCCATGTTATTAACTTTATACTGCCTCTGCATCACATTTCACACGGCAATGAACTTGTGCTAGCAGTATCAAATCAACTAATATTTATTATTTACCTGCTAGAGGCAACCTACTAGTAAAAGACACTGTGCTTGGTACTGTTGAGGGAACACACACACACACACACACACACACAAATTATGATGCCTATCCTCAAAAATTTAATAGTTTTATTGAATAAGATAATAAAGATAATAAAGACTTTAAAATTTAAGTCTTTTTTGAAAAAAAAATATTTAAGGTGACAGAATAACCTTAGAAGATAGGGCATTAGACAACACTTATTTAATTGCCAAATAAATAAGAATTACCATGGGGAAGGTCAATTCAGCGGGTATTTGAGCTGGGTTTTGAAAGTTGAGTGAGCGAAAGGGGCAGGTAGTGCTTTCCTGAAAGGAGGCTACTCCAGAGAGCCATGAAACACGGTGAAGTAGCCAGAAAACACTGGGCTGGGGACCTGGAGCCCCAGAGACTCAGTCACAGGCCTGCTGAGGACACTTAGGCAAGGCATCGTTGCCTCTTTACACCTCAGTCTCACCATCTGTACCTTTAGGCAATTGGCCCCACTCAGAACCTCTTTGGCCTAAAATTCTACATTCCGTAAGTCTAGCAATTTGAACTGAGTCATAGTCCATAAAGGACTACAGAGTGTCAGGAAGTTTTATTAGTGGTGGAGTGGCTGAGCTGTCATTTCAACCTGCTCACCATCTGGAGGAAAAAGGGGCAATACCTCTCATCCACACTCATAAACATGCTGAAGGGTTCCTTTCATGGTTAATGGCAGCACACCCTCTGGCACATGCGGAAGGACCAAAGATATGCAGTACCATTACCTAGATGGTGGGTATGGCATTACATATCAAGATGTTTTTCCTAGCATCATGATTTGGTGCCTTACACACGTCACTGTGTAATAGAAAAAAGACGGTATCATTGGGAACCCGACCTGAAAAAACAGCCCATTTGTGTACTTTCCCATGAATGGTTTGTAGTTCTCCACATGCACATTCTCATTTTATCTCCAGACCTTGGAAAATGCTGCTATCTCTGCTTGGAACAAACATACACACTCATACTCATGCACACACTCCTGTGCACATATACCTTTATTCATAATATTCAGTGGCATTTATTAGGAGGTATGAATCCCAGATGATAGCTCAAGAGCACAAGCAACATACTTTATTTATAGGTTAATACAGAGCAGAGTCCCTATTCTGGTAGGTGGGAAGCAAATTTGGAGCATCTCTCTGTCCTCTTGATTACATCTAGATTCTGGGGCGGAATGAGGGGGAGCTTATGTAATGTCCTTGATGTTTCCTGTCCACACTAGCTGAGAGATCCCCTGAGCTATCTGTTAGGGAGTTCACTGTGGAGATGTTCCTTGTTCCCAGCTCTCAAGCTTTCTTAGTGGCTTCTGTGCCCAGTCCCTGGCACACAAAAAATTACTCTGCCATGCCCTGCCGTGCCACATATGGTGCCTTCTCTACTCCCTCATACACCCCTCACAGCCACTTCCATCCCTCTCTGGGTAATTCTAGCCCTCCTGGGCCTTTATGCAGGAAAAAGGCACATGGGCCTTTAGCTCTTGGGCTCCACAAATCTATTTGGTGCTTCTGTGGTCTTTTCCCCAGGGATATATCTAAAAACTCAAAAGGAGAAGACTCCTCTTCAGGACCAGCAGTAGCTTGACTTTCCTTCCCCACCCCTCCTTTCTCTAGGAATTCTTTCTGAATTTCAGAAGTTGGAAGCTTTCAGAAAGCTTCTTCGTGCAAGAGTTCAGTCCAATCAGGAGAATGCCCTAGGCAGGTTCATAATAAGGAACATACAATAAAATAACTGATCTCTGGAGGTGTCAAGATCATACAAAAGACAAAGAAAGACCCAGGAACAATTGGAGACTGTCAGAGAACAGGGAGAAATGACAATCAAATACAATGTGGTATGTTGAATAGTATCCTGGAACAACAAAAACCAAAAAAAAAAAAAAAATACATTAGTGGAGGCCAGGCGCTACGGTAGCTCATGCCTGTAATCCCAACACTTTGGGAGACCGAGGGGGGCGGATCACCTGAGGTCAGGAGTTTGAGACCAGCCTGGCCAACATGGCAAAACCCCATCTCTACTAAATACACAAAATTTAGCCAGGCATGATAGCACATGCCTATAGCCCCGACTACTCGGGAAGCTGAGACAGGAGAATCACTTGAACCTGGAGGCGGAGGTTGCAGTGAGCCAAGATCACGCGACTGCACTCCAGCCTTGGTTAATGGTATTGTGCCAATGTTAATTTCCCAGTTCTGATCATTGTTCTATGTTTACACAAGATGTTAACAATTGTGATAGTATAGGTGAAAAATATATAAAAACTCTGTACTATTTTGCAATTTTTCAGTAGCCACATGTTCATTGCTAGTACATAGCAATAAATTCATTTTCGTATGTTCATCTTGTATCCTACAAGTTTGCTAAACTCACTTATTAGTTTTTATGTAGATTACTTGGGATTTGCTGTATAGACTACCATGTCATTTGCAAACAGGGACAGCTTTATTTCTCCTCTCTAATATGTATGCTTTCTATTTCCTTTTATTGCTTTTTTGCTTGGGTTAAAACGCCTATCACTGTGTTGAATAAGAGTGATGAGAGTGGAGATCCTTGTCTCGTTCCTGATCATAGCGGGAAAGCACATATTGTGTCATTATTGTATTTTTCAGTTCTAAAATTTCCATTTGGTTCTTCTTTATATCTTTTATTTCTTTGCTGATACTTTCTTTTTACTTTTCTAAGACTTTTAACTTTTGTTTCAAGTATGTTCATTAATGGCTCATTGAAACACTTATGATGGCTGTTATAAAATCTTTGTCATATAATTCTAAAATTTCTGGCATCATGGTATTGACATCTATTGACTGTCTTTTTCATTCAATTTTAAATCTTCCTGGTTCTTGATGTGACAAGTGATTTTCAACAGAAACCTGATCGTTTCTATTGAAATGATCTTTATCTTATCTGAACCTTCTGTTTTAGCTGACTTCTTCTGACACACTGCTCCAGCAAGGTGGTAAGGGGTGGAAGGGCATCTCATTTTTGCCAGGAGTAGGTTCCCCGCTCATCCTCCATGGGCACTTGACAGGATAAGGGATTCTTTGCTACTGCTAGGTGGGATTAGAAGTTCCAGCTTCCCACAAGGCCTCTCTACTGAGACTTCCCTAGCTGGGAGGAGTAGGAGTACCTTATTACTATTCCCCACATGGCCCCTGCTGACGCCATGCAGGTGGCTGAGAGGGTGGCTTTCTTACTGCTAGGCCTTCTCTATACTAGTCCACTGGGATGATGGAGGAGCACCTCATTACTGATAGTTTAGGGAAGAAGTCCAGGCTTCCCACATGGTCTCCACTGACACTGTGGAAGGGTGGGTCTCGTTATCACCCAGTGGAGATTAAAGTCCCAACTCTCTACTTGGCCTTCTCTGGCACCACCCCAGTAGGGGAGTTGGGACAGTTCATCACAGCTAGGTGAGGGTGGACATTTAAGCTCATAACTTGGTCTTTGTTGGCATAAGTGGGGTGGAGCAGCATTTTTTTCCTTTGGTGCTTGGCTGGAGTACAGAAATTATTACAGTTATCGTCTAAAAGTTTTCTGCCTTGCTAGGCTGCCTTTTCCTGGTCCACTGGTTAATGAGAACAGGCTTTTATTTGGGCTACGTTTGTTTGTGTCCATTGGTGTTTCTATGTTGCTGACTTCTTCAGCTCCAAGTCTGGGAAATACAGTGCAAAAAAGAAAACCCAGGGAACTCACCATTGTGTCATTATTTGGGTTCTGAAGTCCCTAGATGGTCTTTTATGGTCTTTTATACTTATGGAGAGAAATAGGTGGAAATATGTCTCCTCCATGTTCCTGGAAGTGAAAGTAAAAAACTGATTTTACAAATTTGAAAACATCTTGAATCATTAGGAGTTCTCGAGTCTATGTCCTGAGTCCTTTCTTTCCCTACCCCCACTAGACTAGAAGGGACACCTTGTGTATCTGTTTTCACCAATATATCTTGTCCCTGCGGTACTAATTATAGAATAGCACCATAAATAAAAGGAGAGGGGGAGGGGAGTAAGAGCACAAACGGTATGTGGAAATATCAGGTGCCAAAAAATTAGGTTAATAGTTTTAAAAGATACCCTCATCTCAAATATATTATCTTTATATCCTTTGCAGCAATATGAGTTAGGTGTTATTATCATTTTACACTGAAAGACTGAGGTTGCTGAAGGTGGCAAACTTCTGTATGTCAAGAAGGCATGAAGAGATGAAACCAGCTAAGTCTATCCTTTTTATTAGGTAAGCAAAGGTTTTCCAGAACCCCTCACCAGCAGACTTCTACTTGCATCTCACTACTACAACAACGATGTCACATGGCCATCCCTCGCTGCAAGCAAATATGGAAGAGCTAGTGAATGTTTCAAGCGGATGGCAATGAGGAGAAGGTTCAGAATGGCTGTTGGATCCACCCCTCTTCAGTTTTGCCATAATCTGTAACTATTAATAAGGAGCCTCCTTCCTAGTCAGGTTGACCCAAATCTCTGGAAAGCCTACTGCACTTTTCAAAAGCATAGTCAATATGCTTTCATATTTGGAAACTTTAAAAATGGATAATATGTATAAAGAAAATTAAACTTAATATCTACTTGATGTCTGGAAACCTGTGAAAGATGTAGTGTTTAATATATGGGGCAGAATTTTCACATTTAACCAAAGGGGCATGAATTTAAACAGGTTAAAAAGCATTGTATTAAGAAGTGAGCACTGGCCGGGCGCAGTGGCTAACACCTATAATCCCAGCACTTTGGGAGGCCGAGGCGGGCAGATCACCTGAGGTCAGGAGTTCGAGACCAACCTGACCAACATGGTGAAACCTCATCTCTACTAAAAATGCAAAAATTAGCTGGGTGTGGTGGCAGGCGCCTGTAATCCCAGCTACTCGGGAAGCTGAGGTGAGAGAATCGCTTGAACCTGGGAGGCGGAGGTTGCAGTGAGCCAAGATTGTGCCAGTGCACTCCAGCCTGAGCAAGAAGAGAGAAACTCTGTTTAAAAAAAAAAAAAAAAAGTGAGCACCATGGGCACTATTAAGAGGCACTACCCAATACCCTAAGGTTACAGGAACTCCACTGGCCACATACAAAGATAAGCTGACTACCGTCTTTGTCAGCTGCAACTTATCTATTGAAGAAGGCCATGTTCTCTGGACCTGTTGAGTGTCAAGCTGCAAGGTGTCATAAATAGTTTGGTGGCCCTGTTAGTGTTAGCTGTTCTTAAAGTGACAAGGAGATCCACAGGGGTAGGGAGAGAGGAAGACACATGCTGTCAGCCACAGCCAGGGCTAAATGCCTTGCTGGCAGCATTTTCCTTCAGGGTTAACCAGCACACAGAGTAGCCAAGCTCAGGTAATTTTAGGAAAAGATCTTCCACTCCACATGATTGCTAATTGCCTACAAAGCAAAGCACAGTAGAAATAGCAGGCAGATATGAAACTCCAAATGTTGGTGATAACTGTATTTAATCTCTCCTAAAGGAACACTAAAGAGACTTTAATACTTTTGTTGGGGGGGAAATCCAACGTGTGAAAAGAGAAACAGCAATTGCTGACAGAGTCACTTTCCACCTGAAGGAACTGTGCCAAAATCAATTTCTAATAGGAGGGAAGGGTAATGAGAGTGCATTGTGGATTACAGTCACATTCTACATCTCTAAAAGCTTCTCTGGACAGACTGTAAATTACATTGACCTTAAAGAAAATGTTCACACTTTGGTTTTTATGAACATTCCACCTGGATAGTGTGACCTGGCTTTAGATAAAATAAGAAATAAACCAAGAAACCAACAGCCATACAGAGCCAGCAGTCAGAACTGGTTTGATTATTGATTCTGACTGTTTTCTTCCTGCCCATATATCTAGAGAGCAAAGAGCATTATTTCCATAAATGATATCCAAACCCAGGTCCAATTTGGAATAGCTATTTGATATCCCAACCTTGCTTTGACAATTGCTAAAATCAATGTGATATTTGGGGCATTAAAAAAAACAGACACCAACTCTGGAAAACTTAAGCCTAAAAGGTATGTATCAAAAGTATATTAGCTGGGGAACAAGGCAGAGCCATGATCCTACCACAGGATCTGTTTGCTCAGCACAGCATCATGGGCGCTACAAGCACTATGGGTATCGCTGCCTCTAAATCTTCTCCACTGGTGCTGTTGCATTTCACTGCCCTGGACATGCTCTCTATGCTACCACTCTGCTGCAAATTACCACCAGCTGACCAGCCTCTCAAGATTCAGTTCTGGCAGGAACACCTATAAGGTGCTACTACAACAACCTATAAGGTTGTACTGAGACCACATGACCACACTTAAGCACAAGGTGCCAGGGTATGGGGAATTCTCAATACAGGAAGGGTATACTGGGCAGCCAGAACAACAAATCCACTGTAAATGAGTTTAAAAAAATAAAGGGCCACTCCTATATGATATCCAAATTTATAAATATATAATACTATATATGATATTATTTATTATATTCCATATACATATATATACACACACACACATACATAGATACATTCTAAAAAAAATTAGTGTTTTCTGGAAATCAATCAATATTTATAGACAGGGTTACCATGAGTAGGTTTGGGTCCTGTGAAGACCTTATTTTCAAGACCTCAGCAGTAGAAGACAGGCTAAAAATCTTTACATGGGAGTTGCACTGGGTCCTTTTCCAGACTTCCGGGCTCCAGTGATTTGTACCAGTTCCCTGCCCATTACACCTTCACCCCATCTTCTAGTCCACTTTTTCTTGACTCTTTTTTTTAGACATTTACTTCTGACCAAAGTGTTATAGGAGACACAACATAGAAAGAAGAGAAGAGAACTAACTTTTGCAGAATGTTTATTTAATGAGTATTTTAGGAGCCTACTTAGCTTAACATTATCCTTATAGGAGGTAGAGCTGTAACTTTACAACACCCATCTGGGTTTAAGGCCCGGCTCTACCAGATATTGTGACCTTGGGCAAGTTATTTAACCTTTGTAACCACCATATTTCTCATCATAAAATGGGAAGCAAGATGGCAGAATACAAGGCTCCACCTATTGTCCCACTTGCAAGGAATCCAAGTTAACAACTATATACACGAGCAAAGCACCTCCATAAGAACCACAAATCAGGTGAGCACTCATAGTACCTGGTTTTAACTTCATATCACTGAAAGAGGCACTGAAGAGGTAGGAAAAACAGTCTTGAAGCCCCGACACCATCCTTCCCTCATCCGCAGCAGTGCAGCATGGTGTGGAGAGTATTTCTGGGTGCTGGGGAGAGGGAGAGCATAGCAAGTGTGAGGCATTGATGAACTCAAGGCTGTCTGTTAGACCAGAAAGAAAAACCAAACCAAACTCAGCTTATATCCACCCACAGAGGAAGCATTTGGACCAGCCCTAGCCAGAGGGGAATCACTAATCCCCAGAGGTCAATTGCCATGATGGGCTAAAGGGCTCTGGGTCTCTAAGTAAATTTGAAAGGCTGTCTAGGCCATAAGGACTGAACTCTTAGGTGAGTGGTAGTGCTGAACTGGGTGGACTTGGGGGCATGTGACTACTGAGACACCAGCAGGGATAGCTAAGAAAGTGCTGGCATCACCCCTCCCCTAACCCCGGCTGCACAACTCATGGCTCCAAAAGAGAGCCCTTCCTTTCACTTGAGGAGAGGAGAGAGAAGAGTGGAGGGGACTGTGTCTTGTATCTTTGATCCCACAGCAGAATAGGGCACTGGTCAGAGTCATGAGGCCCCTGTTCCAAGCCCTAGCTCCTAAATGACATTTCCAGAAACACCCTGGGGCAGAAAGGAATCTGCTGCCTTGAAGGGAAGAACCCAGTCCTGGCAGCATTGATCACATGCTAACTGAAGAGCCTTTGGGTCCTGAATAACCAGCAGTGATGCCCAGGTACTATGTTGAAGGCCTTGGGTGAGCCTCTGAAACTTGCTGGCTTCAGGTACCAGCTTGACCACAGGGGAGTAGAGCACCAGGGGGGCTCTTGGGGTCCCCGATTCAAAGACTTGACTCTTGGATGGCATTCTGGACCCACCCTGGGCCAGAAGGGAGCCCATTGCTCTGAAGGGTGGGTCCCAGGAAAGACAGCATTCACCACAAGCTGACTGAAGAGCCCTTGGGTCTTAAGGGAACATCAGTGGCAGTCTGGTAGAACTCCCCATGGCCTGTAATGGTGGTAGCTAGAGGATGAAGCTTTTCTGCCTTTGTAAAGAGGAGGGAAGAATGGGAAGGACTGCCATCCTGTGGCTTGATGGCCAGCTCAGCCACAATACAATAGAATACCAGGTAGACTTCTAAGGATTTTGACTCTAGTCTCTGACCCCAGATGGCACCTCTAGACCCATCTGGGGCCTGGGGGGATTCACCAACCTGGACACAAGCCTGGCTGGCTTTGCTACCTGTGATTGTAAAGCCACAAGGCCTTGAGCAAACATAGGCAATAGCCAGGGAGTGGTTCAGCAGGCCTTGGGTGAGACCCACTACTGTGCTGGCTTCAGGTCTGACCCAGCGAGTCATAGTGGTGGTGGCTGCAGGTGTGCATGTGTCACTCCACACCCAGATTTAGGTGGCTCAGAACTGAAAGAGAGAGACACGGTTTGCTTGGGAAAAAGTAAGGCAAGAGAACAAGAATCTCTGCCTGGTAATACAGATAATTCTTCCAGATCTTGTCCAAGACCATCAAGGTGGTACCTCTATGAGTCTTCAAGAACTATAGAATTACTAAGCATGGGGTGCCCCCTAAAGCAGATACAGCTTAGATCTCAACACCCAAGTCCTTTCAAATATCTGAAAAATCTTCTCAACAAGTACAGGTACAAAGAAGCCCAGACAGTTAAAACTATAATAAATACCTAACTCCTCAATGCCTAGACATCTACACGTATAAAGATAATCCAGGAAAACATGACCTCACCAAATGAACTAAATAAGGCACCAGGGAGCAATCCTGGAGAAACATAAATATGTTACCTTTAAGACAGAAAATTCAAAATAGCTGTGTTGAGGAAACTCAAATTCAAGATAACACAGAGATGGAATTCAGAATTCTATCAGCTAGATTTCACAAAGAGATTGAAATAAAAAGAATCAAGCAGAAATTCTGGAGCAAAAAAATGCAGTTGGCACACTGAACAATGCATTAGAGTCCTTTAATAGCAGAATGAATCAAGCAGAAGAAAAAAATTAGTGAACTTAAAGACAAATTATTTGAAAATACACCATCAGAGGAGACCAAAAAAAGAATAAAAAACAATGAAACATGCCTACAGAACCTAATAAATAGCCTCGAAAGGGCAAATCTAAGAGTTATTTGTCTTAAAGAGAAGGTAGAGAAAGAGATAGGGGTAGAAAGTTTATTCAAAGGGATAACAACAGAAAACTTCCCAAACCTAGAGAAAGATATTAAATATCCAAGTACAAGAAGGCTGTAGAATATCAAGCAGATTTAACCCAAAGAAGACTACCTCAAGTTGTTTAATAATCAAACTCCCAAGGATCAAGGATAAAGAAAGGATCTTAAAAGCAGCAAGAGAAAAGAAACAAATATCATACAATGGAGCTCCCATACATCTGGCTGCAGACTTCTCAGTGGAAACCTTACAGGCCAGGAGACAGTGGCATGACATATTTAAAGGGCTGAAGGAAAATAACTTTTGCCCTAGAATAATATATCTTATGAAAAACTTTTCAGACATGAAGGAGAAATGAAGACTTTCTCAGACAAAAAAAGCTGAAGGATTTCATCAACACCAGATCTGTCCTATAAGAAATGCTAAAGGGAGTACTTCAGAAAGAAGAGGATGTTAATGAGCAATAACTAATTACCTGAAGGTACAAAACTCACTGGTAATAGTAAGTACATAGAAAAACACAGAATATTATAAGACTGTAACTGGGTTGTATAAACTACTCTTATCCTAAGTAGAAAGACTAAATGATGAACCAATCAAAAATAACAACTACAACAACTTTTCAAGACAATGACAGTACAATAAGATATAAATAGGAACAACAAAATGTTAAAAAGTGGAGGGATAAAGTTAAGGCATATAATTTTTATTAGTTTTTTGTGCTTGTTTGTTTATGACAAATAGTGTTAAGTTGGTATCAGCTCAAAATAATGGGTTATAAGATAGTAGTTGCAAGTCTCATTGTAACCTCAAACCAAGAAACATACACCAAATACACAAAAATTAAAAAGCAAGGAAGTAAATTATATTACCAGAGAAAATCACTAAAGGAAGACAAGGAAAAAAAGGAATACCACAAAACAACTGGAAAACAAATTACAAAATGGCAAGAGTAAGTCCTTACTCATCAATAATAAATGTAAATGGACTATACTCTCCAATCAAAAGACATAAAGTGGCCGAGTGGATGAAAAAACAAGAACCACTTATCTGTTGCCTACAAGAAACACAATTCATCTATAAATATATACATATACTGAAAATGAAAGGATGGAAAAAGATATGCCATGCTAATGAAAACCAAAGAACAGAGGAGCAGAAGTAAATGGAGCAGTAGCTATATTTATATCACACAAAATAGATTTCAAGACAAAAAGTGTAAGAAGAGACAAAGAAGATCACTGTATAATGATAAAGAGGCCAATTCAGCAAAAGAATATAACAATATACATGTACCCAACACTGTAGCATCCAGATATATAAAGCAAATATTATTAGAGCTAAAGAGAGATATAGGACCCAATACAATAATAATGTGGAGACATGAACATCCCACTTTCAGCACTGGACAAACTTCCAGGCAGAAAAGCAATAAAGAAACTTCAGTCTTAATATGCACTATACACCACATGGATCTAATAGATATTTACAGAAAATTAGATCCAAGAGCTGCAGAATGCACACTCTTTTTCTCAGCACATGGATCATTCTCAAGGATATACCGTATGTTTGGTCACAAAACAAGTCTTAAAACATTCAAGAAACAAATGAAACAATATCAAGCATCTTCTCTGACCACAATAGAATAAACCTAGAAATCAATAGCTAGAGGAATTTATGAAACTATACAAATATATGGTAATTAAATAGTATGCTCCTGAATAACCAGTGGGTCAATGAAGGAATTAAGGAAATTGAAAAATGTGTTGAAATAAATTATAATGGAAACACAACATATCAAAACCTATGGAATACAGAAAAAGGAGTCCTAAGATGGAAGTTTATAAGTGTCTATACCAAAAAAGAGGAAAAACATCAAATAAACAATCTAATGATGCATCTTAAAAAACTAGAAAAGCAAGAACAAACCAGACCCAAAATTAGTAGAAGAAAAGAAATAATAATAATTTCAGCAGTTTCAGGTTACAAAATCAATGTGCAAAAATTACTAGCCTTTGGGAGATGTGGGGGAGATGGTAGATAGGAAACAGGGCTAATGTGCAATTCCCACATAGACAGACAGAACAGTATGTGGAGACTCACACTGTAATCTTTTGCTCCAAGAATCACTGCAGAAACATACCAGGAAAACCAAAAGAATTCATACATCCTTTGAAAGAACTGTGACACCACTGCAAATTCCATGAAACAGGTGAAAAACTGTGAGTTTTCAAAGTGTGAGGGGGGCAAACCTGCCTCCAAACACACATCCCCACTGGGGAATCTGAAAATACAGATCTCAGGAGAATGATTTAACCTTACCTAGAAATGAAATTGATTTAGGGAGTCACATGAAACATAAAAATAGAAGTAGCAGTAGGAAGTGCCTTGAAGGCACTCCCACTAGCTTGAGCCCAGGGAAGCCTTCCCCGAGTATAACTCACATGGGCCCTTAGGGAAGGCAGCCAGTGGTATTAACGAGAGGTCACAGTGCAAAGGAAACTCCCATCTGAAACTGGTAGTGGTTTCAAATGGGCACAAATTTTCTCAAGTGGAGTCTGGGGGATGAGTGGGAGCTGCTGCAGGTATGAGTGTAGGAACACAGGAGTTGGCAACAGGGTGAGCAGATGGGGAGGGGCAAGGTCCAAAGGCTATGCCTTCTTTCTCTGTGGGGTAGTTCACAGCCTGGGGCAAGGTCTGAGTGAGGCACCATGGGAGCAACACTAGCTCTGCCAACTGCATGGGAGATGAGGGAGGCCTTTTGTTACCAGCCATCCCCCACTTCCCTGGCAAACTATATGACACAGCAGAGGTGACCAAGAGCCCCTCTGGAACATAACCCCATTAGCCTGAGAAACACCCCCACATCCCCTACAGGGGACACAACAAGCCCCACCCAAGAAGAGTCTGAGCCCAGACTCACCTAATTCTGCCCCCACCTAAGGGTATTTCCCCACCTACCCTGGTAGCCAAACACAAAATATAGAAACTCCTGGGAACTTTAGGGCCCCGCCCACCACCTGAAAAACCAAATACTTACCCTGGCCATCTTAGAGCAAGCTTAGGGAACCCTACTGCTACCACAGCTGGCACTCTCTTGAAAGTACCACCTCCTGGCTGGAGGCCAACCAATTCAGGCCATTACAGCAACTCATGACAGAATAACTATGAATCCAGGAAGGAGAATACAACACCTAATTCCACTGCCTGCAACATCCTGGCTAACCAGAGGTCCTGAGTGTGTCCACATGACAACTTCACCGCTAGCATAACCAGCATTCAAAAAATCCAGCACACTAAACATATCTACAACCACAGAGTCCCCTTCAGTTTTCTGCCACCTCTACCAGAGCAGGTACTTGTATCCACAGCTGGAAGACCTGAAGACAGATCAATCACATAACAGGACTCTTTGCAGACATCCCCCAGCACCAGCCCAGAGCCAGGTAACCCTACTGGGTGGCTAGACCCAGAAGAGCGGTAACAATAACTGCAGTCCAGATCTCAGGAAGCCCCATCCCTAGGGGAATAGGAAAATCACCACATCAAGCGATCACTCTGTGGGACAAGAGAATCTGAACAGCAGGCCTTGAGTTTCAAACCTCTCCACTGAAATAGTCTACCCAAATGAGAAGGAACCAGAAAAGTAATTCTGGTAATATGACAAAATAGAGTTCTATGACTTCCCCAAAAGGTCACACTAGTTCCCCAGCAATGGATCCAAACCAAAAAGAAATCTCTGAATTACCAGATAAAGAATTCAGAAGGTTGATTATTAAGCTACTCAAGGAGATAGCACAGAAAAGTGAAAGCCAACTTAAAGAGATTTTTAACAAATACAGGGTATGGATGAAAACTTCTCCAGATAAATAGATATCATAAAGAAAAAACATTCACAACTTCTGGAAATGAAAGACACACTTAGGGAAATACAAAATGCACTGGAAAGTGTCAACAGTAGAGTAGAACAAGTAGAAGAAAGAACTTTAGAGCTGGAAGACCAGGATTTTGAATTAACCCAATCAGACAAAGACACAGAAAGAAGAATTTTAAAAAATGAACGAAGTTTCCAGGAAATTTGGGATTACATTAAACAGCCAAACCTAAAAGTGATCAGCATTCCTGAGGAAAAAGAGAAATCTAAAAGTTTGGAAAACTTATTGGAGGGAATAATTGAGGGAAAATTCCCTGGCCTTGCTAGAGATATAGAAATTCAAATACAATAAGCTGAAAGAACACCTGGGAAATTCATCAGAAAAAGATCATCACCTAGGCACATAGCCATCAGGTTATCTAAAGTCAAGATGAAGGAAAGAATCTTAAGAGATGTGAGACAAAAGCATCAGATAACCTATAGAGGAAAACCAGTAAGATTAACAGCAGACTTCTCAGCAGAAACCTTACAAGCCAGAAGGGATTGAAGTCCCAGTTTTAGCCTCCTGAAACAAAATAATTGTCAGCCAAGAGTTTTGAATCCAGCAAAACTAAGCTTCATAAATGAAGGAGAGATAAAGTCTTTTTCAGACAAAGGCTGAGAGAATTCACCACTACTAAGCCAGCACTATAAGAAATGCTAAAAGGAGTTCAAAATCTTAAAACAAAACGTTGAAATACACCAAAATAGAACCTCCTTAAAGTATAACTCTCACAGGACCTATAAAACAATAATAGGTAAAAAACCAGGGTTTTTTAAGGCAACAACTAACATGATGAATAGAACAGTACCTCACATCTCAATACTAATATTGAATGTAAGTGGCCTAAATGCTTCACTTAATAGATGCAGAATGGCAGAATGGTAGAATGGATAAAAATTCACTAAGTATCCGCTGCCTTCAAGAGACTCACCTAACTCATAAGGACTCATATAAACTTAAGGTAAAGGGGTGGGAAAAGATATTCCACACAAATGGAAACTAAAAGCAAGCAGGAGTAACTATTCCTATATCAGAGACAAGAGACTTTAAAGCAACAACGGTTATAAAAGAGACAAAGAAGAACATTATATAATGATAAAAGGACTAGTCCAATAGGAAAATATCACAATCCCAAATACATAAGCACCCAACACTGGAGCTCCCAAATTTATGAAACAATTACTACTAGACCTAAGAAATGAGATAGATGGCAACACAATAACAGTGGAGGACTTCAATAATCCACTGACAGCACTAGACAGGTCATCAAGACAGAAAGCCAACATAGAAACAATGGACTTAATCTATACCCTAGAACAAATGGACTTAAAAGATATTTACAGAACATTCTACCTAATAACTGCAGAATATGCATTCTTTTCCTCAGCACACAGAACATTCTCCAAGATAGATAGATCACAAAACAAGTCTCAATAAATTTAAGAAAATCAAAATTATATCAAGTATTCTCTCAGACTACAGTGTAATAAAATTGGAAATTAACTTCAAAAGCAACCCTCAAAACTATACAAATACATGGAAATAAATTAAATAAAATCTGCTCTTGAATAATCTTTGGTTCAACAATGAAATCAAGATGGAAATTAATAAGTTATTTGAGCTGAATGATAAGTAGTCACATAAGTTATCAAAACCTCTGGAATACAGTAAAAGCAGTGTTAACAGGAAAGTTCACAGCATTAAATGCCTACATCAAAAAGTCTGAAAGAGCGCACATAGACACTCCAAGGTCACACCTCAAGGAACTAGAGAAACAAGAACAACCCAAACCCAAACCCAGCAGAAGAAAAGAAATAACCAAGACCAGAGCAGGACTAAATGAAATTGACAAAAAAAAAAAAAAAATACAAAAGATAAACGGAACAAAAAGCTGGTTCTTTGAAAAGATAAACAAAATTGATAGACCATTAGTGAGACTAACGAAGAAAAGAAGAGAGAAGATCCAAACAAACTCAATTAGAAATGAAATGGGAGATATTACAACTGATGCCACAGAAATACAAAAGATTATTCAAGTCTACTATGAACACCTTTACTCACAGAAACTAGAAAATCTAGAGATGAATAAATTCCTGGAAATATACAGCTATCCTAGATTAAATCAGGAAGAAATAGAAACTCTGAACAGACCAATAACAAGTAAACAAATTGGAACAGTAATAAAAAAAAAAAGTTGCCAACGAAAAAAGTCCAGGACCAGATGGATTCACAGCTGAATTTTGTCAGACATTCAAAGAAGAATTGATACCAATCTTACTGAAACTATTCCAAAAGATAAAGAAAGAGGAAATTCTCCCTAAGTCATTCTGTGAAGCCAGTATCATGCTAATTCCAAAACCAGGAAAGGACATAATAGGAAAACTACAGCCCAATATCCCAGATGAACACAGATGCAAAAATCCTCAACAAGATACTAGCCAACCAAATCCAACAGCATATCAAAAAAATAATATATACCATGATCAAGTGGATTTCATACCAAAGCATCAGGGATGGCTTAACATACACAAGTCAATAAATGTGATACATCACATAAACAGAATTAAAAACAAAAATCTTATTATCATCTCAACAGATGCAGAAAAAGCATTTGACAAAATCCAGCATCCCTTGTGATTAAAACCCTCAGCAAAATTGACATAGAAGGGTTACACCTGAAGATAATAAAAGCCATCTATGAGAAACCCACAGCCAACATTATACTGAATAGGGAAAAGTTGAAATCTTCCCCCTGAGAACTGGAACAAGATAAGGATGCCCACTTTCACCACTACTTCTTCTTCTCCTTTTTGTTTAAAAATTTAACTTTAAGTTCTAGGGTACATGTGCACAACGCGCAGGCTTGACACATGGGTATACATGTGCCATGCTGGTTTCCTGCAGCCATCAACTCATCATTTACCTTAGGTATTTCTCCTAATGCTATCCCTCCCCCAGCCCCCCACCCCATGACAGGCCCCGGTGTGTGATGTTCCCCTTCCTGTGTCCAAGTGATCTCATTATTCAATTCCCACCTATGACTGAGAACATGCAGTGTTTGATTTTCTCTCCTTGTGATAGTTTGCAGAGAATGATGGTTTCCAGCTTCATCTATGTCCCTGCAAAGGACATGAACTCATCCTTTTTTATGGCTGCATAGTATTCCATGGTGTATATGTGCCACATTTTCTTAATCCAGTCTATCATTGATGGACATTTGGGTTGGTTCCAAGTCTTTGCTATTGTGAATAGTGCCACAATAAACATACGTGTGCATGTGTCTTTATAGTAGCATGATTTATAATCCTTTGGGTATATACCCAGTAATGGGATTGCTGAGTCAAATGGTAATTCTAGTTCTAGATCCTTGAGGAAACACCACACTGTCTTTCACAATGGTTGAACTAGTTTACAGTCCCACCAACAGTGTAAAAGTGTTCCTATTTCTCCACATCCTCTCCAGCATCTGTTGTTTCCTGACTTTTTAATGATTGCCATTCTAACTGGTGTGAGATGGTATCTCATTGTGGTTTTGATTTGCATTTCTCTGATGACCAGTGATGATGAGCATTTTTTCATGTGTCTGTTAGATGCACAGATGTCTTCTTTTGAGAAGTGTCTGTTCATATCCTTTGCCCACTTTTTGATAGGGTTGTTTTCTTCTTGTAAATTTGTTTGAGTTCTTTGCAGATTCTGGATATTAGCCCTTTGTCAGATGGGTAGATTGTAAAAATTTTCTCCCATTCTGTAGGTTGTCTGTTCACTCTGATGGTACTTTCTTTTGCGTGCAGAAGCTGTTTAGTTTAATCAGATTCCATTTGCCTATTTTGGCTTTTGTTGCCATTGCTTTTGGTGTTTTAGTCATGAAGTACTTGCCCAAGCCTATGTCCTGAATGGTATTGCCTAGGTTTTCTTCTAGGGTTTTTATGGTTTTAGGTCTATCATTTAAGTCTTTAATCCATCTTGAATTAATCTGTGTATAAGGTGTAAGGAAGGGATCCAGTTTCAGCTTTCTGCATATAGCTAGCCAATTTTCCCAGTACCATTTATTAAATAGGGAATCCTTTCTCCATTTCTTGTTTTTGTCAGGTTTGTCAAAGATCAGATGGTTGTAGATGTGTGGTGTTATTTCTGAGGCCTCTGTTCTGTTCCATTGGTCTATATCTCTGTTTTTGTACCAGTACTATGCTGTTTTGGTTACTGTAGCCTTGTAGTATACTTTGAAGTCAGATAGCGTGATGCCTCCAGCTTTGTTCTTTTGGCTTAGGATTGTGTTTGCAATGCGGGCTCTTTTTTGGTTCCATATGAACTTTAAAGTAGTTTTTTCCAATTCTGTGAAGAAAGACATTGGTAGCTTGATGGGGATGGCATTGAATCTATAAATTACTTTGGGCGATATGGCCATTTTCACAATATTGATTCTTCCTTTCCATGAGCATGGAATATTCTTCCATTTGTTTGTGTCCTCTTTTATTTCCTTGAGCAGTAGTTTGTAGTTCTCCTTGAAGAGGTCCTTCACATCCCTTGTAAGTTGGATTCCTAGGTATTTTATTCTCTTCATAGCAATTGTGAATGGGAGTTCACTCATGATTTGGCTCTCTGTTTGTCTGTTAATGGTGTATAGGAATGCTTGTGATTTTTGTATATTGATTTTGTATCCTGAGACTTTGCTGAAGTTGCTTATCAACTTAAGGAGATTTTGGGCTGAGATGATGGGGTTTTCTAAATATGCAATCATGTCATCTGCAAACAGGGACAATTTGACTTCCTCTTCTCCTAACTGAATACTCTTTATTTCTTTCTCTTGCCTGATTGCCATAGCCAGAACTTCCAATACTATGTTGAATAGGAGTGGTGAGAGAGGGCATCCATGTCTTGTGCCAGTTTTCAAAGGGAATGCTTCCAGTTTTTGCCCATTCAGTATGATATTGGCTGTGGGTTTGTCATAAATAGCTCTTATTGTTTTGAGATACGTTCCATCAATACCTAGTTTATTAAGAGTTTTTAGCATGAATGCTGTTGAATTTTGTCAAAGGCCTTTTCTGCATCTATTGAGATAATCATGTGGTTTCTTGTCATTGGTTCTGTTTATGTGATGGATTACATTTATTGATTTGCACATGTTCAACCAGCCTTGCATCCCAGGGATGAAGCCAACTTGATTGTGGTGGATAAGCTTTTTGATGTGCTGCTGGATTCAGTTTGCCAGTATTTTATTGAGGATTTTCATATTGATGTTCATCAGGGATATTGGTCTAAAATTCTCTTTTTTTGTTGTGTCTCTGTCAGGCTTTGGTATCAGGATGATGTTGGCCTCATAAAATGAGTTAGGGAGGATTCCCTCTTTTTCTATTGATTGGAATAGTTTCAGAAGGGATGGTACCAGCTCCTCTTTGTACCTCTGGTAGAATTTGGCTGTGAATCCATCTGGTCCTAGACATTTTTTGGTTGGCAAGCTATTAATTATTGCCTCAATTTCAGAGCCTGTTATTGGTCTATTCAGAGATTCAACTTCTTCCTGGTTTAGTCTTGGGAGGGTGTATGTGTCCCAGAATTTATCCATTTCTTCTGGATTTTCTAGTTTATTTGACTAGAGGTGTTTATAGTATTCTATGATGGTAGTTTGTATTTCTGTGGGATCAGTGGTGATATCCCCTTTGTCATTTTTTATTGCGTCTATTTGATTCTTCTCTCTTTTCTTCTTTATTAGTCTTGCTAGAGGTCTATCAATTTTGTTGATCTTTTCAAAAAACCAGCTCCCAGATTCATTGATTTTTTTGAAGGATTTTTTTTGCATCTCTATATCTTTCAGTTCTGTTCTGATCTTAGTTATTTCTTGCCTTCTGCTAGCTTTTGAATTTGTTTGCTCTTTCTTCTCTAGTTCTTTTAATTGTTATGTTAGGGTGTCAATTTTAGATCTTTCCTGCTTTCTCTTGTGGGCATTTAGTGCTATAAATGTCCCTCTATACACTGCTTTAAATGTGTCCCAGAGATTCTGGTATGTTGTGTCTTTGTTCTCATTGGTTTCAAAGAACATCTTTATTTCTGCCTTCATTTTGTTATTTACCCAGTAGTCATTCAGGAGCAAGTTGTTCAGTTTCCATGCAGTTGTGCAGTTTTGAGTGAGTTTCTTAGTCCTGAGTTCTAATTTAATTGCACTGTGATCTGAGAGATAGTTTGTTGTGATTTCTGTTCTTTTACATTTGCTGAGGAGTGCTTTACTTCCAATTATGTGGTCAATTTTAGAATAAGTGCGATGTGGTACTGAGAAGAATGTATATTCTATTGACTTGGGGTGGAGAATTCTGTAGATGTCTATTAGGTCTGCTTGTTGCAGAGCTGAGTTCAGGTCCTGGATATCCTTGTTAACCTTCTGTCTCGTTGATCTGTCTAATATTGACAGTGGGGTGTTAAAGTCTCCCATTATTATTATTGTGTGGGAGTCGAAGTCTCTTTGTAGGTCTCTAGGACTTGCTTTATGAATATGGGTGCTCCTGTATTGGGTGCATATATATTTAGGATAGTTAGCTCTTCTTGTTGAATTGATCCCTTTACCATTATGTAATGGCCTTCTTTGTCTCTTTTCATCTTTGTTGGTTTAAAGTCTGTTTTACTGGAGACTAGGATTGCAACCCTGCTTTTTTTTGCTTTCCATTTGCTTGGTAGATCTTCCTCCATCCCTTTATTTTGAGCCTATGTGCGTCTTTGCACATGAGATGGGTCTCCTGAATACAGCACACCGATGGGTCTTGACTCTTTATCCAATTTGACAGTCTGTGTCTTTTAATTGGTGCATTTAGCCCATTTACATTTAAAGTTAATATTGTTATGTGTGAATTTGATCCTGTCATTATGATGTTCACTGGTTATTTTGCCCATTAATTGATGGAGTTTCTTCATAGCGTCGATGGTCTTTACAATTCGGCCTGTTTTTGCAGTGGCTGGTACCAATTGTTTCTTTCCATGTTTAGTGCTTCCTTCAGGAGCTCTTGTAAGGCAGGCCTGGTGGTGACAAAATCTCTCAGCATTTGCTTGTCTGTAAAGTATTTTATTTCTCCTTCACTTATGAAGCTTAGTTTGGCTGGATATGAAATTCTGGGTTGAAAATTCTTTTCTTTAAGAATGTTGAATATTGACCCCCACTCTCTTCTGGCTTGTAAGGTTTCTGCTGAGCGATCCGCTGTTAGTCTGATGGGCTCCCCTTTGTGGATAACCCAACCTTTGTCTCTGGCTGTCCTAAACACTTTTTCCTTCATTTCAACCTTGGTGAATCTGACAATTATGTGTCTTGGGGTTGCTCTTCTCAAGGAGTATCTTTGTGGTGTTCTCTGTATTTCCTGAATTGGAATGTTGGCCTACCTTGCTATGTTGGCCTACCTTGCTCTGTTGGGGAAGTTCTCCTGGATAATATCCTGAAGAGTGTTTTCCAACTTGGTTCCATTCTCCCCATCACTTTCCGGTGCACCAATCAAATGTAGATTTGGTCTTTCCACATAGTTCCATATTTCTTGGAGGTTTTGTTCATTTCTTTTTACTCTTTTTTCTCTAAACTTCTCTTCTTGCTTTATTTCATTAATTTGATCTTCAATCACTGACAGTCTTTCTTCCACTTGATCAAATTGGCTATTGAAGCTTGTGCATGGGTCACAAAGTTCTCGTGCCATGGTTTTCAGCTCCATCAGGTCATTTAAGATCTTCTCTATACTGTTTATTCTAGTTAGCCATTCATCTAATCTTTTTTCAAGGTTTTTAGCTTCCTTGCGATGGGTTCAAACATCCTTCTTTAGCTCGGAGAAGTTTGTTATTACCGACCTTCTGAAGCCTACTTCTGTCAACTCGTCAAAGTCATTCTCCGTCCAGCTTTGTTCCATTGCTGGCAAGGAGCTGCGATCCTTTGGAGGAGAAGAGGTTCTCGATTTTTTAGAATTTTCAGCTTTTCTGCTTTGGTTTCTCCCCATCTTTGTGGTTTTACCTACCTTTGGTCTTTGATGTTGGTGACCTACAAATGGGGTTTTGGTGTAGATGACCTTTTTGTTGATGTTGATGCTATTCCTTTCTGTTTGTTAGTTTTCCTTCTAACAGTCAGGTCCCTCAGCTGCAGGTCTGTTGCAGTTTGCTGAAGTTCCACTCCAGACTGTGTTTGCCTGAGTATCACCAGCAGAGGCTGCAGAACAGCAAATACTGCAGAATGGAAAATATTGCTGCCTGATCCTTCCTCTGGAAGCTTCGTCCCAGAGGGGTAGCCACCTATATGAGGTGTCTGTCGGCCCGTACTGGGAGATCTCTCCCAGTTAGGCTGCACGGGGGTCAGGGACCCACTTGAGGAGACAGTCTGTCTGTTCTCAGAGCTCAAACGCCGTGCTGGGAGAACAACTGCTCTCTTCAGAGCTGTCAGACTGGGACGTTTAAGTCTGCAGAAGTTGTCTGCTGCCTTTTGTTCAGCTATGCCCTGCCCACAGAGGAGGAGTCTAGAGGCAGTAGGCTTTGTTGAGCTGTGGTGGGCTCCAACCAGTTTGAGCTCCCTGGCTGCTTTGTTTACCTGCTCAAGCCTCAGCAATAGCAGATGCCCCTCCCCCAGCCAGGCTGCCATCTTGCAGATCAATTTCAGACTGCTATGCTAGCAGTGAGCAAGGCTCCGTGGGCGTGGGAGCCACTGAGCCAGGCATGGAAGAGAATCACCTTGTCTGCTGGTTGCTAAGACCTTGGGAAAAGCACAGTATTTGGGCGGGAGTGTCCCGTTTTTCCAGGTAGTCTGTCACCCTTCCTTTGGCTAGGAAAGGGGAATCCCCCGACCCCTTGCACTTCCCAGGTGAGGTGATACCCTGCCCTGCTTCAGCTCACCCTCCATGGGCTACACCCACTGTCCAACCAGTCCCAGTGAGATGAACGAGGTACCTCAGTTGGAAATGCAGAAATCACCCATCTTCTGTGTTGATCATGCTGGGAGCTGCATGATCAGAGCTGTTCCTATTCGGCCATCTTGGAACACCCCCGACTTTCACCACTTCTATTCAATATAGTACTGGAAGTCCTAGCTAGAGCAATCAGACAAGAGGAAGAAATACAGGGCATCCAAATTGGTAAAGACGAAGTCAAACTGTCGCTTTTTGCTGATGATATGATTGTATAGCTGGAAAACCCTAAAGACTCATCCAAAAAGCTCCTAGGTCTGATAAATGAATTCAGTAGTTTCAGGATACAAAATCAATGTACACAAATCAGTAGCACTGCTATACACCAACAATGACCAAGCTGAGAAACAAATCAGGATCTCTACACTTTTTGCAAAAGCTGCAAAAAATAAAATAAAATACTTATGAATATATCTAACCAAGGAGGTAAAATATCTCTACAAGGAAGATTCCAAAACACTGCTGAAATAAATTATCAATGACACAAACAAATGTAAACACATCCCATGCTCATGGATGGGTAGAATCAATATTGTGAAAATGACCATGCTGCCAAAAGCAATCTACAGGTTCAATGCAATTCCCATCAAAGTACCAACATCATTCTTCACACAATTAATAAAAGCAATATTAGTTGTGTGAAGCATATCCTAAAATTCATATGGAACCAAAAAAAGAGCCCACATAGCCAAAGCAAGAATAAGCAAAAGGAACAAATCTGAAGGCATCACATTACCCAACTTCAAACTATACTACTAGGCTATCATTACCAAAACAGCACGGAACTGCTATAAAAATAGGCATGTAGACTAATGAAAGAGAAAAGAGAACCCAGAAATAAAGCCAAATACTTACAGCCAACTGATCTTTGACAAAGCAAACAAAAACATAAAGTGAGAAAAGGACACCCTATTCAACAAGTGGTGCTGGGATAATTGGCAAGCCACATGTAGAAGAATGAAATGGGATCTGCATCTCTCACCTTATATTAAAATCAACTCAAGATGGATCAAAGACTTAAATCTAAGACCAGAAACCATAAAAATTCCAGAAGATAACATTGGTAAAATTCTTATAGATGTTGGCTTAGGCAAAGAGCTCATGACCCAGAATCCAAAAGCAAGTGCAACAAAAACAAAAATAAATAGATGGGACATAATTAAACTAAAAAGCTTCTGTGCAGCAAAATAATAATCATCAGAGTAAACAGACAACCAACAGATGGGAGAAAATATTTGCAAAATATGTATCCGACAAAGAAGTAATATCCAGAATCTACAAGGAATGCAAATAAATCAGCAAGACAAAAAGCAAATAATTCCATCAAAAAGTGGCAAAGGACATGAATAGACAATTCTCAAAAGAAGATATACAAATGGCCAACAAACATATGAAAAAATGCTCAATATCACTAATTATCACAGAAATGCAAATTAAAACCACAATGAGATACCACGTTACTGCTGCAAGAATGGTCATAATTAAAAATCAAAAAATAATAGATGTTGCTGTGGATGTGTTGAAAAGGGAACACTTTTACATTGCTGGTGGGAATGTAGACTAGTACAACCACTATGAAAATCAGTATGTAGATTCCTTAAAGAATTAATAGTAGAACTACCATTTGATCCAGCAATCCCACTACTCCTGGGTATCTACTCAGAGGAAAAGAAGTCATTATATGAAAAAGACACTTGCACACATGTGTTTATAGTAGCACAATTCACAATGGCAAAAATATGGAACCAGTCTTAATGTCCGTCGACCAACAAGTAGATAAAGAAAATGTGGTGTATATGCACAATGGAATACTACTCAGCCATAAAAGGAATAAAATAATGGCATTTGCAGCAACCTGGATGCAGCTGGATACCATTATTCTAAGTGAAGTAACTCAGGAATGGAAAACCAAACATCACATGTTCTCACTTATAAGTGGGAGCTAAGCTATGAGGATGCAAAATAATAATAATAATATGATGGACTTTGGGGACTTGGGGGGAAGGTGGGGAGGGGAGTACGGGATAAAAGACTACACATTGGGTACAGTGTACACTGTTCATGTGACAGGTGCACCAAAAATCTCAGAAATTACCATTAAAGAACTTATCCATGTAATAAAAAACCACCTGTTCCCCAAAAACTTTTGAAATAGAAAAAAATTAAAAATAAAAAAAACAAAAATAACTAGTATGCCTATACACCAACAACAGCCAAGCCAAGAGCCAAATCAGGAAGGCAATCCCATTCACAATTGCTACAAAAAGAAAAAATACCTAGGAATATAGCTAACCAGGGAGGTAAAAGATCTCTACAATAAAAATTACAAAACACTGCTCAAAGAAATCAGAGAAGACACAAACAAATGGGGAAAATCATCCCATGCTCATGGATAGAAAGAATGAATATCATTAAAACGGCCATAGTACCCAAAGCTATTTAGAGATTCAATGTTAATCCTATCAAACTACCAACAACATTCCTCACAGGACTAGAAAAAACTATTTTAAAATTTATATGGAACAAAATAAGAGCCCAATAGCCAAGGCAATCCTAAGCAAAAAGAACAAACCTGGAGGCATCACATTACTTGACTTCAAAGTACACTACAGGGCTACAGTAACCAAAACAGCATGGTACTGCTACAGAGCAAACAGGCAACCTACAGAGTGGGAGAAAATTTTTGCTATCTATCCATCTGACAAAGGTCAAATATCCAGAATCTACAAGGAACTTAAACAAATTTACAAGAAAAAAAACCATGAAAAAGTGGGCAAAGGACACAAACAGACACTTCTCAAAAGAACACATTCATGCGGCCAAAAATCATATGAATAAAAGCTCAACATCACTGATCATTAGAGAAATGCAAATCAAAACCACAGTGAGGTACCATCTCACACCAGTCAGAATGGCCATTATTAAAAAGTCAAAAAATAACAGATGATGGAGAAGTTGTGGAATAAAGGGAATACTCATAAACTGTTTGTGGGAGTGTAAGTTAGTTCAATCATTGTGGAAAGCCATATGGTGGTTCCTCAAAGAGCTAAAAACAGAACAACCATTCAACCCAGCAATCCCATTACTGGGTATATACCCAGAGGAATATAAATCATTCTACCATAAAGACACATGCACGTGAATGTTTATTGCAGCACTATTAACAATAGCAAAGACATGGAAACAACCTAAATGCCCATCAATGACAGATTGGATAAAGAAAATGTGGTATATATACACCATGGAATACTATGCAGCCATAAAAAAGAATGAAATTGTGTCTTTTGTGGGAACATGGATGTAGCTGGAGGCTATTATCCTTAGCAAACTCATGTAGGAACAGAAAACCAAATGCCACATGTTCTCACTTATAAGTGAGAGCTAAATGATGAGAACCCATGAATGCAAAAAAGGGAACAAAAGACACTGAGGTCTACGTGAGGATGGAGGGTGGGAGGAGGGAGAGGAGCAGAAAAGATAACCCCTGGGAACTAAGATTAATATCTGCATGATGAAATAATCTATACAACAAACCCCCATGACATAAGTTTACCTATATAACAACCCTTCACATATGCCTCTGAACCTAAAAGTTTAAAAATTTTAATTGTACATTTGAAAATAACTAAAGAGTATAATCGGACTGTTTGTAACACAAGGATAAATGCTTGAGGGGATGAACACTCCATTCTTCATTATGTGATTTTTTTTTTTTTTTGAGATGGAGCCTTGCTCTGTCACCCAGGCTGGAGTGCAGTAGCGTGATCTCGGCTCACTGCAACCTCTGCCTCCCAGGTTCAAGCGATTCTCCTGCCTCAGCCTCCCAAGTAGCTGGGACTACAGGCGTGTGCCACTATGCCTGGCTGTCTTTTTTTGTTTGTTTGTTTTTGTTTTGTATTTTTAGTAGATACAGGGTTTCACCCTATTGGCCAGACTGGTCTCAATCTCCTGACCTGGTGATCCGCCCACGTCAGCCTCCCAAAGTGCTGGGATTACAGGCTTGAACCACCACGCCTGGCCCATGATGTGATTATTATATATTGTATGCCTATATCAAAACATCTCATGTATCTCATAAATATATACACCTACAATGTACCCACAAAAATTAAAAAGAAAAAGTAATAAAGTGGGAATATTTTCAGGGTTGCTGAATGAAAAGCATCAAACTCTGTGAAATATGGCCAACTGCTATTATTATCTCTGCCTTCTGAAATCTGGCCCATTTTTCTACTTTTATTTTTTTAATTAATATTTAATAAGTGTACATATTTATGAGGTACAGTGTGATATTTCAATACATGTATACAATGTGTAATTATCAAATCACAGTAATTAGCATATCCATCATCTCAAACATTTATCATTTCTTTGTGTTGGGAGCATTCAAAATCTGCTCTTCTAGCTATTTGAAAATATACAGTAAATGTTGTTAATTATGATCACTTTACAGTGCTATGGAACACTATAATTTATTCCTCTGATCTAGCTGTAATTTTGTATCCATTAACCAACCTCTGGCTATCTCCCACTACCTCATCTTTCCTCGTCTCTAGTAACTACCATTCTCCTCTCTACATTTTTAAGATAAACATTTTTAGCTTCTACATACGGGTGAGAACATGTATTATTTGTCTTTCTCTGCCTGGCTTATTTCACTTTACATAATGTCCTCCAAATTCACCCATGTTGCCACGAATTATAGAATTTTCTTCTTTTTTATGGCTGATTAGTATTTCATTGTGTATATATACCACTTTTTCTTCATCTATTCATCTGTTGATGGACAGTTTGGTTGATTCCACATCTTGGCCATTATAAATAATGCTGCAATAAACATGGAGTGCAGATGTCTCCTTAACACACTGATCTCCTTTCCTTTGAATATATACCCAGTAGTGGGATTGCTGGATCATGTGGTAGCTCTATTTTTAGGTTTTTTTTTTTTTTGGCAACCTCCATACTGTTTTTCATAATGTACATTCCCACCAACAATATATAAGAGTTTCTCGTTCTCTGTATTTTTGCATTTGTTGTCTTTTTTTTTTTTTTTTTTGCATTTTCAAATATTCTCTGTATCTTTGCATTTTTTCATATACCTGTTAGCCATGTATATGTCTTCTCTCAAGGGATGTCTAATTTCTCTCAAATGAGGTATCTCATTTGATTCTGGCCTATTCTTAAGTGTCTCCTTCTCCATGAAATTTTCCTCAATCTCCTAAGGCAGCAAGTATCCCCAGAAATTGTATGAAAAAAAATGTGCATATGTACACTTCTCCCCTTGGGAGAAGATTCTGCTGTAACCAGGGAATACCAGTGACTGCTATGAACCATTCACTCATATTCTTATCCAGGTGAGAGAAGGAGCAGTGACAGAGAGAATGGAGGCAGAACTTGAGACAGGTGATTGAACAGAAGCTGTTAGAGAGCCAAGGCCACGAGATGCTGCAAGAAAATAAGAATATGAAGAAACATGAGAAAAGTTCTTGCCAAATATGTCAGAATTTTATACAGCCACATCACCCAAAGATGAGTTCCATTTTCAGGGCACTGGGAAGGCCTCTGTCTCACTTCCTTTTAAAATGTAGCTACTATTCCATTATGCAGTTCCTTGCCAATTAAGCCTTGACCTCTTTCATCTACTCTAAATCAGAATAACTTACCGCTATTATTGTCTTTCATCTTTAAAATGCTTTTATTAAGACTCAATTATAAACTCCCTCAGAGGCTTCTGGTTTCTGGCAATAGCAGGCTAGGTTATTCAGGTCAACACTCTTGCTGAAAACAACAACAAAAATACTGATAACATATATTTAAACAAACACCACTACCTTAAAATAATCAAATATTTGAAAACACAATTAAGAACTTCCAGGTCAACATTTGGATAAAATCCTGCTACCAAAATAGTAAGAAGACTACTGAATGATCAAAATCCTTAGAAGTATCTGTCAATACTGCTGTAGTCACTATGGGCCAAATGGATACTAGTCAAGTGCGGCCCACAGAAACTGGAGAGTCTTACTGGGTATTCTTCCCAAATTAATACACATGCAAATTAAGGATAAACCAGACCTAAATTTGCCTCTCTTACCCCTCAACCTGAAAGGACTGCAGGAAAACTGCCTTGGTACTAAGCAAAGAAGAAGAAAAAAAAGGAACAAAATGTCCTTGAGAAGCTGTGGCCATAGACCAAATTCTTATGGCTTTGTACCATGGGTACACTTAGCCTGCATGAGCCAGACTTTAAGCCAAGCATGTGCTGTGAGGAGATCTCAACTGTTGTCCCCAGGTGCCTGACAAAAACAAAATAAAGCCTCTCTAGAGGAGGACACACCCAGACTAGGTTTCAGAGTATCCTCCTAAATAATTTGAGGACAATTGCCAGTTATCTAGTCAAAGATAACAAATAACCAAGGGAATAAGAACGAGCAAAACAACAGAGAGAAGGAATAGACCCACACAGGCTTCAGCTATTAGACCTAGATTAAAAAACAATTATGGTTACGATGTTTATAGAAATGAATGGCAACCTTGAAATTAACTATAGTAGACTATAAAAAGTCACATATCATGTCTGAAAAGAAATGAAACTAAAAACAAAAACATAGTAACTGAAATAAAAACTCAACAATTATATTTGCAACATATTGCCAATACCTGTATAAGAGAGAAATAATGAACTGGAGGGCCGATTGAGGAGGTGGGGTCAGAAGACCATGCATAGAATGCAGTACTGAGAGGAAAAAAATAACCACATATACAAGATGTGGAGAACATAGGAGAATATAGTACAAAGTTCTAACATTGGCATGCCAGGAAGCAGTGGATAAGAGCGTAGGGTAGAGCTTGAGAATTTTTTGTAACTGATAAGACACCAATTCACAGATTTAAGACTCGGTCAATTCCATGCAGAAAAGAATGAAACTCATGCTTAGACAACTGGTTATGAAAGTGCAGAAACCTAAGATAAAGAGAAAATCTTAAAACAGTCAGAGAAAATTCTCTTCAAAGGAGCAACTAACAATAGGCTGCTTAACAGCGTGTCAGTAAAGGGTAGACCGATACAGGTTTAATATGGTCAAAGAAAATTAGTGCTAACCTAGAATTTACAATAACAACAAAGAGTGCCACTCAAGAACAAATTTGGTCCCTGTTCTTAGTCTGTGATCCCCTATAAAGTTCTGGACACTCTGGGAGAGGCTTGAAAAATCCACGTTGCTTGCATTTTAAGAGTAATGGATAAGGTCATAAGTTAATCAGACCCATGTTTGAGAAAGTTGTAGAACAAGGCCCTGCTATGGCACACAGAGTTGGTGAAAAGGGATGAGAGGGTACCTGAGAGGTGGGAGGTGGCTGACAGAGACCATCCAGCCCTACCTTAAAATCTTCCCTGCTGCGAATATAGCTTGTTGGTGGAAAATACCTGCTTTCTCCTTTCCTTGACTCCTCATCACTTGGTACATCAAGGACCAGTTCCTTATCCCTTACCGGCAGGGTTGACATTCAAAATATTTAATAATGCTAAGTACCAGTACGTATCAATCAGAAAAGACACCTAATGTAAGTCCAGATCCTGGCTGCTGCATAGGATCAAGATCCTGGGGGCCCCCTGTGGTATAAATTGTTAAACACTTTAGTAGCTGGATTGTGGAAAAGCCCCAGAGGAGGAACCTGATCCGCTAGGATAATGCAGATATTCAAGGCAGAGGCTATTTAGCAACAAGTATTTCCATATTTTAATACATGCATTGGCAACACTAGTACATACTAACTGAATAAGAGCCCTGCTTACAGCCCTTCCACCAGGAACCTTAACAGCTCTCAACCTTCTGCTCCCGGATCATTTGCCTTATGATTCCCCTTTCAACTTTAAACCTTTCAATAATGCTGCTTTCTTGTCTAGTTCTACCAGGAATACCCCTTACCATAAAATCCATTTTTTTCTCAGAACCTAGTTCTGAGTTCCCTTGAAACACTGAGACAGAAATTGCATATTCTCTTTTGGTGGACTGTTCATTCCTGAATATGCCTGTATCATTTCGTTTCACCCTAGTGGGCTTTATAAAATGAGAATCTAGATTTACGCAGAAAATAAGAGGTATTTCTTTGCTGTGGGCAGATTTAAAATAAGCTTTCTTCAAAATGGCAAGCTCCTTTGGTACATTTTGTTTGCTTAAAATAACTTTGTTTCTGGCTGGACATGGTGGCTCACGCCTTTAATCTCAGCACTTTGGGAGGCTGAGGTGGGCGGATCACAAGGTCAGGAGTTCGAGAGCAGCCTGGCCAATATGGTGAATCCCCGTCTCTACTAAAAATACAAAAAAAAAAAAAAAAAACAAGCCAGGCATGGAGGCACACGCCTGCAGAACCAGCTACTCGGGAGGCTGAGGGAGGAGAATTGCTTGAACCTGGGAGGCAGAGGTTGTAGTGAGCCAAGATCGCGCCACTGCACTCCAGCCTGAGTGATAGAGCGAGACTTCATCTCAAAAAATAAATAACTTTGTTTTTTTATTACACACTATATAATAGAAAAATAGAAAATACAAATAAAATCACTTATAATCTTCTACTTCTTTCAGATATTGACTTTATTTATGTCTATTCGTCTATCTATATGTATGTATATAAAGTGAATGTTACACTTTATATATAAACCCTTTTAGGATAAAGTTATATCTATATTCATTGTCAGTGTCAGATGCACCAAAGTATGGCCATATTTAGCTAAAGAAACAATTTCTTCTTCCTAGAGACAATAGCTTTATTTGGATTTTAGTGACTATATCAAACACTATCAATGTGAAGTTGCTTTGACATCAAATGAAAAATCCTGTCGTAGTGCTACTCAATATGTTTTGGATGATCATCTTCAGATACAAAAGCATATCATGAGTTCAGAACCCCAGGAATTCATTTTTAAACCTTGGGACTTGGAGTACATTTGAATTCAAATTCAGTAATGCCCTTAGATCAACTTGAACTGACAAATGCTTCAGAAGAAAGAGGAATAAAGCAATTTGATGAAAATCACACTGTGCAGTGCCTTGTCACTCCAGATATTTCACTTTTACATTAAATTTTTTTTCAATTAATTTAAAGGTAACTGCTATATGCCAGATATTCAGGCTATTCATCATTATTATTCATTTATTTATATGCAGCACTGTCATTTCCAAGGACATAATTCTTAATGAAACATAATTACTCTAAACCTATCTACTTGCTTATATAAAACTTTGTGAAATCTTTTTCCTAGAAAGAAAGTTAAACATTGGTTGAGAGAATGTTCACCTGGGACCTCTACATACCAGGCACACTTGGCCTGTATTCCTTGTCCCCTCATGCCTACCAGCCTCCTTGTCCTGAGCCCCAGGAGCCTCAGGTTTGTAGAGCATTGTTCCAAGCACAACAAAATCTCAACAAAAATTTGCTGATGGAAGGTGGCTTCCAGAGAAAAAGAACAATGCATGCTATGAAAGATGTGGGAAACGCTACTACACTGGCACTTGAATTAAGTAAAGACAAATGCCCATTAAAACACCCTGCAGGCACTCCCCTCATCCACTTCGTTTGACAAGAACATAGAATCACAGACTCAAAAGTATAAAAAAGCTTACAACAGGAAGAGACTTTGGAGCTAATGCTGTCCATTATTATTTTGTAGGTAATAAAACTAAGACCCAGAGATTCACTTCACTTGACAACCCTGGGGCAAAGAAGTACCCAGAGCCCACTGGTCATGACTTACCATGGGGTCTGTACCCCATGAGTGAAGAGTGGGGTAGAGAACGAATCCGCAGATGGAGAACTGTGGAGATCACTAACAAACTCCCCAGTCTACTGCCATATTTACAATGTCTAGCAATTCCCATCTATGAAATCACCTCCTTTGTTTCATTCAAAGCTCACTTTAAACTTTGACTCCTCTAAAAATACTCATTAGAAAAACATAAGGTTAATGTAATTTTTAAGGTAAAATTAACACAAGTCAAACACATTACTAATAATCTGGATTTTTACACTTTCAGGTAAACAAAAGTTAGCATCCTCTGCATCTGGAATTCTACATCAAACTCCCATGGAGTAAATTTAACAAATTTAAAATGTTTAGAAGGTAGTCACATGAAGTGTACAGCACATTGTGGTTGGTCAATGCTTTTGCAATCAGTCCAACATTTGCCTCTAAGTGTTGGGCAACCACAAACTCCATTTTTCTTGGAAGACAGTTCAGTGGATCTCCAACTCAATTTAGTCTGCTGCTGGCTGCTACTTGACTATGTGGTCAAAACTTTTGCTTTCATTCACCTCATACAGAAATCAGGCTGATAATCTTAACATTTCCTCTAACAGGAAAAGTAACTGACATGTGATGATGTATCAGTAATGGAGCATGAAGATTACCCTACTTAACATTCTTAAATGGTTCCCCAGAGCCTACAGGATAAAGTCCAGACTCCTTTAACTGGCTATCATGGATCTTCAGAATCTGAATCTCATTTATCTTTCTAATACCATTTCTCAATCCTCCCCCTTCTTACTCTCTGGCCCAGGCATGCTGAACTATTCTTAGCTCTCTGGAAAAGTCAAATGCTCTAGATATACTCTCTTGACATTTACCTGGCTAGTTCCTACTCACACTACAAAGGTCCATTTAGTGGCCTGCATCCATTTGGAGCCTATCATAATTAAATCAAGCATGCCCTAAATGCAGGAACAGTCAACCCACTTACAGTGAGACACCTCTCACATCAACATTTGCCTTTCTTCACTAATCGCTTGGTAAAATAGTTTATACTGATGACCTCTACTTTTTTTATCATCCAATAATTTCTAAACCCTTTGTAAACTTGCCTTCCCTACCATTACTCAACTTTTTTGAAGGCTGATAGTGTCCTCATAATCATTTATTTCATTGGCAATAGTTTTGGCAAATACTAAGCCTCCTTAAATTCTCTAAAGCTATCAAGATGCTAGTCACCCAGTCACATTTTCCCTTTCTTTTCCTTCTGTGACATAAAGTTATTCTGGGTCTCTTATTCTGATTGTTCCTACACTGACTCCACTTCTTTTTCTTTCACTTTTTCTTCTTTCCTGATTCTCTTTCTCTGATTGTTCCTTCATTGGCTCCACTATCATTCACTGGCTCCACATCTTCCTCTGATTAAAGATATTCTTCTGGGTTCATTAGATTAAAAACATCAGCAATAGGATGCCTCCCACTCCCTCAATTCAACAAACGCATTTGTGTATCCAGTTGATTCTAGCTTCTCAGGGAAAAAAGGAGAAATTACAATCCAGTAAAAAAAGATGTTAGTATCATTAAATATAACTTAGGTTCATATCTCAGGTCTGTCAGTCATGAGCAATGTGGCATGAGGTATACTACTTAATCAATTTAAGCCTCTGTTTTTCATCTATAAATTGGAGAAAATAATGCCTATCTTTTAGTATTACTTTATGAATTGCAGTATGCAAAGTACATATTCCAATGGCAGGTAGGTACATAGTGGGCATTTAATAAAAATTTTTCCTTATTACTGTTATTTCCACACTCACTTCCACCAAACTTATATAGTCTGTTTCAACTTCTTTTAGTGTGTCATACACATCAACAAAAGACAAATCATCTAGAGTACAGATATAAACAGGTTTCCTATCTGGCCCAGTAAGTCCCAACTGCTTGACTCAAAGCTCAATTTCTCCCGATTTAAAAATCTTCAGGTTCTAGCCCCAAGCTTCCTCTTCAACCTTCTCCCTCACTGCTCTTCTAAATGAATACCATTCTCCAAACAAATTGGACCTTTTTTGGTTCTCAAACATGCCGTATACTCTTCACCTCAAAGTCCACCTCAGATTCTACCTCCTTTATGAAACTTATCTCCCTAGCTGGATATTTTATCTTCAGAGTATTTTACTGGTACTTCTCTCAGAAGGTACTCATATTCTGCCTGGTATTCAATTATTTGTGCATAAATAACCTTTCCTGCTTATAAATTGTAACCCCTTTGAAGGGAGAAACTAGGTTCCTATTCGTGCTAGTACTTACCACTTAGCTAAGTGATAACACATGTATATTTAAAAATAATAAACAAGGCTGGGTGTGGTGGCTCAAGCCTGTAATCCCAGCACTTTGGGAGGCAACGCAGGCAGATCACCTGGGGTCAGGAGTTCAAGATCAGCCTGGCCAACATGGTGAAATCCCATCTCTTCTAAAACTACAAAAATCAGCCAGGCGTGGTGGCGTGCACCCGTAGTCCCAGCTACTGGGGAGACTGAGGCAGGGGAATCGCTTGAACCCGGGAGGTGGAGGTTGCAGTGAGCTGAGATGGCGCCACTGCACTCCAGCCTGGGTGACAATGTGAGACACCATCTCAAGATAAATAAATAAATACAAATAAAATAAAATAATAAACAAAAAACCCTGACTCTTTCTCAACGAATTATTTTCCTCAACTTCTTATGAAGAGGTAGGAATAGGGTGGGAAGGGAACAGTGTATATAGGGTACTTACAGAGGCACTGCAACCTGAATTCCCACTTGGAATTCTCCCAGCTGCTGCAAAAAGGCAGGGCTGAAATAGCTATTATAGAAATTGACTAGGTAAGACTTTAAGATCTGTTAATCGATTGCAGTCAACCTCTTGGGAAACCCTTTACCAATCTGCTAAGCTTGTCTATATTTCTTTTCTTCCCAACGGTTATTTTTCCTAACCTTCCAGTCTCCTCTAAACCAAGTAAACAAAAGATTTTAATTTAAACCCACAGTCGAACGCCTAGTGAAATACACGTGTATATTTAATGTTATGTATTAGTTCCTATTTAAGAATTTTATTTCTTTAAAATTTATTTCAACCAAAATCCAACACCAAATTCTATGGGTAATATCTTAAGGCAGCACCTAGTATAGTGCTTTGTATATAGTACACATTCAGTATGTAATGGTTAAAAGAGTGAATTTACAGTCTACAATTGCAGGACTTAATTTTGGCTAATTGCAGTGGAAAACATGAGAAAAGATATAGTCCAAGTAAGAATGACACTTGAGGGTTCAGGCCCGCAACACCAGCTAGGTAGACCCTTAGGTGGCCCAGTGGTATACAAAGATTTAAGCATTCCCAGCTGAGCCCCTTGACAATAGAGATACATCATTTTATTTTGTATCACTTAGTACTGTGCCAAATCCAAAAATACTCTCTCAAGTGCAAGAGTATTCAGGAGTTAGAAATATTGAAAGTTCCACTATTCAAGCAAATTAGGTATAGTTCATATAATTTTTTCAACTCAGGATCCTCAGTCACTCCATAGAGTAAGCAAAGTATGCAATTACTAGAATTATTAGTCTCAATTTACATAAGATCACACTGCTGGCACTAAACTCCAGTTCCAGACTCTTTTTTCCACTATTGAATGCCACAGAAACATAAAAAAAAAAAAAATGGAAGGATCTTTAGAAACCATGTAGCTGGATTTTTTTTAAGATGATGAAAACTGAGGCCCATGAAGAGAGTCACATTAGCTCAAGGCTCCTACTAAAGCCAAATAATTTCGTGCAAAATCATCTCCCTCTGATTATCATTATCTACACACACAAATACATAATTTTTCTTTTTGCCTTTCTGAAAATCTGGAGGTCTGAAAAGACTTTAAGATTTCTCTCAAGTTAAAAATACACGTTTGTACGTGTAACCAGAGGGCAAGTTTTCTATGGTCCACATGTTTTCTTAAAAAAAAAAAAAAAAAGGAAATACAGGAGATGTGCAGTGCGTGTGACAGGCAAATGTTCTCGAACTTTATTGTGTAGTGTAACCCCTATGGCACAGGCCCTTAGAATTCAGCCACATTAATGAAGAGATATTTTTATGTAGTAGAAAGAGCACAAACTTTGAGGTGTTTTGTTTTGAGACAGAGTCTTGCTCTGTTGCCCAGGCTGGAGTGCAGTGGCGCGATCTCAGCTCACTGCAACCTCCACCTCCTGGGTTCTAAGCGATTCTCCTGTCAGCCTCTGGAACAGCTTGGATTACAGGCGCCCGCCACCACGCCAGGCTAATTTTGTATTTTTAATAGAGACGGGGTTTCACCATGTTGGCCAGGCTGGTCTCGAACTCCTGACCTCAGGTGATCCACCCGTTTCGGCCTCCCAAAGTGCTGGGATTACAGGCGTGAGCCACCGCGCCCGGCCCAACTTTGAGGTTTTATCTGCCACTTACTATGCAGTCTTGGCTAGAACACTTAACTTCTTTGAGCCCGAGTTTCCTCATCATTAAATGGAGATAATTCAGGTTTGATGTGAAGATTTGAGAAGAAGGTATGTCTGACACACTGCCGAAGATCGATAAATATTTGTTGAATGAATAACACAGCCAGCCGAAGCTCAACAAAAGACACATACACAAACACACCCACACGGTTGGGTAGTTGCCGTCTCCCGGGGAGCTCCAGAAGTGTAAGCTCTCAGCCCTCCCTCTGACTTCAGAAGCCTGAAGCTACTAAGCCCGCAGCCCGGTGCGTCTCTTCGCAGCCTTAATCAGTGCCCGGGCAAAGGCCTGCAGAGAATTCTCTGGGCCTCGCACCAGGCCCCAAGAACACACTGGAGACTCGTTTCGCCTTCTCCCTCGCCGTTTCCCCCCTCCAGGGCCAGAGTCCGAGGAAGCCCGATAGCGGTTCTCGGCCTCCGAAACACAACTACAACACTGGGGAGCTTGCCCTGCAGTTAGCGTCCAGCGGGGATTAGGCACTTCGTTTTCCTCATCGTTTCAATCTCTATCTTCTGGTCGGGGTCCAAGCTCAGCGGCACCACGTCACGGCCCTTAGTGGTCTAGGCCACACCCCTCCTTCCCGACAGCCTCAAGTCCACTACCAGCGGTCTGGAAGGCCACGTTGCCTAGGAAACTGGGGCGGGGCTTGGGAAACGACGGCCCTGCGCGCAGTTTGCGCAGGCGCTCCGGCCCTGGCCTCTGACTATCGCGAGAATCGGCTCCCGGAAGTTCCACGTCAGTCAGTCTGACGGTCAGTGGATCGGTGGGTTTATCTCAAGGCCTGAGTAGCCGGTAACAAACGAGGGTTCCCGGGATTGGACCGACGCAGCCATGGTAGGTCCAGATCCCGTAGAAGGGAGCGGGGTCCCATAGGTTACGGCCGATTCCTGGAGCTTCTGGACTGAGGGCCGCGGTAAGCAGTGGTCTGGGCTCCCGCTGCGGCCGCCGCCTCAGGCCTTGCGGGGTCTTGGTCGTTTGATTCCAGGAAGGGAGAAGGCGGTGGGGCCTAGGGGACCGGGGTGATTTGGGGAGGCAAAGCCTGCTAGTGAGGGGTTTTGTCTCCCCTGGCGCTTGTGGCGCTTGCCAGAGCTCCTGCAGTCTGCAGCGGGATCGGTGGTGTAGGGAAACACAGAAGCCGAATGTGTTGAACTCCGTAGGAGGCTTTGGTAAAACTAAAGTTTGCCTTTAAAACGGTGGTAGTTAATCTACACTCCTGTTGGGCTTATTCTGGGGATAGTGTGTGCTGGCTACAAACTATAAACAAGCAAAGAAGCCAAAAACAAATGTATATGGAGTCAAAAATGGAATTTCAAATGCTTTGATATCTCAGCTGTTAGGTTTCTAAGGGGAGAAGAAGGGTTGGGAGGAAGGGGGTGCTGTTTATAACACTGGCTGGTGTGCTTTTATGCATTTGCAAATCCAGTGGCTGGTAAGAATAGTAATTGTTAGAGCACTTTGTTATTATCACCGTAACCCTAAAAAACGCCCTAGACTAGTTTGCACAAGAGTGTTATAATAATAAGGAAAGAAAACGATAGTATAAGAATATCTTCCGTCTCTATTGAAAATGCAAAAAAAAAAAAAAGAAATTAGCCGGGCGTGGTGGCGGGCCCCTGTAGTCCCAGCTACTCAGGAGGCTGAGGCAGGAGAATCGCTTGAACCCGGGAGGCAGAGGCTGCAGTGAGCCGAGGTCGCACCACTGCACTCCAGCCTGGGACAGAGCAAGACTCCGTCTCAAAAAAAAAAAAAAAAAAACTTGTTATGAAGCACAGAATCAAACATTTTGGAGCTTGAAGACGCTAGGGATTAAGTCCCTCATCTTAAGTTAAAAAATTTTTTTAAATTATGTTTCTACAAGGTTAATTGTGGCAAAGTTGGAACTAGGAAAAAGTTAGGAATACTCCCAGGGAAAATGCACAGAGAAACAAACATTTTTGCATAAAATTCAGTGCATTCATTCACAGACACCCCCCCCCACAATCCATGGACCTTCTTTTTTTTTTTAATTTGTTTTATAAAAAATATGGAACGCTTCACGGATTTGCGTGTCATACTTGCGCAGGGGCCACGCTAATCTCCTCTCTATGTGCTGCCGAAGCTAGCACTATCCGTGGACTTTCTTGGGCACCCAGGTTACAGTCCCTGAACAAGACCTCAAGCCTCTTAATTAGAGCACTTCGTATTACTAACTACCTGATGTAGTTTGGGTCTGCTGTGGTTGCAGTAATGGACGTTTTTGGAAAAGGCTCTTGGATCTGCCTAATTTCATTTTCTTTTGCCGTCTTTACATTTACCAGTGTATTTCTATAATGAAATATTGCCTTCATTCTTTATATATTTTAAATCCTTTGTGGAAAATACAAAACGTGAATTCATTCATTTGTACATTTACCATAGAATATTTAGTGTCTGCCATGCACTTTGCTAAACATGGCTGCCTAATTCTCACAGCAGCTGGGAGATAGAGTTATATGTTTGTGAAGTGGTTACTGTAGGTCAGGCACTGCTCTAACTGGCTAACTCTGAATTTAATTCTTACAGCACTAAGAGGTAGATAATAATAATATTCCTGTTTTACATAAGTCAAACTTGAAAGAGGTTAAGTAAATTTGCCCACTATTGCACATCTGAAATGAGTGGTGGAACTGAAATTTAAATCCATCATGGCTTTCTAGTCTTGTGTTATGGTATCTGTTCTTAAACCCCCATACTCAAATATATAAGGTGATCTGGAGATAAAGACATGTATAAGCAATGACCCTGGCTTTAAGGAGGATCTACTCTAGAAAGCAAGAAAAGATGTGTACACAAGTGTACCATGAACAGTTAAAATGAAATCCTATAGGATTCCCTAGGAAAGAATGCTTCAGGCTAGGGTAACTAGAAAGGTCTTACTGGTGGCAGTGGCATTTAAGCTGAGTCCTAAATGCATCCAGCTTTTGGAAGGTGGAGGGATATATTTAAAGTTGAGGATACAGTGTGAGCATCCTAATCATCTTTGTCCCAAAGTACCTAGTACATTGTCTTATTCAAAATAGTCACTTAACTGTTGGGAGAAATATTATCACAAGAACCCTTGCCTGTTCGTTCTTTCTTTCTTTTCTTTCTTTTCTTTTTCTTTTCTTTCCTTCCTTACTTCCTTCTTTCCTTCTTTCTTTCTTTCTTTCTTTCTTGACAGAATCTCACTCTGTCGCCCAGGCTGGAGTGCAGTGGTGCAATCGTGGCTCACTGCAACCTCCACCTCCCAGATTCAAGTGATTCTGCAGCCTCAGCCTGCCGAGTAGCTGGGACTGCAGGCGCGTGCCACCACGTCCAACTAATTTTTTTTTTTTTTTTTGTATTTTTAGTAGAGACGGGGTTTCACCATGTTGGCCAGGCTGGTCTCAAACTCCTGACTTCAGGTGATCCTCCCGCCTCAGCTTCCCAAAGTACTGAGATTACAGGCATGAGTCACCACGCCTGGCTGCCTGTTCTTTTTTAAACTGAGATTTGTGCTTTGGGAGTATGTAGAGGTTTACTGGGGTTGCTCAGAGTTCATTGGCCCAACTTATGGAGCATCACTTTTACTCAATAATCAATAATTTAAAATATTTTAAAGTAAAATGTTCACAATTTGTAAGTGTCCAATTTCCTCATTACTGGAGGAAAATTGTGAGACATGCTGGCTTATATGAAAACCCTCACCATGGTTCCTGCCTGGTACATAATAGACTCTTCATACCTGTTGACTCCATAGAGATTTAAAAAGAAGTTAAAATTTGTAATAGTAATTTATGGGGCAGAATTCAGAAATGAAGTAAAAAGCCTTGATTTTGGGAACTAGCAAGGAATGTTAAGATGATGATTTGAAAGTGGAAAATTGGAGCTGGGAGACCGAGGTGGGTGGATCACAAGGTCAGGAGAGGAGTTCGAGACCAGCCTGGCCAATATGGTGAAACCCTGTCTCTAAAAATACAAAAATTAGCTGGACATGGTGGCAGGCACCTGTAGTCCCCAGCTACTCGGGAGGCTGAGGCAGAATCCCTTGAACCTGGGAGGTGGAGGTTGCAGTGAGCCGAGATCACGCCACTGCCCTCCAGTCTGGGCGACAGAGCAAGACTCTGTCTCAAAAAAAAAAACAAGAAAGTAGAAAATTGGAGAGAGGAAGGGACTGATGACAGTGAAAACATTTTTGAGGAGATTGAAGAGAAGAGCCAGAGAACTCTGATCTTTTAAAGTAAGAGGTAAAGGTTGTTGCTGAAAATGAAGGAGGCGTGGGTAGAACAAGACTTGAAGTAGTCAATGACCCAAATTTGATAAAAATCCCCAAAAAAGATGAGTAAAAGCATTGTGAGGTGTTTTGTCTCAGGAAGTTGTCTCTGCTAGATCTTCTTTTTATATTCAAAAGTAACCTTAAATTTCTGTCCCATTCATGATCATCATAGAAGATCACAGCAATAAAGATTTGACAGTAACTCAACTTGCCAAATGAGCTTTTAGGTTGTGTTTAAGACCTGTTGAAGGGGAAATATATTTTAAATCAGTCTTTTCTCAGCATGCCTCCTAGAGAGAATTAAGCCCACTGCCCTAAGGATCATTGTATATATTGAATTAACTTTTCTCCTATAATGGCATTTTTTGGAGAATGGAGAAAATAGTTATTCAAATAATTATCTGTTCTGTAATTCAAAGGAAGAATTTGGCTTGAAAATGCTAGTATAAACTATTCATATTTTCTGACTTGAGAGAATGTTTTTATTTTTGTTTTAAATTTTTCCAATTTTCATTGTTTCTGTAATTTAAATCCATTAAAATATTTCAGACATTCCCATTTGATACCAAAGGCCATCATGCATAGGGATATAACCCTTATTGATCACACATTATGTTACCTAGCATTTACTAGTATTTTTGACAAGATAAATCTACCATTTTTCTCCAAAGAACTCAATATTATGCTTTATGGTTACTAGGACTTCATGAATAACACTTCTTCAGAATATTTCCTGATATGACACTATTGACCTGGGCACAAAATTGTGATTTGTGAATATTTAAAATTCATTGGCCGGGTGCGGGGGTTCACGCCTGTAATCCTAGCACTTTGGGAGGCCGAGGCGGGCGGATCACAAGGTCAGGAGATCGAAACCATCCTGGCTAACACGGTGAAACCCTGTCTCTACTGAAAATACAAAAAATTAGCTGGGCATGGTAGCATGCGCCTGTAGTCCCAGCTACTTGGGAGGCTGAGGCAGGAGAATCGCTTGAACCCGGGAAGCAGAGGTTTCAGTGAGCAGAGATCAGCGCCACTGCACTCCAGCCTGGACGACAGAGCGAGACTTCGCCACTGCACTCCAGCCTGGACGACAGAGCGAGACTTCGTCTCAAAAAGAAAAAAAGTAAATTTATTTACTAGATAATTCTATGAACTAGAGGTTCTCAAAATGTGGTCTGCGATTCCTTAAGAGTCCCTAAAACTCTTTCAGGAGGTCCACAAATTAAAATTATTTTCTTAACAGTGAGACGCTATTGGCACCTTTCACAATGTTGATATTTGCACTGATGGTGTAAAAGTAGTGGAAGGTAAAACTGCTAGTGAAGTGACACCAAATTGTACTGTTAGTATATTCTTCATTGTGACAGTTTTTTAAAAAGTCATTTTCACTTAAGAATGTCATTGATGAAACAGTAAAAATGTTATTACCTCTCCACACTTGAGTATGCATCTTTTAAATTCTGTGTGGTGAAATGGGGAGTATGCATAAAGCAGTTCTACTGCATACCGAAGTATCGTAGTTGTCTCAAGGGGAAACACTTGTAGCGTTTTTAAGTTGTGAGCTTTACTTGAAACAATGACTGAGAAACTCTGCTTATTCAGACTTGAATATTTGGTCGACATTTTTTAAAAACCTGAAAGAGGTTGGCTGGTCCCTGACAGTATTTCTTGCCAATGATAAAATTAAAGCTTTCAAGTGAAAGTTCGAATTTTGAAAAACTCACTGAACTTGATGGATTTCCAATGCTTAAAGGCTTATCAGTTGAAGTAGGTGGTGAAATTAGTGAATGTGTAATTTTTTTAATACAGTATCATGATGTTGTTAGCATCTAGAAGATGTGCATAATTCAGTGGACCAGCATTTTCCAAACGACCAATGCTTAATGGTAGAAAAACATGCATGAGAGAAAGATCCATTCAAAGTATGGACTTAACCAATGGATTTTAATGTAACGAAGTATAAACAGCTTATTGATACGGTTTCAGATTTTACCTTGCAAGTAGCCTTTAAGAAACTACCACTTCTCGAATTTCGAAGAATTTCAAGTAATGAAAAAACTATTAAGATACTCCTCACTTTCCAACTAGGTATCTGTGAGACCAGGCATTATTTTGTAGACATTAACCAAAACAACATATCACAACATATTGAAGGCAGAAGCAGATAATGAGAAACCATCTGTCTTCTGTTAAGTCAGATTATAAAGAGTTCTGCAAAAATGTAAAATATTGCCACTCTTTTCACTAAATTTTTTGAAAACATAGTTATTTTTCATAAAAACATGTTATTTTAATTAACATGTACTGGATTTATTTTTGTTATTTGAAAATGAATTAATATATAAATATTTTAAAGTTGTCTCAGGTTTAATTTTTAACATGGTAACATGCCAATAGCTAAAACTCACATAAACAAAAGCTCTTAGGGGTCCTCAAAGTGTTTAAGGACTATAAAGGAATCCTTAGAGCAAAAAGCTTGAAGACCACTGCTGTAAATCTTAAAATGTTGAATATTCTGATTTTTTTGATGTGTAAATGAAGAAATAAGTGCTTAGACTTGAAACTGTTTCAAAAGCTTAGCAAAGTAGTAGCTGAATTGTTTTGTAGGCCTATTCATGCACTTATTTAGTTAAAATCTCAAACATATTTTATTTGGCTTAGCAATTTAATTTTTTTAATGTTTCTTTTTAGCCTCTGCGACTTGATATCAAAAGAAAGCTAACTGCTAGATCTGATCGAGTTAAGAGTGTGGATCTGCATCCTACAGAGCCATGGATGTTGGCAAGTCTTTACAATGGCAGTGTGTGTGTTTGGAATCATGAAACACAGGTAGGAATTTTTCAGGACTGTATTAGAAATAAAATACTATGTGAGACTGTGTTTATAATGAAAGAGAAGAAATATTATAACAGAATCCAGAATCTATATGCAAACTGCTTTCTCAAGTTGGTACAAAGTATTTTAAATATGAAGGAACTAACATTTATGAGGGGATAGTTTGTAGGAGAAACTGTCCTGGGTATGTTATATACAATATTTAAATATAACAACTCTGACTTAGGTAGTATTAGCTCTTTTTTGAAATTGAGAAAACTGATGGTATTATAGAATCACTTGCTAAAGTATTTAATCGTTAGTTTTCCATTCAGTGAATACTCTATCTTAAGAATGATATCGTTAAATTTATTTTTCTCCCAGATGCCCAATATAATGATACACAGATAAATCTTTCACTCAGCCATATAGATTATATCAGGGAAATATTTATAGTCAGCTTTTGATTATACACACATCTTACAGATTGTCTGCCTGAATGCTTGACTCATTCTCTTTCACCTGAGTAAATAACATATCCTTCAAATTAGTTTGTCTCATATTTTCCAGTCTTCCTAGACTGTATTTAAGAGTACAAAGCATATAGTTAGCACTATACTATACAGTTGTGTCTACTTATATAGTAATTATCCTTAACGTCCAAAGTTAAGTTCTTGAAATCCAGGTAAAATTCGCATTTGAGGAATTTAAAATGGCAAAATGACATCAAGGAACCAAAGCCAGAAGTAAACCTAAAAACACCTTTATACTTTTATACTCACTGTAATGAAACAGAAATGACTGTACACTAAACTCATACCCTGTATTAGTCTGTTCTCACACTGCTGTAAAGAACTACCTGAGACTGGGTAATTTATGAAGGAAAGAGGTTTAATTGACTCACAGTTCCACAGGCTTAACAGGAAGCATGACTGGGAGGCCTCAGGAAACTTAAAATTTTGGCAGCAGGTGAAGGGGAAGCAAGCACCTTCTTCACATGATGGCAGGAGAGAGAGAGCAAAGTGGGAAGTGCCACACACTTTTAAACCATCAGATCTCATGAGAAGTCACTATCACGAGAACGGCAAGGGGGAAATCCACCCCCATGATCCAATCACCTCCCACCAGGGTCCTCCTCCAATTTGACATGAGATTTGGGTGGGGATACAAATCCAAACCATATCATAGTCCATCAGTGACATTTTATATAAATTAACATTTTGTTTTCTGCTGTATCTCAGTACCTATAACATTACCTGGCACATAGTAAATGCTCAATAATTATTTGTTCAACCAATGAATAATATGCATTTCACTTATCACTAGTTCAGTATTTGTGTTCTCTACAATTTCAGATCTTTATCTTGTGAATTGTTTTTGCTTTGATGCAAATAACTTTTTTTTTTTGCTTTTTGTTTAGTTCTTGAGATGTTTAAAATATTTCTGATTTTATGTTTAACAGATACGTTGGTGTCCTCTCTCTCTGATTATTCCTAGGGATTCCCTCTTATCAGCTACATTTACCTATCTCAGCTCTATCACTTGATCATCGTATGTTCTAAAGCCCAGGCGTACTTTTCTTATCTTTCTCTAGGCTTTATTGTAATATATCTCTGCTTTATCTGCATTTCCACTTTGCCTCCTTTTTCTCTTCTATACCTTTTTCTGCCCTATGACAGGACCATCTGCTTCCCCTTTCATAATTCATCTCAGTGGTAATTTCATGTTTAATTTCCTTCTTTCCTCTAAGAATGGAGGTTCTGTGAGGACAAGGATTACCCTCATCTTATTTCCCACTGTTGGTCCAGTGCATGAGGCACTACCTGATACACTGTCAGGCTCCTGGTAGATAGTAAGTCTTTGTTGAATGATTAATCTGTCTTTGATTCTCCCTGTTTTTTCCCTGTGTTTATATCACCAACAGCATTTACCACTCCTATATTGAGAGCAAATTCTTGAGAGAGCCAAAAAGGTTTTTGGAAGTAAAAAGGTTTTTAGATGTACTTGAATTTCAAATAAGGAGATGCTATATATTCTTTGAGGTGGTACATGCAGTGGTTTAAAAAACATAGTATTTTAGGATTTGAAGCCAACTTGCTGATTAAATTATATAGGCAAGCCTTTTAACCATGCTGAGCCTCTTTATTTATCTGAAGTGAAGATGATATTATTGCCTTGCCTACATCACAGGATTGTCAAAAAGATAAAATAAAATTAGATAAAATTGTGTATGAAACCTATAAAGTACCATATAAGTATTAGTCATTAGTTATACTTTCCTAATCTACGTTGAGTATTTGTATGTATTGTGTGTGTAGCTTTTCTTACTCTTTATTTGCATCAGTCATAGCCCCTAACATGGCGTTGAACCTTGGCTATTTCTTCTGCAGCTGCTTTATTTTTACTGCTCAGCAGATCCCTGGATTTGTTGGCTCCTCATGAGCTTTTGTGGATTTTTCTGCCGTGTTATAGATCGCATGTTGTGTCTACTCTCAGTTTCTGTATCATAGTCAGCTGGTAGTGATTCTACAGGTTAGAGTTGAAGTGCCTACTCATTCAGCCTTTGTCTAAAGAATCTTTGAACTCTGGCTTGAAAAGTCAGAGTAGGACAGTTCTTATGAACCGGTCCCTATTACTTTTTTAGTGCACATGGTTAATCAATCAGTAAGATTATATTGTGTTTCTTAGTTATTTCATTTTTGCTCTCTGATACAAAAAAGGATTAGAAAATGATAGTTTGACTTTCAGACTTTTAAGAACAGGCATCAAAGAAGGAGAACAAAGAGGTACCATGATCTCTGCTCTTTCTAGGAGGGTCTCTACCTTTATCCTATGTGTATAATTCCATTCTGAGCAGCTCGGAGGAACATATAAGTCACGGTGTTTTCATATTTTATTAAAAAGAAATAATAACATTTGTATGGAATCATATTGCTAAAGCATGCAAAAGAATTGTACCTTATTCATGAGTCACTTTTATGGGTTTCAATTTCAAAAAGACTGACTAGGTGCAGTGGCTCACGCCTGTAATCCCAGCACTTGGGAGGCTGAGACGGGTGGATCACTTGAGGCCAGGAGTTCGAGACTACCCTGGCCAACATGGTGAAACCCCGTCTGTACGAAAAATACAAAAATTTGCTTGGCATGGTGGTGCACACCTGTAATCCCAGCTACTTGGGTAACTGAAGCATGAGAATCACTTGAACCTGGGAGGCGGAGGTCGCAGTGAGCCAAGATTGTGCCACTGTACTGCACTTCAGCCTGGGTGACAGAGTAAGACTGTCTCAAAAAAAAAAAAAAAAAAAAAAAGAAAAGAAAAAAAGAAACTAAGAGCTAATTCATTCAACAAATATTTATTACACACTACTTGTGTGCCAGCCACTGTTCTATCCTCTGCCTATACAGTGTGAAAAATATTCCTGCCTTTGGAGAGCTTAGCAGGAAAGATTGGCACTAAACATAATTATGAGGTGCTACATTATGAAAGGGAAGTACAAGTTTCCATGGGTGGATTTTCAAGTCAGAGACAACAAGAGCAGAGGTGAGGCTGGGAGTAGCCAAAGGTGAGGCTGGAAAAGGGAGGGAAGGGCTGGAGCACAGAGGATCTGGAATACCATCTTGTGGATATTTGCCTTCTCTTATCTTTTAAAAAGTGTTTTAATTTCGAATCTATTAAAAGATAGTTGGTCTTTTTTAAAAATTTGAATGTTGAGCTTTTATATTTTAGCCTGAGAATATACTAAAATGAGAAGTGATCTTAAAAATTGGATGTTTGAAATATAACAGAGTAGATTTTGTGGTTATTTTCTTATAGCTCAATTTGTGTATTCTTGTTACATTTTAAAGACACTGGTGAAGACATTTGAAGTATGTGATCTTCCTGTTCGAGCTGCAAAGTTTGTTGCAAGGAAGAATTGGGTTGTGACAGGAGCGGTAAGTAATTAATATGAATCTCTATTCCCATTTTCTGAATTGGTCAATGATTGTGTAAATTTGTTGCAGGATTTTGATTCCCGATTTGTTTTGTTATTTACAGCAATGTTTTGAGGCATAGACTTTATTCCTTGAGCCTGTGATATAGTTTTTTTGTATAATTTACTTGATAACAGGGATGATGGTTTTAAAATTTCTGTTTCTAGGATGACATGCAGATTAGAGTGTTCAATTACAATACTCTGGAGAGAGTTCATATGTTTGAAGCACACTCAGACTACATTCGCTGTATTGCTGTTCATCCAACCCAGCCTTTCATTCTAACTAGCAGTGGTAAGAGATGACCTTTTTTGGTCATGTGCGTCTCTTTGGGTAATTCATTTTCATTCACTGAGACATGCTATGCTTTAACTGCTGTTACAAATATAATTCTAATTCCAAGCGGCCTTTAAACTATTTAGATCCATTACTGTGCTATTGATGCTGCTTGTGTTTGTACTATAATGAAATATCAACTGTACTTAGGATTTGTGTAATGATTGCTCCAGTTCCTGTCAGAGAAGACCTACAAGTCTAGATGTTTAAACATCTGCTGAACAGAAAGGTCATTTACATGTTGATGAGTGAGTTTTTGGCAGATTGCCATAGACCCTATTCAGTTCAATCTTTATATTCAAACTAGTTTGCTCCTTGGTATTGTGTATAAATAGTAGACCTCTTGGAGGACTGGAAAAAGAGGTAGCACTGAATTAGTAATAGCTCTTTGAAATGTTTTTAAATTAAAAATTGAGAAGTAATTAAAAACTTTTTAAAAACCAATCTTGTGAGGGCAAATGCTTGTTCTCTACATAGTCATTGCTATCACTATTCAGTCATGCTTAGATCTAGTCAAACTTATATTACTCTTTGGCCATTCTTTAATGCCCACTGAATTTTTAAGTTTTTTCACAGAATTTTTATATTTTCTATTTCTAATCTATTTTATTTATTTTATCTCCACTTTTCTGTAGAGAGTTAAATTTATTTTTAAGATAAATAAGCATTTTGAAAACTCTATTTGGTTTTGATTCTATTTCTGTAAGTCATGGATTATATGGTTTGTGTTAGGTTTGCTTCTTCTAAAGACTGTGTCTTAGTTATGAAGTGAAAAAATAGAATTACAACTAACTTGAGACTTTCTTTTGGCCTAGATGACATGCTTATTAAGCTCTGGGACTGGGATAAAAAATGGTCTTGCTCACAAGTGTTTGAAGGACACACCCATTATGTTATGCAGATTGTGATCAACCCCAAAGATAACAATCAGTTTGCCAGTGCCTCTTTGGACAGGACTATCAAGGTAGGGCATCCACATTTTGTGTCAGTTATCATTATTAGTGAACTATACTTGCCTTAGGTGTTTTACTGTTGACTGGTCAGAAATGTACCCATCTTAAAAATTTTCCTCAAAAGCCTGTTTTGAAGTCAAAATAGGATTTCTCATTTTAATCCAAACGACATGTTCTGTTTAGAAAAATATTGTGGCAACTCAGTGCTCTTAATGAGGAGCGTTTTTCTGTGTGGAGGCAGCATGTTATAAAAATTTTTTAGCCTTTGGAAACCCAGAATAAGAAAAATGCCAATATCTTTTTAGGATACTACTGTCCTCTCCTTTTAGTATTCATTGTTGACTTCTGCTCATCGTTTATCTATTTTACATTTAAATTCCATATGCCTCTATTCTCTCTTTCTTACTCCATTTTACCACACTGCTGTCTGTTATCTTTCTGAAACAGTTCCTGATCTAAGGATAAAGTCCAAATGCCTTAGTGTGGAATACAAGGATTTCCAGGACTAGCCTGGGCTAATATTATGCGACATCTCCTAAAACCCTGGTCTACTCACCATCCTCTAGAGAGGCTATGAATGTTCACAAAACCTTACTTCATTGAACTGTTCCATCTTCCTGCACTTCTCTTTATTTTCCTATTTTGATATATTTTCCTCCGGAGAATTACTCAGCTTTTAAGGTTTAGCACAAATATTTACTCTTGAGAACCTCTTGTCAGACATCAACTTCACCTCTAGACAGAGCCAGTTATGCTTATCCCATTTCTTCCATTGCTTTTTGCCTCTGTTTCAGCCTTTCTCAGATTGAATTATTATTACACGTTTTTGGAAATCTTTATCCCCTGAAATACTGGATTTGGGGGATAGAAACTGTGTCACTCCCTTTCCCCAGCCATTCAATAGCAAACAGCAAAGTGCCTTACCTGACCTAGATGCTTAATACATGTTGCAGTGAGGGCAATCATGCTTCTTTTTTTTATCATAATATTTAAAATATTTCCATGCCAGGCACGGTGGCTCACGCCTGTAATCCCAGCACTTTGGGAGACCGAGGCAGGTGGATCACAAGGTCAGGAGATCGAGACCATCCTGGCTAACACGGTGAAACCCCGTCTCTACTAAAAATACAAAAAATTAGCTGGGTGTGGTGGCAGGCGCCTGTAGCCCCATCTACTCGGGAGGCTGAGGCAGGAGAATGGCATGAACCTGGGAGGCAGAGCTTGCAGTGAGCCGAGATTGCGCCACTGCGCTCCAACTTGGGGGACAGAGCGAGACTCCATCTCAAATAAATAAATAAATTAATTAATTAATTAAAATATTTCCATATGCATTGACTTAAAATAAATTAACTTTTGCTTACATGTTTGCTTTCACCTATATAAAACACTGTTAGTAGTTTTCCTTTATGTAAAATGTTATGTGTCTGAATATCTTAGGGTTTTAACCTTAGCTATTTTGCCTTTGATTGGATTATCCTTGCTTTTGACATAGATTAACTTTGAAATTAGTTGTAAACTTTTATTTTTACTAATTTAGGTTTATCTTGAGAACAATAATTGTCTTATCTTCAGTTCCAATAAAGTTTATTTTATACAGTAATTGATAAACATTTGTTACACGTTTATACTCCCCACAGGGCCTCCCATATAATAGGCACTCAATAAATATTTGTAAAGATAAAGCTTAATTCTGTGCTGTGGTAATTTTTAACAATTTTCTACACTTTAAATTGGTAATTAGGCAGTAATTTTCTCCTTTTAATAGGCCTTTATTTTTATTTATTTATTTATGTATTTTTGAGTTACGGTCTGTGTTGCCTAGGCTGGAGTGCAGTGGCATGATCACAGCTCACTGTAACCTCAAACTTCTGGGCTAAAGCGATCCTCCTGCCTCAGCCTCCTGAGTTGTTAGGACTACATGCGTGTGCCTTCATGCCCAGCTAATTTTTTACTTTTTACTTTTTTGTAGAGACAAGGTCTTGCTGTGTTGTCCAGGTTGGTCTTGAGCTCTTGGGCTCAAGTGATAACTTCCATCTCGGCCTCCTAAAGTGCTGGGATTACAGGTGTGAGCCACCACACCCAGCAACTTTTAATATATCTTACTAAATCTACTTTCATGAGCTGTATATTAAATCTATAATAAAATAATTTCATAACATCTAGATTCCTGGGCGTCACTGTGGATTGACTGACTTATAATCTCTAGAGATAAAGCCTGGAAATTGGCACTTCTTTTAAAGAACGCCATAGTGATTTTGCTCCCTGAAAATTCAAGTAAAATGAGAAAGAACAAAAACCAAACAGGATAAAAAATAAAATTTGATAGCTCTTCTCTCCTGGGCTTTGGCATTTTACATAATGTGTCAGAAATATGGTGGATTTGCCTTTTGTAAAGCAAGGCCCCATATTGACTGGCCGATGCTGTTTCTCTCTGCAGGTGTGGCAGTTGGGCTCTTCGTCACCAAACTTCACTTTGGAAGGACATGAGAAAGGCGTGAATTGCATTGATTACTACAGTGGTGGGGACAAGCCATACCTCATTTCAGGTGCAGATGACCGTCTTGTTAAAATATGGGATTATCAGGTACAGTTTTTCATAACCTTACTTCCATATGTTAGATATGTTTCTTACTATTTCTTATAGGACAGTTAAGACTTGGGTTGTTGAAAACTGTTCACAGCATAATAACTTAAGGTATCAGTATTTGCACCTAAACTGTGTTCCCAGAATTCTCCATAAAAATGAAAACAATGCATATCAAGATTTTAAAAATAAAATACCAACATGTTCATATTTCATTTCATAATTGCATTTAGAAATTTTAACATTTTAATGTTGAATTATCCTCCATAATCTTCATTGATAGACTTCTATTCATTTTTGTAAGCTAGCAGATCAACAATTACCAACCATTTTGCCAAATCGTACTCTTGTAAACCTAGTTATGAATTCTTGTTAACATGCTTCCTATCTCTAAGATTTTCTTATATTTTGATATTTTTGTTTTCCACATCAAAAGTTCCCATAAGCAATTAATAAAATGAGGTCTAGAAAGTCAGTTTTTCCTTGAAACATTTTCAGATTTGTACTTAAATCCAGAATAAAAATATTAAAGGCTAAAGCAGCACTGTCTACTTAGCCAGTGATGGTAGGTGTGAGTTTTAAGGGGGAAATCTATTATCCTGAGAATTTGGGGGAATAATATTCAGACAAAAGCCTTCTTGGGTTTTTTTCCCCTTCTTTAAATGTGATAGTTACATTTACATTTATTTTACAAAGTAATTAGATAAAATATTCATATATACAACAAGATCATCCTATTTCAAAAATTTCTATATTGGATATTATTTAGATTTTCATGACTACTATCATTTATAATGTATCTGTACACTGAGAAAATTAAGGGCGGGCTGGTTACATGTTTTTCATTAATAAAACATGTTTTCTATGTCTTAATTACAGAATAAAACATGTGTGCAGACACTGGAAGGACATGCCCAAAATGTGTCTTGTGCCAGCTTTCATCCTGAGTTGCCAATCATTATCACAGGTTCAGAAGATGGTAAGTTAGAAGGGTATGTTTATTCCTGTGCTAGTAACTACTCAGTGGGCATTTAAAGCAAGTAATGTCTCTGCATTATAATTGTAGGTTTCCAAGGATTTTGATATTTTTATTAAAGTACCAGACTTAAGCTATAAAAGAGTAAAGGGGCATTATTTTCATCATCATCATCATCATCATCATCATCATCGTCATCATTCTCATGTATTTTGATTCTGTCACTTAAATAAGAGGACCGTCAGCTGTCCTAAAGAGAAACTGAAAAAGCATGTGCTTTGGAGTCAAACAAACCTGGGTTCAAAATCAGGCTCTGTTATGTCATGAATGTGTGTTTGGGCAAATTATGAAATGGAAACATATATATCTGCTTCATAAAATTATAGTGAGAAGAAATTGTGGGTAGAAAGCATCTGGCACATAGGAAACACTTTACCCAGGAAATCCTGTTATTATTTCATGTTTAAAATCGTAATTCTTAGTTTTTGTTTCTTATATGTTATGTGTTATGTTTATGTTGCTTTTAAAAATCATTTAAAGACAGTAGGTCAAAAAATTGGTCATTAAGCTGCCAGGAAGTGTTATCTGTTTGAATAGAAAGACTTCTATGGGTCTCTTTCACCTGACACAGTTTATTGTCGGATGTTTGTATCAAAAGGGAGTATTTACATTGTTCTTTTTAGGAACAGTACGTATTTGGCATTCAAGCACCTACCGGCTTGAGAGCACACTGAATTATGGAATGGAGAGGGTATGGTGCGTGGCCAGTCTAAGAGGGTCAAACAATGTCGCTTTGGGCTATGATGAAGGGAGCATCATTGTTAAGGTAATTATACTATCCCTCTCAGTAGGTGGACATAGGCAAAACCATTTTCTTTGTATTTTAGTACTGTCATCTTCCAAGTAACCAGTTTTATAAAACTGGCACTTCTTTCATTAAGCACTAGACATTAAGCAATGAAGATTTAAAGTGGAAGAAAGGAAATGGAGCTCTCTGTTAGGTGAAAAAAATAATCTGTTTTGTTTTGGTTTTATTCATTTTCCTTTTCATTGCTGAGAGCTATTTTTCTTTCTTTCAGCTTGGTCGGGAGGAACCTGCCATGTCCATGGATGCCAATGGAAAGATAATTTGGGCCAAGCATTCAGAAGTCCAGCAGGCCAACCTAAAAGCAATGGGAGATGCTGAAATTAAAGATGGTGAAAGATTGCCACTGGCAGTAAAGGATATGGGCAGTTGTGAAATATACCCTCAGACTATTCAGCACAATCCTAATGGGCGGTAAGCCATCACCAAAATTGTCCCTCAGCTTCTGTGTATGTTAGAACAGGTTTGCAGATCCACAGTCCACTCTTGCCCTGTGGTTGGCATCTCTAATCATTCCTCAATGTGCTTTTGCCCTGGCCTCACAATCCTCAACACAGCTGCAGTCAGCCATGCCACTTGATCAAGTTGGCACAAAAGATGGAGCATGTTTCCCATCTGGACTTGTTCTATACCACACAATTTTGAATAGTTAAATAGTAGTTTCCTGTTATTTCGCATGCATTGAGTTTGTGTTTTTGTGTGCTCCTTTGAGGGCAAGGAGTATGTCTTATGCTGAGACTTAGTAGGTGCCCTCTCTAAATGCTTGCTGACTCATTGCTCTTTCAAGAAGAAAACCTGACTCTGAGATATGTGTCTTTTGAAAAAGTTTTGGGATTGATAATAATTCTGTTTCTTATTTGTAATTCGAACTGTCAGTTGAATTTCTCCCTTAAGATTTGTAAGTCACCAAACATCTTGTGAGAGAGGAGTTTCTAGCACAGTGAAGTCTAAACCTGTGGAGCTTTAAAATTATTTTACAGCAGGTCTGGGCATCTTATAATGCTGTGCTGAGTATTGAAAAAGACAAAAGATATAAACCAAGTATGCCGCCTAGTTCAGTAAATGGTATCCATAATTATTTGTAATATAATTGTCTTATAAAGGTTAAGAATGCATTATGCATATTTCCCTTAATATCGTAAAACATTCTTGGCTGTAAGTTTTGCCTTTGGCAGTCTTTTGATACCAGCCTTTACAGTGTTATAAACAACTTTAAAGATAGTTGTCTTATGTCCATTGGGAAAATTTTCGTTGACTCTGCAGCATTCTGTTTTCTCATTATTTAAATGTTAAAATATCCTCTGTATTTTGCTGAATTTAAGTCTTTAAAACCTGGAGTGAGATATTTTTATTCATTTGAATGATCAGCTTTAAAATGAAGATAGTCTTTGTAATAATATAGTGCCTTCCTGTGGTATAAATGTCATGAGCAAAGTTCTAGGCATCTTGGTGCTCAACAAATACTGGTTGAATAATTGGAATCCTCCTCCTTTGCATTTCCAGCCATTCTCACCTTCCTGCCTCCAGTTGCCTTTATTTATGAGAAGACCATTCCAATAACATTTCAGCAGTAATGCCATATTCATAATTTCCTTTTCAATTTGTTGGCTAGAATTTTTTTTGTAACTTTGTATTCAAAGAAATGTATAACTTTTAAAAGATGTTAAATTGTAATAATGAACTAAATAACATTTGTTATTAGAATTCTTTTACCATAACATGAATTATTGTTCCTTAACTTCTACATGTCTTTGGTCCTCTGTACTTCCCTCCCTGGCTTCTGTGATTTCTAGGTTTGTGGTGGTGTGTGGTGATGGGGAGTATATCATCTACACAGCAATGGCATTGAGAAACAAGAGCTTTGGATCTGCTCAGGAGTTTGCATGGGCCCACGATTCTTCAGAGTAAGTTTTGATTGTATGATAGCCAGCATGCCCTGATTGCAGATGTGTTGTGTGCTGCTTGAAGACTCTCAAGGCTTGATGTGGGCTGTGATTCTCCGTGTTAAAAAACAGTTCTCACCAGAGCTGTCCATTGGAAGATGAGAGTCAGAGGCGAGTGTATAGCATGAGCCGTCTTAGTGCTTTCTTTGTTCTGCGTTAGGCTGGCTCACTCAAGCTGATACAATAATTCCATTTAACTGGGGACCCAGCACCCATTTCTTTGATGGAGCCCATGGCAGGACCTGGTGCTTTATGGGCTTAAGGCACAGTAGACCCTCATGTCTGCCTTGGCAGGCCTTGGCATGCCCTCCCTGTGATGTAGTGTCCTGAGGTGCTACTGCCCCTTTATGAGCTACTTGGGAGTGATGTTGTGGTTTGATCATTTTGATGAGAAATTTATTAAATCTTTTTTAAAACTTATTTTCTGTGATAGTACCCACTGCCCATTCTTAACAAATTTCTGTCTGAATTCAGAATGTTCATAAAATGTTCTCATTAAAAGCAGGAAAGATCATTTAACTCTGACTTTTTTACTAGTCATTGGCTCTGGTTCCTTTTTGATTCCTGTTTAATGCACGTAATAAACATTAGGGGTTTAGTGTTTTCAGACCACACAACTGAATTACATTTTCACAGTTTTTTTAGTTTTGTTTGCCCCACATTTTATGTTGCATCTTGCCCCCAACAGTGGGGTAACTTAAGCCTCAGCGTTGTGTAATAAGATACATTTTTTAAAATGTTACAACAGTAAGATTTATTGAGAGGTATGGAATTGTTCTGATATTTTCATAAATTTCCTAAATACACATATACATACAGTTCTATGTATTCAAAGGTAATGTGTTATCTTAAGCAAAATTATAGTTGATGAATTGCCTTCTCTCAGCACACCTCTTCCTCTATTTTGATAGTCCTTTTTTTCAGCTCTATCCAGCCAAGACCTTGCTCAGCATCTTTCCTGTCCTGAGCAAAGCCCTCATCACATCACTTCCTCAGACAATCTTAAATATCCAGTGATAGCCACAGCTCCTTTTTTCAAGGCAGAGGCCTGAATATAAGCAGTTGTTGCTGATGATGGCTGATTAATGAACCATTTGTCACAGTTTTTATTATTTAAATCGCCCTTATTGAGGTATAATTTACAGAAGACAGAATGTACCACTTAATTGTACAGCGATCCCCCGATCTGTGGTTTCCCTTCCTGCAGTTTTAGTTACCCACAGTCAACTGTGTTCCAAAAATATTAAGTGGAAAAGTCCAGAAATAAACAACTCATAAGTTTTAAATTGCCCAGTGTTCTGAGTTGCATGGTGAAATCTTGAGCCATCCTACCTGGGACGTGAATCATCGCTTTGTCTAGCATATCCACATTGTATATGCTGCCCACCTCTTACATTATAGGAAAAAACATAGTGTATATAGGGTTCAGTACTATCTGAGGTTTCAGGCATCCATTGGGGCTTAGAACGTATCCCCCATGGATAAGGGAGGACTACTGTTCATGTCAGTAGATTTGGGCAAATGTATGTAATCCGTAACTACTAACACAATCAAATTATAGAACATTTCTATCATCCCCGCAAAATCCCCTTGTCTCCATTAACAGTCTGTCCATACCCCCCATCCACCCATTCCCCAGTCCCAGGCAAACACTGATGAGTGCCTTTTGTCACTATATAGATTAGAGTTGTCTTTGGAGTTTCATATAAATGGAATCATACAGTATGTACTCTTGAGTCCAGCATCTTTTGTTCAGTATAATGTTTTTGAGATTCATCCATATTCTTGCCTGGATCAGTAATTGGTTTCTTTATTTGCAGAGTAGCATTCCATTATATGAATATACGATAATTTGTTTAATCATTCACCTATTGTGGACATTTGGGTCATTTTCAGTTTCTAAAGTGGTTTGTAAGCCCTAGTAATTCATGTCATACACAGTATAAAACCCTTTCATCATTTGTCCAACTGTAAGGAGTTCTCTGATCTCTTAGGAAAACAGTACATCAGATAATCTTCAAATATTTATTTTATATTTTTGCATAATTACTGAAAAATATTTGAAGATATTTCCAACATTTGGTAGAACTATGATTTAGTATATAACATGTTATGTTTGCCTTCCCTTTTTTCTCCCAGGTATGCAATAAGAGAGAGCAACAGCATTGTAAAGATATTTAAGAACTTTAAGGAAAAAAAATCATTTAAACCAGATTTTGGAGCAGAAAGTGAGTGTGATCTACATATGATACATTTTTAAATTCTTTGTAATGGCTCAAAAATGCCTAAGCAAAACTCTTTTTATGTTCCCTTTAGGTATCTACGGCGGCTTCTTATTGGGAGTCAGATCTGTAAATGGCTTAGCCTTCTATGACTGGGACAATACAGAACTCATACGAAGAATTGAAATTCAGCCCAAACATGTGAGTTTCCCCTCCATTGTTGTTTTTGGAATATTTATTTTTGTGATGAGTTCTGGGTCCCTAAGGCCAAGAAGTGTCTTTTGTACCCTGCTCTCCCTCTTCGATTATCAAAAGCCATTTAAAATATAAAACAGCACTTAGAATTTAAATAACTTCTTATACTTTTGAAATACACATTGTCTACGGCCTCATTAGGATACAACAATCCTGATTTTCTGAGCAATTGGAGGTAAGTGGCAGTGCCATTTTGACAGGAAAAAAGCATGCTTTGAGAACAAGAAGTCAGAGAATTCTTGACTTGGAAATGCCTTCTTCCACATAGTTCAGAAAACCTTTTCATACATTTTGATGATAGCTGCTTGAACTTGAGGTGACCATCTCCAGTGACAAAGTGTTTACCTTTAGAACTGCCCGCTGCTTTGACAGTTTTCACTGTCAGGAGATTATCTTTGGAAACAAACCAGCTTTTCTGGGGTCTGGTTCTAGAGCACGCATCCTCAGTGGGTGTAAACATTGACTTGGGGGCTTACTCTTTATGAATAAAGCATAGCTATACATATGTATATGCATTATATATGTATATCTGTGGTATTAAAATTTCATTGGGGGAGGTGATTAGAAAAATGTCCAGAAAGACTTCTAGGGAGGGTGGGTGAAAATGAAAAAAATAAAAAAGGTGATAAACACTGTTCTAGAGCAAGAGGGAATAGGCTACTGGTCCTCTGTGTAGCACATTCAGTGTTTACTGACAGCTCTCCTTTCCTGTCTCCCTTTGGTCTTTCCATTGCTAGGCTAAATAGCATAGCCACATAATAGCTGGCCACCCTCCCAAATAATGCCACATAAAATTGTTAAGTGAATACTTATCATCTTGATATAAGAAGGTAAATGTTGTAAGAAACCAAGTATGTGCAGTTTGTCATATCCACTCAGAAATCCAAATCAGTTGTCTATGATTTTGTTGTGTTGCAGATTTTCTGGTCTGACTCTGGAGAGCTAGTCTGTATTGCTACTGAGGAATCATTTTTTATCCTTAAGTATCTGTCAGAAAAAGTCTTGGCTGCACAGGAAACACATGAGGGAGTTACTGAAGATGGCATTGAAGATGCCTTTGAGGTAATTGCATCAGCACAACTTTCGCTTTCAGCTTTGTTTTTAAATGATTTATATTCTTACAACAGACTTTACTGATTTTAACATTTCGTTATAAATTAGGTGTAGGGAGACAGCATTTAAGGATTTCTGGTGAAATGTGAAAAATTAAAATCGTAACTCATAGATCAAAATTTAAAATAAATATGTTTAAAAGAAATTTGTACTTTGATTTTAAGAATTCTTTAGACTTACTTTGATATCTTTCAGTAAAGAAATTATAGTTGTTTTGGTCCTAAGACTATTTAGTCAGTGATTTAAATAAGCTCCCAAATGGTAAATCATTTATTGTGCAGATGTCCTAGATTTTGTGAAATACTTAATATTTCATTGTCATGTTATGAAGGGTCTAAGTTTAGATCAGTATTCTTTTATATCATGATTTTGACCCAACAATGAGATTTCACATTACAAATACTAATCTAGGAATCTGTTCTGTGTTTTGTTTTGTTTTTTTTTCTGTTTTGAGCCTAAGGGTTATATTGAGTAGGAATCTGTTCTTAAATGAAGAAAGAAATTCCAGCGGGGTGCAGTGGCTCACACCTATAATCCCAGCACTTTGGGAGGCCGAGGTGGGCAGATCACTTGAGGTCAGGAGTCTAAGACCAGCCTGGCCAGCATGGTGAAACCCTGTCTCTACGAAAAACATAAGAATTAGCCAGGCATGGTGGCGGGCGCCTGTAATCCCAGATACTTGGGAGGCTGAGGCAGGAGAATCACTTGAATCCGGGAGGTAGAAGTTGGCAGTGAGCAGAGGTTACGCCACTGTACTACAGCCTGGGCAACAGAGACTTCATCTCAAAAAAAAAAAAAAATTCCAAGGAAAATTTTTTTTTTCTAGAAATAGGAAGGATTTTACTTTGCATTCCTTATTCTGCCATATCACCCTCAGATATATTCAGCTTTTTATTGAGAGATTTCTGATGTTGGATAAAGTAATTGTCTTTATTTTTCTTTCTGCAGGTTCTTGGTGAGATTCAGGAAATTGTGAAAACAGGGCTTTGGGTAGGCGATTGCTTCATTTACACAAGTTCTGTGAACAGATTAAATTATTATGTTGGAGGAGAAATAGTCACCATTGCCCACTTGGACAGGTACCTGAGTATCATTTTGCATTTGTCCTAAATTTTAAAGTGTGTTTAGAAAAATCTGTTGCTGGCTTGTAGCAATGATAGGCTGATTTTTCAGTGTTATAGTTTTAGTAGGTTGCCTATTGTTAACCAGAATTGTGTCAATCAAATGGGAAGGTTTTGAGCAAGAGGGAGATTGGCGGGGTGTGTGTTTGTGTAATTGCAGATTTGAATTTCTAACTTGGTTTCTGTTTCTTTTATAGGACGATGTATCTCCTAGGCTACATTCCTAAAGACAACAGGCTTTATCTGGGGGATAAAGAATTGAACATCATTAGCTATTCCCTGCTGGTTTCAGTCCTGGAATACCAGACAGCTGTCATGCGGAGGGACTTTAGCATGGCTGATAAGGTCCTTCCTACCATTCCAAAAGAACAGAGGACCAGAGTTGCACACTTTTTGGAAAAGCAGGTAAGAGGTTTTGTTTTTTTCTTTTTGTTTTTTAAAACTTGCAATTTGAAAGCAAATTATTATGGAGTTGAAAAACTTTATTTCTTAATTGCCAACTGATTTCCTGTGGCAATAGAATTTCTCCTGTGAGTTTAAGGCACTTATTACAGCACATGATACACCCTTCTTACACTCTTCCTTCTCCTTTCTCAGTGCCCCCTTTAAATGTTGGAGGTGATTTTCAGTCTTCCTTTTCTGTGCACTTATTTTCCAGTCTCCTGATATTTTCATTTCTACACTGCATTTTTAGCTTTATCCCATCTGCTTTTTAAAAAAAAATGATTAAAATACATATAAAATGTACCATGACATGACTTTTTCTTATGTAATGTTTTTTAAGCAAAGTTACATATGTGCAAAGCATAAAGTAAGTTTTGCAAAGCTTAAGAAAAAAATCAGCCCTCCTTTTTGCTTTCTACTCCCTAGAGGTAATTATTTTATCTAATTCTTTTGGTATTTATTTCCATATCTCTAAATAACTTGAGGTATAGCAGTTTCTTCATTTCTTAGCTTTAGGCATTTCTTGTGACTTCCCCCTCTGTAGAAGATGAGAATTTCGCCTTCTTTCATTCCCCTGCGTCTACCACATACATGCCACTTTCCTATCCTTTATCTCTCAGAATAGTTCTAATTTTGATTGATCACTACTCAAATGTTTACATTATTATGGCTATGTAATCACTGCTCACAGGTGAACATGTAGCATATTATCTAGCTTTCCTTTCCTGCAATTGTTTGTTTTCCCTAGTTTATAATTGTCTTTTTCCCCCCTTTGCTTAATTTTCTATGTACCTGTGGTTAATTCTCCCTGGACTTTGCTGGTTCTCCAGAGTTCCTGAAGATCTCCTTTCAGTTTGCTTAGTCTCCTTCAGACTGCACTGGTTTTCCTGCTCTCATCATGGATTTCCCCTCACCATCATGTTGGGGCTTCCTTTGCTTCTGTCCTGTTGGATCCATTGTTTCTTATACCCCTATCTCCTTTCCTGCTTTGCTCCCTCATTTTAGGGGAACATGCCCTTCAGCAATTTCCTGAGAAAAGGATTGTTAATGAGAGATAAATTGTTTTGTGACTTTGAATATCTGAAAGTGCCATTGTTCTACCCTAAAACATATTCAACCATTTAACTGGTATATAATTGTTGGAGGTAATTTTCTCTCAGAATTTTGAAGGCATTGTTCCATTGCCTTGTAGTTATTGTTGAAGTCTAAAGCCATTTTTATTCCTCATTCTTAGTACATGACCTGGTTTTTCTCTGTGGAAACTTTCTGAATGTCATCTCTGTTGTACTGAAATGTTATAATCATGGTAGGCCTTGGTAGGAATCAGTTTTCATTAATTCTGCCAGTTATTAGATGAGCTTTTTTAATGGGAAACTTATGTCCTACATTTCTGAAGGATTTTCATGAATCGTTCTATGGTGATATCCTTCGTTTTCTGTATTCTGTCTTTCTGGAATTGTTCATGTTGTATGTCCTGCACTGATTTTCCTATTCTCTTTTAAAATCTTATTGTTTATAGATAAAAGTTTCTCGTATCTTTCTACAGATATGAATGATATATTTCTGTTTTTAGATTTTGAAGTTTTCTCTTCCCCCTATATGGTATGCTTCCTTCACGTTCCTTTTATTGCTTCATTTTGATCTGCATCTTTGCTGTTAGTGATTTTCCTCAAGTATCTGATGTCCTTGGGCCCTCATTTAAGAGTGAAGGTACAAGAAACAGATCAGAAGGTCTGAATTTGTGGGTGGGGCATATTGGGTTTGGATTTCACAATATCTGGTGTGGTTGGCCCATTTGATTAGGGAGTCTCAATGTCAGTATCTTTAGCCAATGAATTTTTGATGACTTTCCATTTATGTAATGAATTTAACAAGCACTTAACAATGTGCTAGGCACTGTTCCTGCTGACATGTAGCCTTCATGGAGTTGACATTTTAGTATTTTTAAGTCTTTTCCCTTGGGCTCAGTAGATTTTACTGAAAAGCTCCCCAGTCACCATCATTTTGGGGTCTCAGTAGAAGATACCTTGGAGTCTCAGTATTTAATATTTCATTGAGTCTGTGTATCCATTTTCATAATCTCCTGTCTTCCTTTGATACTCTGTACTTTTTCCTCCAAGTGTGCTTGGAATCTCCTGGTCTGGAGACTCTTTAGTTTGTCCTCTCCAAAGAATAAACCTGTCTTCTTTGTCATGAGGTGGGAGAGGGGAGGTGAGAGAGGGGAGGTGGGAGAGGGGAGCGGATCTAGAGTTTCTGAATGCTTTTAGGGCAGTTTGTTTGTTTTTAGCCCTACCATTCATGAGACACACTGGGTGTAAATCACATTGTTTCTATGCTGTTCTCACTCCTGATTTAGGATCTGTTTTCTCTACTGTTTTAACAAAATGTTTATATTCCTCCACCAGCTTTCCAGCTTCCAAACTTTTGTTACTGTTTCCTCTCCCTTTCTGTGTGTCGTTGGGAGCTTATGCCTTTAAAAAAAAATCCTTTTAGTGTGATTTTATTAGTAGTAGGGAATTAGCAGAAAACAAAAGTATATATTTTAGTCCGCCTCATTTCATGTGTTTTGCCCTTGGCTGTATCTGACTAGTTCCAGAGATCTTCCATCCTCCACTCTTGGGTTTTATGTTATCTATATCAATGCTAGTGGAAAAAAAGTAACTCCGGTTATTTAGAATGCCTTATTTACATCGTATTCATGGATGGATCGGGGCGGGTTGGCAGCCTGTATAAGCTGAGAAGTTAAAACATTTCAAACTTGATGATAAAGCCATCCTGAAGATATAGCCAGACAGAACCCTAAAGCTGTCCAGCTTCTCAATCTTGACTATCCCATAAATGAGCATTCTCCCTCAGTCTGGTGAAGAGGTAAACTATCCCTGAGCTTTTTGTGTAACACATTACATCCCTAGAGCTAAAAATGACCCCATCAGTAGTGTTTGTCTTGAAGGAGAAGCTAATTTAATAATTACAATAGTTGATTTAAAACAGTGGTCCCCAACCTTTTTGGCACCAGGGACCAGTTTCGTGGCAGATAGACAATTTTTCCACAGATGGGAAGGGGGTACATTTCAGGATGAAACTGTTCCACCTCAGATCGTCAGGCATTAAGAGTCTCATAAAGAGCACAGAACCTAGATCCATCACATGTACAGTTCACAATAGGGTTCATGCTCCTATGAGAATCTAATGCCGTTACAGGCGGAGTTTAGGCGGTAATGCTCACTCACCCACCCACCCACTGCTCACCCTCTGCTGTGCGGCCTGATTCCTAACAGGCCACAGACTGGTTGTTTGGGAGACCCCTGGTTTAAAAGCTTGTTCTTAATGCCTTAATGGAGCATGGGAAGGAAATTTTAGACTTCCTGTCTTTTGGATACTTGCTGAGGAACTGGACTTGAGACCAACAATAAAGGAATAGGTAATGACACCTAATTGGTGACTGGACCTGAATACACAATGTTTGCTATGACCTACAGATGACAGAAAGTTGGAAGGTTTTATATTTGACTCCCGTTTCTTTGGCCATTTACTGCTAATAGTCTCATCTGCAAAATGAGGGGTTGGACTAGATGATCTCTACTTCCCAGCCTAGTTGAGTAGATTACCAACAGCTAAGTTTACACTGCTGTGCCTAGTTTTCTTCTTTTGAAATGATTCTTGTTTAGTCAACTTTGCAAAATTCCTTTCTTTTTGACATATCTGTTTATATTTACATTTCCAGTTTTACTGGTTACTTGAGTTTAACATTAGCCAGCTTCCATTATCCTAATAAACAGTAAGAATTCTGTCACTGAATATTTTATCTGCCAGGTTTGTTCTTACCACTTCCTTTAATGACTCCTTAATTATTCCATCTTCTTATTAAATAGTGGGGTTTCTAGTTTGAGAGGGAAATGATTTGCTCTGTGAATGTGTGTACACTGTATATGTGTGTGTATATATATATATATAAAACATACATACATTTTTGTATGCATAAATATATATAATTTTTAAAAATCTGTTTAGGGCTTCAAGCAGCAAGCTCTTACAGTATCCACAGATCCTGAGCATCGTTTTGAGCTTGCTCTTCAGCTTGGAGAGTTAAAAATTGCATACCAGTTAGCAGTGGAAGCAGAGGTATGTACTAATTCATGATTTTTCATAACTGATGGAAAAGTCAGTAGGTACTTCTATGTGTTTGGTGTAATGTTTTGTTATTAAAGTTTTCCCAAATGCAAATTAGTGGCTCATTTTGTTGAAGTTATTGTCTCTCTCTTATCTTTTTAAAAGATGTATTATGTTAAACTTTGCATAAGTTAAATTGATTACATTGGAGATATTCTTAGCACTCTAATTTGTTTTAAGAAAAATTGTTTTCATATCTTATGTGAGCTCTATTTTGCAAGATAAGAAAAGATGTAAAATAGTATGTAAACTAGTCTGGAAAGCCTAAGAGTACAGACATAGCAGTTATTTGCCAATGTCTGAAACTAACTAAAAATATGTTGGTTTTGAAAGACAGCCCAACCCCCTCATCTTTTGGTGTTGAATAGAGCAGGCAGTCAGAGAAGGACAGTGCTGCCTTGGTGGCACTCACCTTCAGCAGCAGATGCTCTTAGCACATCTGGTCTAAATGTTTGAGCTAAATGAGCTGTTCAGGGAGGCTCAAGTGGGAGAAATGTTAATACCATTTTTGTAATGATATTTTTATAGATCTTTGTATATTGAGGCTCCCAATTGTTTCAGACTGGCATTTACTGGTAAATTAATTTCAGATGTGCAAAATAAATTTTAGCTACGTTAAGATCATCTAAACATGCAGCATTTTGAGTTCTGAAAAGCTACAAGTGAGACATAATATTATTGTGAAATATTTAAAGACGTAGTTTTGTATGCTTTCAAAAAAGTGATATTAAATCACTTGTTAAAATAATTGCAGTCTAATTGCCTTAAAACTCCAGTGAGATGGTTTTACTTTCCCTGTGTAATTATAAGATAAAAGTATAATGGGTTGACGATAATTATTTGCACATCATTAAAATTGATTTGTGTTTAAATTCATTTTGTATACATTAATAATTTCCATTTCCTCACTGTACATTTTGCAATGCCATTCTTATTTTGATAGAGCCAACTTAACAAACACAGCTCTTTTTATAAACATTGTCTGCACAGTTAACAGAATAATGTTGGAAATGTAAATGCTTATTTCTAAAGATATTTTAACTTGGAAACTCTTTTCTTACAGTCAGAACAGAAGTGGAAACAACTTGCTGAACTTGCCATTAGTAAATGTCAGTTTGGCCTAGCCCAGGAGTGCCTGCATCATGCACAGGATTATGGGGGCCTGCTGCTTTTGGCCACTGCCTCTGGAAATGCTAATATGGTGAACAAGCTAGCAGAGGGTGCGGAGAGAGATGGCAAAAATAATGTGGCATTCATGAGCTACTTTTTACAGGGCAAGTGAGTATTAATTTAAAAGATTAATTAATTCTACACTGAGGATGGTTTTTGGAGAGGGAAGTGAAGAATGAACCCTGGAGAGAACTGATGAATGGCCAAATGGTGTTGAATAGACGGGGCAGTCAGAACAGGACAGTGCTGCCTTGGTGGCACTCACCTTCAGCAAGGGATGCCCTTAGCACATCTATCTAAATGTTTGAGCTAAATGAGCTGTTCAGGGAGGCTCAAGTGGGAGAAATGTTAAACACCTTCTTCAACAGCCCTGCCAGTTAATGGTGGAAGCATTTTATTTTATGATTGCAGGAGGCTATTGAGCTGCTCTAGTAGGTACCTGAAGGGCAGGTGATTTTACCCAAATTGGATAACTTTGATCCATTTATGGCAAGAACAAAAGGGGATAAGTATGCCACTTACTTGTAGATTTGAGCCCACTATAAAGCATAAAGATGTCTCATATTTTTAAGTCTAACCGAGTTAGCATAAACCAAATCATTTGGACATTAGTTGGCAGTATTATGAAATAAAACACAAAAGTATTCTTTCCTTTTTTTTTTTTTTTTTTTGAGATGGAATCTCACTCTGTTGCCCAGGCTGGAGTGCAGTGGCATGATCTCGGCTAATTGCAGCCTCTGTCTCCCTCGTTCAAGCCCTTCTCCTGCCTTAGCCTCCCAAGTAGCTGGGATTACAGGCATGCGCCACCACACCCGGCTTGTGTTTTTAATAGAGATGGGGTCTCACCATGTTGGCCAGGCTGGTCTCAAACTCCTGACCTCAAATGATCCGCCTGCCTCGTCCTCCCAAAGTGCTGGGATTATAGGTGTGAGCCACCACGCCCAGCCCGAAAGTATTCTTTAACCTTCTCCTACATACTGATTTTTTTTTTTTTTTACAATCCCATACTTCGCCATATAACTTTGAACGTGCACCCCATTGTATGTATGTGAATGTATTTATGAATTTATATACCTGTAAGAATAGACCCTATTCCTTATCCATAATTCAAAAATCCAAAAATATTCTGAAAACAGTTATAACTGTTTTGATGGCAAGACCTGAGCTGAACTGCTTTAGTATTTTTAGTTGCTTTTATACCAACTTGGTACATTTTTATTGCATTTAACATTCCTATGTAAGTTATTGCAGTATTAATGTTTGTGGCTTTTTCATGCTGAGGATGTAAGGTAATACATAGTATACATACTGTATCACCTTTCGAAAATCCAAAAAATCCTGAATTCTGAAACATATTGTCCACATCATAAAACTTGCACAGAAAAAAAATGAAATTAAAATAGAAGAAAAAATAAGACACCATGGTATTCTGCTGGGCACCACTGGCTTGTCTGGCCCTTCCCATGTTGGAGACACTGCCCTAGATATTTGTCTTGTGGAACTGAATTTCTGCTGGCATATATCCTTATGCCTTTAAAATTTGCTAATCTAACCTGCCTTAACTCCTCTTGAAAAGCCCCTTTAGGTTCTTAGGAATTATAATAATTAAGTTAAGTAGATTCAAAGTAGTCAGGAAAGCTGTCTTATCCCTCATACCCTTGCAGTGTGTTGATTAACAACCATTAAAAGACAAGTGACAGAAATGAGATATATGTGTGAAGATTGGGGAGATTTTTGGCTTTGTAACACTAAATTTACTTTGTGTTAAGTACCCATTATTATAGTGTTTATTCTTGGTAACAGTACCTCTCCTTTTTAATGTTTAGGGTTGATGCCTGCCTAGAGCTCTTAATTAGAACTGGACGGCTGCCAGAAGCTGCCTTCTTGGCCCGAACTTACTTACCCAGTCAGGTTTCAAGGTACAGACTTTTAATTTTAGGAAGAAATGTTTCCAATAAAAAGAGAGCACATTTACTTAGTCTCTCTTTGGTTCCATGATGTCTATAATAGGGTAGTGAAACTCTGGAGAGAGAATCTCTCAAAAGTCAATCAGAAAGCAGCAGAATCCCTTGCTGACCCAACAGAGTATGAAAACCTGTTCCCTGGATTAAAAGAAGCCTTTGTTGTTGAAGAATGGGTGAAGGAAACACATGCTGATCTGTGGCCAGCCAAACAATACCCACTTGTCACGGTGAGTGGCCAGGATGTCAAGCTTCATTTATTGTAACTACAGGGTGGAAGTACATTCAGGACTTCAGATTTTGAACTGCTGTCTTCTTTTAAAATTAAGAGCTGATATCTGGGATTTAGGCCAAGTTCATAGGTAAATTATGATTTCAGAATATCTCATTTCATCATTGCTTTATTCTCTGATAGCCAAATGAAGAGAGAAATGTCATGGAAGAGGGAAAAGACTTTCAGCCCTCAAGATCTACAGCTCAACAGGTCAGTAGAGCACTTCATGTGATAAATTTGGCTGAGATGGTTCACTTTTTTTTTTTTTCTTTTGAGACAGAGTTTCGCTCCATTGCCCTGGCTGGAGTGCAGTGGCGCGATCTAGGCTCACTGCAAGCTCTGTCTCCCGGGTTCACGCCATTCTCCTGCCTCAGCCTCCCGAGTAGCTGGGGTAATTACAGGCGCCCATCACCGGTCCGGCTAATTTTTTTGTATTTTTATTAGAGACAGGGTTTCACTGCATTAGCCAGGATGGTCTCGATCTCCTGACCTCATGATCCACCTGCTTCGGCCTCCCAAAGTGCTGGGATTACAGGCGTGAGCCACTGTGCCTGGCTGAGATGGTTCACTTTTAAACATCATCTCCCACTTCCTAATTCTGATCATCCTTTTCTTGGGGGAAAACTTTAAATTCCCGAGTAAATTCCCTTGTCTTCATATATATCTTCACTTGTGGTTTCAGGAACTTGATGGGAAACCTGCTTCTCCTACTCCGGTTATTGTGGCCTCCCACACAGCCAACAAAGAAGAAAAGGTAGGTCAGACATCATACTCAAACCTCCCTCTACCCCATCTTCCTCCCCATCAATATCTGGAGGATACGTAGGCCTCTGTGGTTTAAGTGACATCAGTTTCAGAGCAGGGGCTTTGAAATGGGAAGATGCTCTTTTTGACTATTAAGAAAATCTTAGTTCTCACTTTGAATCATGAACCCACGGATAACTTTCCTTTAACAGTACTGTAAAACTTAATTACCCTCTTCCTTTTGTCTGCAGAGTTTACTCGAACTAGAAGTAGATTTGGATAATTTGGAATTAGAAGATATTGACACAACAGATATCAATCTGGATGAAGATATTTTGGATGATTGACTGTAATGCTTTCCATTTACCTGACTAAACAGATCATTATTATATATAGGTATTGATTGCTACCCTGACCACAGTGCTTTGGACTATGAGAAACTTCTTAGATTTTTATATGTAAATGCTGTGGACCACTGGGAGCACAATGCCCACATCATCTTAAGAAGAGTTTATGTGCAGCATTTAAATCACTGTGTTTTCCTTGTTAACTAAAACAGACATGGGCTTTGATTTTTTTCATACTATTAGACCATATCTCATAAAACCTTTTGAATTAATGAAGGTACTTGTTTCCTTTCTCAATAATGAAAATAGGCTTCTAGTTTTAGAAGGCTGAGCCGAAACTACACCTTGCCTAGGGATCAGCCCCACTGTCTTTTCTTTGTATAACTAAATCTGCATTTTCAAATGTTGTCAATCACATTTTTCTTAGAGCTGAATATCCAGGCTGTAATTCTCTAAACCCTTTTTCTTGACCTCATTGCATCATTCCACAGGTCTTGCCCCGATTTTGTCTAGCAGCTACCCATTTCTGGAGTCAGGATGTGAAACCTCTGTTCCTCTGACCTCATTAAGCTGGGGGTCTGTCTAAGTTAACGTTTGCCCTATTTGGTAACACAAAAACACACCAGACTTTTTAACCGTACGCTCATCTAACATGATTTGAGAAATTCATAACCAGGCACTCAAATATCCTTGTAGCCTACGAAAAGTGAGTAGGGTAATAATTTTTGCTTTGTAGGGAGAACTACAAATTGATATCTTTTAATCTGGCCATTTTTTAACATTTAGCTCAATATTAACAGAGAAATGTAGTCAGTATTTAGTAAAATAAATGTATTTTTAAAATATTTTTAGGAAGCTGCAGAATGGCGACTGAGTGCTTCTTGATAAGTCTGCAGTGTTAGTTCTATATAGGCTCCCTTCTGTGCTTCTGTTTTTGCAAAGACCTGTTTAAATTAAAAAGAAAATTTTAAAACAATAGGACATATGCTATTTATAAAGTTTTTCAGTTTTAAGACATCATTAGCATTTCTGTAGTAGCAAAGAGTCCTACTTAAAAAGGGCTTTCAGATTTCACAATTTTTCCCCCGATTATACAATAATTAATAAACACACATGGACAGAAAAACAATACCCAACACATTTCAAGCAATACTAATTCTAAACACCAGAAGTATCCAATTAAGACCCTGACATTGTATTAATATTAATACTTCCTTCGAGATCAAAACAAAAACCATTAGGTTAGAGAGAAATCTGGAGGCTAAGAGTTACCAAACTAACTTTTGACTTTAAAGAATATTTTCTCCAAAAACATTGCGCTTTATCAGGTTCATAAAGAAAATCAGTACTGTAGTTTCTCTCTACTCTTCCTAGGATGTCATCACAGGTCATTGTTTCCTTAGCTTTGCAGCATGCAAACAGTATTACTAGGATAGAAGCCAGTTCCACAAAACCATGTATATTCTGAGCATTAGAAGAGATGAAATTAATTATACAATCTCCTCCCCTTCCCTTCCTGAAAATATCATCTCAACTCTCAGCACTTACAGATAAATGTACATAAGCCCATGGTTTTGAGAGGTATGCAGCTCCAAAATGACAATACAGCTAAGGCTTGATGATATACAAGCATCACACTCTCCACTTCTTGACACATGCCCATTTCCCCCGATGTGATGTGACCACACAAAGACAGGAAGCTGCTCTGGGGGACATGTGCTACTTAGTCCTCTACCCTGTCCTGTTGGTGGCTTGAACACCTCAGATGCAGCTCAGCCCTTCCAGTGCTCCAAAGAACAAAGGGGCTGCTCCCTGCACTGTCAGAACTTCTCTGGACTCCAGCTGCTAGCACCACATCACTCAACCTACTTTACTGCACTTTACCCCCCTCCCCTGTCTGTTTCTATTGTCCAGGCTGAAGAAATATGGGGACAAATCATACTGATGTTTTCAAGACCACAGATGTCCCATATTCACAAATCTGTTTAGTTACCATTAATTATGACCCAATTCTGAATTTTTCCCAGCTCAATTACCACCACAAAACAACCAATATGAAAAAAAAACTTTACCTTGATTAAATTTATTCCCTCAGCAGCCTGATCCTTGGCCCCTTGAGCCGACTGGCCATCTGGATGGAGCACGTGATACAGCTGGACCAAGTTGGTTGCATCATCGATTCTGAGAATGAAAGGGTTTAATGTTATCTAGGGGTTTTCTTCATTTGATTCACAGTCCTATAAAAGTGTGTGCCAACTTCAAACTAAATTACATTTCAGACTTTCCTCAGGCTGGAGGGATTGGGGAAGGACCTTCAGTTTTACAGTTTCAAAAGCATTTTCAGGAAAATTGACTAATTTAGGCCTCACACCAACTCCGTGAGGCAGCTAGGGCAGGAGTCACTGCAGGAAGTGTCCAATTTATGAAAGTGAATATATTCCAAATGTGGCTATATTCTTTTTGGAAAAAGAGCACCATTTCTCACAGAAACAGCATTCCTAATGGTAGACAATTTCCAGGCCAGCTTACTTCACCAGCATGTAATAGTCTAATCCAACTCAGAGGACAGAAACACAGCTTCATCCCACATAAGCAGGAGGGTGGTGGTCACAGGGATCTCAAAGTCACTTGCCTCTAAGTGACATTTGCTAACAGACAAATGCCTCTACAAGAGGCCCCCTAAGATTCCAAGGAAAGGATTCACAGGAACGCATTAGTAAAATAGCATCCTAGTGAAGCAAATTTGAAATTATACACACACATCAGACAAAAAGGAAAATCGGGTTCTACATCAGCAATCTGTCTTAACTTCAGCATCACACAACTACCTATGAAGAAGACAGAACAAGAATTCAGTTCTTCTGGTCTGTACTTCTCAGAAATGTATAAACAATTTTTATCAACATTAAAACTGTCCTAGCAAAACCAAACAATCACTATCTTTTCACACAGCTGACACTTTCCCACCATTTGCCATCTCATCGCTGGAGGGCACAGAAAAACGACACTCAAAATGCTTGTGCTTTTGAGGCTCTGCTATATACACTAAGTGAACTACTGGCTTCCAGTTGGGAATGGAGGGCTGAGGACACCCTAATTCAGTGCTTCCGCAGCTAGCACTCTTCAGCCTTCCCTGCGTTCCCCTTACCTGAGCTGGGGGATGAAGAGCAGGGTGACAGTGGGAGTAAGTACAGAATTCCTCAAGCCTTGGTAGCCTTAGAGAAATGCTCTGGGCTTATACTGAGGCTCATCTACCCTAAAGGCCATCTCTCAGGAAAACAGAGCTGTTGTATCATAAAGCTTTTCAGGGGGAAAAAAATAAAAAATGTTCATCACAAATCTATTGTGCTTGTTATAATCTAACAAAGTCCACTAAATGTAGTAACGAAATGTCTCCCCAATAAAAAATTAAGATTCCCTTTGGAGCTTAGGCATGTGGCCTTATAAAGAGCTTAACTGGACTGCTACCTGTTGGTATGTTCAGGGCTTCATTAGGTTCATGCTTAAGTATAATGCCTGTGCCTCACAGAACAATTTAAATTTAGCTTAACACCCCACCCATACTTAAAGAGCAAATAAATTATATTTCGAAAAGATTTTAAAATAATCTCAATATAAAAACCAACAGTGGGAACTGAGTCTGGAATAAATGTGTGCAGAATCCTAATTCTTTTCTGAGCTCCACTCAGTGAGGATATGCACCCTCTACTGTCCAGCCTGTGGTTTGCAGTAAGCTCACTCTTCTGTTCAGAATGACCACAGGAGGGCCTTTACCTAGGAATAGCAGGAAAAGCTAAGTAAGTACTCAAACTTCCCTCCCAGTAAGCATGAATTGCTTCAGATGTAAAGCTTACATGTGATGAGTAATACTATAATATCATACATTAATATATCCTAATAAACTTTAATTTTCAAACATTTCTGCGTTGCTCTAATTTTTTGTAAGAACATACTGTTTTAATAATAAAGCAATTTCAGAATGATTAAACTCAAGAAACTTTATAAGTGGAAAATTCATTCACAGGAGATAACGTACATAAAGACAAGTCACTTGAGCATCCCCATCAACACCAGCCCCCAATTATGGGGTATGAAGGTATATTTCTGCCCTCTGATTTTTATTACACTACATATGCTGGTGAAATGGGCTAGCCTGGAAATCATCATCATTAGGAATATTGTTTCTATGAGAAATGATGCCCTTTTTCCAAGTATGGGCTGATTTTATTCTGAAAATAAGTTCTGTGGAACTTTCAGTTCCACATGCCTTACCTTTGTGTATATGGTTTGTATTACATGTTAGGATACTCTGCGAGTCAAAAACTAACAGTCTGAAGGTGGCAATAATCTCAAAACTGTCTTGTAGTTCAGACTTGAGTCCAGCAAGGGCTTTTTGTGGAAAGTTGACTTTCTTACTACAGCCATGCTGCTTCCTTGTCATTTTGGCCTTCCTAAATCAACTGATAGAAAGATGCTCAAAAACTATTTTCTCTTCAGTTTTACCACAAGTTGTATTATTATTTCCAGCTAGAAGCCTGGGAGCACACCAGCTTGATGCTAAAATACAACAGGTATTTTTTGTTTCATGCTACTCTGAAAAGAAGCTAACTTTTTCATGCCTTAAAAATCTTGCAAAAGCAAGGGATATCAAAAGTATTTTCATAAGTTAAAGGATGGTGTTTACTGAAAAGCCCTAGAAATAGTTCTACCAGAAAACAACCACAGAGCTTATTTCTACTTCTTTACATTTCCTATTTAATCCCCCTTTCGGTATCTGGAAAGTTCAGCAACCCAGGAGCATTGGTGAGCTCAGGATAAGTTAATATTGAGGGTTTACAGTACAGATCCAAAGCCACTTACTCTTTCAAGAGAAAGTAAGTGGCTTACTTACACTTTATATAAAAGCAAAAACTAGGAGAGCTAGGTTATACTAAAAGAACAAATCCATAAACTGAGGTAAGCAAGCACTAGACAGTACACTGTTATCACTGGAAAAATACCATAGCCTAAATACAGATGAACTGTTAGAGCAATAAGAATGATTCTTTCACTTACTAAGATCATACTTACAAATCTCTCTGAATCTGGTCAATCAGCAAACCATCAATCTTTTTATTATTTACAAAATACCACACCATTCCACCAAAGTATCTTGTTGAACGTAAAAGGTCATATTTTCCACGTTTATCTATATCTTCATAGGTCTTGTGATGAACCTATCCACATAAAATGCAACTCTTCAGAAACATGAAAATAAGAAGTATGCAGCATTATTCAACGTACACTGATTAGCATGAGTGCTGCCCAAGCAAGTAAAACCAGGTCTACTTACAGTTGCCTCCATATCATTAACCAATTGGTATGATTTAAACCATTCCTAGTACAACCCACCTTAGGTGGGAAGGAGGATTCTATTAAGAAAGAATTTTGGCCAGGCACAGTGGCTCATGCCTATAATCCCAACACTTTGGGAAGCTGAGGTGGGAGGACTGCTTGAGCAGTCCTCATCTCTAGGAAAATTTTTTAAAAAATTAGCTGGGCATGGCAGGCCACAGAATAAGACCCTGTCTTTAAAAAAATTAAAAGAGAAGAATTTGTCTAAATGACAGCAAGTCTGTGCCTTCTCCACTGTAGAAGTATGTGGCAGCCTGAAGCAAAATACCAAACATTTATAGCCATATTAAGTACTTTTTGGCAGGCCAACTACAATTTATTAAGCACCGATTATGCATATAGAGACCACTGGAAATAATGTAGCACCCACTTCTTGGTCACTATGGCAGAAAAGAAATCAAGTATTTTTTCACTACTCTCCCTTTCCCCTATCCCTCCCCCCATCAACTACCCTATTCTACCAGCTAGCCCATTCCATCTTATTAACTAAAGGTCCTTCAGTCCTCCTTCCAGATTGATCTTCCTAAATGAAGGTTCTGATGGGGGCATTCCTCTGTTCAAAAGGCTTTCAAAGGTCTGCTGACTGAATTCCAGATTCCTCAGCCTAGCATCTGAGGTCACCTATGATGTGGCTACATCCACCTTCCTAACTTAATCTTTAATCACTCCCCTACATATACATGGCATATATAAGCAAACCAGATCACTGGCCGTTTCTCAAGCCTCCTTTTTTCCTGCCTGTTGCTTATACTGTTCTCTCTACCTGAAACACCTCACCCAGCTCCACCTGCCACAACATTTCCTGCACTTCTAGAACCCTCCTTTACACCCCTATGAAGGCTTTCTTCAAAGAATTTGTAATCTTCTCTTAGTGTCTAGCATTTTAGGCCTGAGGAGATAATTATTTGTATACTTACTAGCACCTTTCCCCACAGCCATATCCGGACTGCTGGCTTTGGCACAGCATACTCTATCCTAGTTCGTGGCATCACCTATACTACCCAAGATAATACCTTACACATAGAAGGTACTAATGAATACTTACTGAGCTGTAAGACAAACACACTGTACTTCAGCAAAATTTTAGTAAATAATTTGATTCCTATACGGTAAACTGAAAAGAGAATAGGCTTTGTCATCAAACTTGGGTCCTAACCCTACCACTTAGTAGCTATGCAACTTTCAGCAAGCTACTTAATTCTACAAGCTTAAATTCCCTCATCTTTAATCAAGGGTTGTTGTGATTATAAAATATATATCTGGCACACAACTGTACTCAATAGATTTTCAGGTATTTCTCTTCCCTTTCCCCTGTATCAAAACTTACAACGAAATTCATTGAGCTAGATTAAAAATCTTACTCATAACCATACTTAAGCCTATATTTTAGAAACTAAAATCTACTCACCTTGATATACTCTGTGGAATCTGGCTCAAACTGGGCAAAGCAGAGATTGAGGACATCAACATGCCTGTCCTGGCTATACATAGTCTAAAACCACACAGCAGAGTTAGCATCACATGAGAACACTGAAGTTCAGCACCTGTCCTGATGTCATGACAGGCCTGCCCACCCACATACTGGCCACTCTGTGCTCCTCAAGAAGCATAAAGAAAGAACACAGGCTTTGTAATTGTCACACCTAGATTCAAATTCCAGCTAAGCCAATTATGAGAGAACCCTAGTACAACCCATCTTGGGTGGTAAGGAGGATTCTATTAAGAAAGAAGTCGGCCAGGCATGGTGGCTCACGCCTGTAATCCCAGCACTTTGGGAGTCGGATTGCGGGGGGGGGGTGCGAATCCCGAGGTCAGGAGTTCAAGACCAGCCTGGCCAACATGGTGAAACCCCATCTCTACTAAAAATACAAAAATTAGCCAAGCGTGGTGGCGGGCGCCTGTAATCCCAGCTACTCATGAGGCTGAGGCAGAAGAATCACTTGAAACCAGAAGGTGGAGGTTGCAGTGAGCTGAGATCCCGCCACTGCACTTCAGCCTGGGCAAAAGGAGCGAAACTCCATTTCAAAAAAAAAAAAAAGTCAAGTTATCATTAGAAATGTTTATCTGGATCAAGGCACAAAGCCAACTGGTTCTACAAATAAATCATCACCACTGGCTCTAAAACATAAAACCTAAGTCACCTTACCCTAAGATTTTCTTCCTTGAAAATTATTGGTGTCAAAATTTTACGACCTTCTTTTGGGAAATAAACTTGTATCATTCGGTCCCGTTCTTCCCAAGAGGCTTTGCGTAGTGTGCCACTTGGTTCTCTGACGACAATAAAACGCTCCTAAAATAGAAAAACATAATCAAGGATGCGTTTGTGAGGACGTATTTTTAGTTCCTGTGTCCCACTAAGGCCATTATAAGAATAATTTGCAATCAACAATATAAAATGCAATCATGCATATGAGATCAATGATAATTTTAAACCTCAAAGACTTGGCAAGGTTTGATATTTCCTTCACTAATCACTGCTGTGCATCTGACAATCAGAAATCTAAAATGAAAGTATTCAGTAAGTACCAACTATGGTGCTAACGTGAGTTCGATACGAAAAAAGCTGAGATTCATCTATATCCATTTTAGAGGAAAGAAGTGCTATGACCTTTCCAAACTTTCATTTCTCTATCCCAAAGTCTCATCTAAACAGATTTTACTACTTTATGATCTATGTTTAAAGTCCTTGGGATAAAAAGAACAAACCCAAGAATGAGGAGTCTTACTTCTACACTTTTATGATTTCTTATATTGGCATTAGACATAAACATGTCTGAGAGGCTGTCTGGTCCAACTGTCTCTGGTCACTTCGATCTTCCAACTGCCAACTCCCAGGCCATGGGATCACTTCCTCCTCTAAATTCTACCTACTTTTTATACCATTCAACTGGAAATTTACCCCACACAAGATTTTTGGCATCCCTCAGATATTGTTATATAACTGGAAAAGGGCAGGAAATGTGGATTATAATTTTTTGCAATACCGGGAGTGGCATACATGGAGCTTTGCACATTGCTGATAATTGATACACACCTGATTAATGTATAAATTAACCAAACAGTACTGACTCTCAAGTTTTCAGAGGTGTAGGAGTCTCTAAATGTGTTCTGAAGATAACATAGATGAAACTTCCATCAACACTGCCAATCGAAAAAAAAAAAGCACATGCCAACATAATACAATTTTTCCTCAGAAGGATTTTGGTAATTTGAGAAACCTGAATTCCAAGTTCCTTTCTCCTTTTCAAGTTACAAAATGCTTCCCAACCAACATGCACAGCACTGCAAACATATATTAAAGCATCACAAAACAAAAACTGTAATTAAAATTGAAACTCTGTGACTCATGTTCATTATGTCAAATATACAGATGGCTGGTGTTGAACATAGCTCAAATCGTTTTCTAACCATAATCATGTATAATAAAAGATTAATATGGAGTGAACCTTCTCCTAAACTCAGCATTCTATAGTGTTCTAACGTATTCTGTGGGCTGAATTGTAAACTATTCTCTTTTTATTCTTTACTTGCAAAGGCTCAAATACAAAGCTTACATATTTCTAAAATGCCAGAGTGTTCTTTTAAATTTGCAATCAAGTAAAGAGGAGCCAGAGAATAACAATCACAACAGAAGAAGTGGTGATGCCTGAAAATTATCTGAGAAACATCTGTCATTCTTACTGAAAATTCTGGAAAGCGAAAATCCTTTATGATGCCTGAGTTTCTTGGCATCATCAAGGAATTTATAAGACAGAAACATTCTATCTTCTCAAAAAGCTTCAGCTAAAGAAATCCATCTAACTTAGGCGAAAAGAGTCTCCTGCTTCCATTGCCTTGTAGATTTTTGTCCATTTGTGGTTTGGGATGGGTTTCTGTCTGTATCTGTGTACTCCTTGTTCTGCCTCAGCACATCTGGAATCTGGAAAATACTGTGCCTATTATCTGCTGAGAAATGGTAACACCATGATGTGGGGCTGGTCTGCATTTCTCATCCCTCATATAGTATATCTTCCAGAAGGGTCTCACCCAGTCAGAGGAAATCTGGTTTGGACGCATCAGAGACAGCCAGGTCACATCATCTCTCAAGCCCTTCTCCACATAGTATTTCAAAGAAAGATCATTTTGCGATTAGACATATACTCACCCGGTGTGGTATGCTATATGATATATCAGTAAACACATATTTGGTTGTTTCTGTTCCTTCCAAAATCTTATCTTCAGCTAACACATCATTTATTGGTACTCGCTCTTCCAGAACTGGTGGCATTTTTAATCGTACTTTAGCTGCCTCAACTGCCTGTCTTGTAGCCTAATGAAAGAAAATATTTATTAAGGAAAGCCACAAGGTTACATAATATAAGGATCATCTGACAAAAGCACATACTAATAAAAAATGCAAAAACCTGCATAGAAAAGAAGGTGTAGCCACAAATCAGTGAGTAAAAAGCCAAACCTGGACTTGTGAGCCCTGGCCTTTGCCTCTGCGATGTGGCTGAGACCACCAGCTATAGACTCAACCGTTATCAAAACCACAAAGGCATGCTCTGAGACAAAGCCAGGCTACAAAAGCTGCTTGAAACAGAATAAAAGAATGCAGTTTTGGGGTGCTTACTATGTGCCAGATAGTGTTCAAACAGTCTAAATGTATTTGGCTGATTTAATGGCCTCAATTACCTTATGAGTTAGGTGCAATTGTTATCATCTCCATTTTACAGAAGAAAAAACAGAGGCATACAGATGTTAAGTAAATTGCTAGAAAATTGCAACACTGGTATTTGAACCTAGACAACCCAACTTCAAAGCCCATTCTCTTAACCATTGACTACATTGCTTCATGCCATACTGTTAAAAGCAGTTACCTCTAGGAGGTGAAAAGATGGACTTTTACTCTTCATGTAATCTACTACTGGAGAGAGATATATATATTTTGCTGACTATAAATTACTTTTGAATCAGAAAGACGAGTATTAATGCTTTACGTATTCATACATCAAAGTGTTTTCCACGCAGCACTCAGTACCCATGGTACTGAGGACACTGGTGCCTGGAAAACATGCTGTTTCCATGCAGGATCTCACAATCTCCCCAAAGCTTCAGCCCCAAGGCAGATCACAGTAGATGTTTCTCCAGGAAGGAAGCTGGAGCAGGCAGAAAAAAGGAGGGGTGCTCAGGCTGCCTTGAGAGGAGAGAGGATACTCTCTGAACACCCAGACCTGATCCATATGCCCTAGTCTGCTCAATTCCAGCCATGCTCCCTGCCCCTCTCTGGCAGCCTACTCACATTTCTTTTCTCAGTTCTATGCCTGGTATTACCTTTCACTAGTGCCTATGGAAGAATAGCTATAAGCATCTGGAGGGGCCTCTAGAAATGTTGTTTAAACCCTTAAAGAAAGGTATTCTAACAATATTCCTGCATTCACGTACCTCTTCCAACTGTGCCTGAGTCATTAGCTTATAGGTTGGTGGCTTCAGTTCTTGTATAGCTGGCTTAAAAGTCTTCTGCAAGTTCAAGCCTGTCATTTTCGTGAGTATGCTTTGAACTTCCTCATCCATAAATGTAGGTTTCTTGGTCTCTGGGCTACCAGATTCTGCTAAAATGGACTTTAGTAAATAAGAAGCTGACAAAAATGACAAGCTAACAAGACCTCTAAATAGAAAAGTCAGTTAACAATAAAAAGCATTAGCACAATGTCTACCTTGGCACTGCAAAATGCTAATACCTATGAGATGCATTCATTTATTTCTTCATTTAAGATTTACTGAGCACTCATTATGATGAGGAGATAGACTCGGTCTCTGCCAAAAGGACAGACTACTAGAGGAAGTAACAGTAATAAAGTAATTAATGTAATAACTGTAATGGTTGCTGCCACTTACAGAGCTGTCTCCTATATGGCAGGTATAACACACATTTTCAGGAATGCTTATAACCACTCACAAAATAGGTACTGATAAACCCAATTTTATAAATGAGGATGCTGAAGCCTATCCAAAGACAACTAGCTATTAAGTGATAGAGTCAAAATTTAAACCAAGGTTTGTCTGGTTCTGGATCCTAGATGGTTTCCAATTTATCATAGCGCTCCTCGGTATAAGTGGGAGGTGTGGGGAGACATAATGTGAGAGGTATGGTATACAGGAGAGGTACGGGGCTTGGGTGATTGCAGAGGAAGAAACTAAGCATAGCCTGGACTAGGGATGGGCATGACAGGGTCAAAGAAAGCGTCCCAAGAGCCTCATCACGGCAGAGAAAAAAGGGAGGGAAAGTCTAGGCTAAGAGATTGCAGCTAGGAAAGAGGCTTGGTTCACTGGACATGATACTGAAGAGGCCGTGTGTTATCATGGAAGAGCCTTTGACATAAGCAGAGAATCAAATCTTAGCTCAGCCTCATGCAGTTTGCTTATTGCTTTGCCTAACTTCTACTTCCATTTCCATTAGCAAAAAAGAAAGAAAAAGCCATTTGTTCCTAGTCACCTCTTCTTCTCCTATAAATGTTGGTATCCCTACAGATTCTGAACGATGTCCTTTTCTCCCTTCTCAGATTCTTACTCGATGATTTCTCCTATCCTGCCACGACTTCAATTACCTTTATATGCCAGAAACTCTAAAATCTGAATCTCCTGCCAAGATCACCTTCCATCCAATTACTCAACCTCTCTCATGTACTTGAATACTGCCAAGTCAGAACCCATCAACTTTCCCTTGTCTCAAACCTGCATTTTCTGTTCCCTATCTCAGCATCATCCAGTAGGCCATACAGGCCAGAAATCTTACAGCCATTCCTAAATTCTCCCTGATCCTCCAGATCTAGCCAATAGCAGTAGTAATAACAACAACAGTAATCAAATAGCTGTAGTAATAATAACAGTAATTATAAGAGCTACCATTTATTAGCTATTTACTACATGCCAATACTGACTGAGCTAAGTACTTTACACATTCAGCCCATTTAATACTCACAACAACCCATGAGGTAAACACGAAGATTATCCCAATTTTACAAAAAAAAAAAAAAAACAAAAAAAAAAACACCACTGGCAGAGAACATACTGATTGTTTGCCTTCATAAATCTCATTTTAATCCTCCATTTCCCACTGCCACTACTCTAGTCAAGGCTATCCTCATCTCTTGCATCAGCCTCCCTTTCTCCATTCTGGCCCCACTACAGATCATTCTCCACAGAGCAACCAGAGTAATCTCTTTAAAATGTAATCAAGATTACTCCCAAGCTTAAAATTCACGAATGGCTTCCAACCTCATTTAGAAAAAAAGTTAAGGTGGTCTGCTTACCTACACTATGTCTCTCACTAAGTGATGTGCTCTATGAAGACCAGACCTTGTCTTATACTCATCTCTGGCACCCAGGGTTCCTCAGGGTATCCAGCACACAGCAAGTGCTCAGCACTACTCTCTCCTCAGTCTCACCCATTCACTCACCTTTAGTTACCATTTTTACTCCGATGTTCCTCACTTTATATTTAACTCCATACTAAACAGTTGACTCTTAAAGTCACCTCAAATTTAATGTGTCCCAAATAGGTTTAATTCCGCCTCCTTTCCCATCTCCTGATCTCATCTACTCCTGCACTACCCCCGCCCCCAAAATAACGGTTCCAACAATTAATTAATCTTCTTCATCTTGGTGTAAATGGGACAACCCTCTATTCCAATCAAAAACTTAAGAAACAATCTTAATTTGTCCCTTTAAACTCATATCCAAAGCCTTAATCAAGCCTTATCAATCCTACCTCCAAAATGGGTTCCCAAATATCTGTGCTCAGTCTCATTTCTGGACATCTGCTACTGTCCCCTATGCTTGAGAAGCTTCTTGCTTTCTCCTTAGCATGGCTAACCAGATCTCAGCTTTGGTCATATTTGCCAGGAACCCTTCCCTGACCTTCCAACCTAGTTTGAGTGCCTCTCCTGTGTGCGTCCCCTATAACAACCCGGGTCACACTGCACTGCCAATTCCCCATGGACATGAGTTCCCACAGGGAAATGTCTGTGTCAGTCTTAGTTTGCCATATCCCACAGAGCTTAGCACAGTGCTCTGCACGGAGCGGAACTCAGGCACTGTAGTTGAGTGAGTGAACGAATGAACAGATATGCAGGTGATGACAAACTCTACAGGTACAGAAGGAAGACAGCTGAATCTGAGGAAGCGCTAGGATACGTGTCGCGGGGGCTATCGCGTGGTTTTCGCCTGCCAGAAACAGGATCTACGTCTCCCAGAAGAACGCCCCAGCGAAAGTCCGGAAGGTCACTTACCGGCCTCGGAGCTGAACCGGCGGCGTGGCAGCCCCATCTCGAAAGAGCAAGGTAGCGGTTGGAGCAGGCCACCGTGCCAGGGCTGGATTCGAGCCCGGAAACAGACCCGTTCCACGCCCGGAGAACTCCTCAAGAGGCTCCACAGCAATACAGTTGTTCCGAGGGGCGCCATGATTATCAGAAGCCACTTGCGCCGGAAGTGGTTGGGAGGGATTCCGAGTCACACCCAGTTCTTGCAGCACTCTGGGAAATGTAGTCTAGTTAAAGGCGGAAAGGGCCGGAAGTCTTCCGGGCCCTTATAGATTGTTTCTTCTAAACTACTTATTCACAAGTAGACGGTGTTTATGTCCTTCCCTATGCATAAAGTTAAAACTTACACCTTTTTCCCTATATGCTCTTTTTCCTACCCGTTTCCATCGTTCTAAATAACAAATTTCCGGCCAGGCGCCGTGGCTCACGCCTGTAATCCCAGCAGTCTGGGAGGCCAAGGCGGGCGGATCACCTGAGGTCAGGAGTTCGAGATTAGCCTGGCCAACATGGTGAAACCCCCGTCTCTACTAAAAATATAAAAATTAGCCAAGCATGGTGGCGGGCGCCTGTACCAGGAGAATCGCTTGAACCGAGGAGGCAAAGGTTGCATTGAGCCAAGATCGTGCCATTGCACTCCAGCCTGAGCAACAAAGCAAGACTCCATCTCAAATAAACAAACAAACAAACACTCTAGCCTGGGTGACAGAGTGAGACTCTTGTCTCAAATAAATACATAATTTATGTATTCCACTTCCTGCCCAAACCTTCTCCCCCATCCTCAGGTTTAAATCCAACTACTTCTTAAATTTCTCCATCCACACTGCTCACATGCACCCTAAATCTAACTCCTGACTCCAAGCCCTGATTACCACCACCACCACTGCCACTGCCAATTCATACACCTGATTCTCTGTCTCAACACTTATTCCTTTCCTTTATAGCCCATTTTATAATCTGTTATTTTGCTCTTTATCTGCTTATTTCTTTTTCTCACCCCATGAACACAGTGACTCTACATATTTTATTGCAATATCACCTAGCCTAGTACATCTACGTGCACAGCAAACTTTTGTTGAATAAATGAATGAATGATTAAATGATTCTTTACATTTTTTCCAGCTATCCAGGATGTGCAGGTCTTATCCTTCTCTAGACTATAGATTGGTGCCTGTGCTAAGCACTTATCCCAAGGCCTGGGAAAACAGGGTGTTAGTAAACTCTTGTTTGACTTAGCTGGATGAATAGACTCACCTTCCAGCCTCAGCTATTTTCCCCCAACTTAGCATTAATATTAACAGTGCTGTTTATGAACTCATTCCCTATTTGGGAGGGGAAGGGAGAGCACTAGGCTTGGTGCCTATTTAGGCAAGTCTGCTGCCCTGCACTTCCCAATGCTTACACCTACATGATAGCAGGTGTCAGAGACTAGTGGCAGGATGAATGCAGGTGTCTCCCAGCCCATGCCTTTTCTCTGAAAATGAACCCTCTACTTTCTTCCCATAGCTGAGGGAGCAGGCCTCAGTGGCTATGTTTTTCCTGTAAACATCCTCCTGGACACAGCTGATTGGACACTTAGTGCAGGATGAATGAATCCATTGGCTGCTGTATTAGCATTAGTTTCCTGTGGCTGCTATAACAAACTACCACAAATATTATGGTTTAAAATAACAAAAATGTATTCTTTCACAATTCCGCATGAGAAATCTGAAATCAGTATTACTGAGCTGAAATCAAGGGAGCTCTGCTCCCCTTAGAGTCTATCTCTGGAGAAGAATCTGCCCCTTGTCTCTTCCAGTTTCTGATGACTGTAAACATTCCTTTGCCTGTGGCTGCATCATTTCAATCTCTGCCTCCATCTTCACATCAGCTTCTCTTCTTCTATTTGTGCCAAATCTTCCTCTGTTTTCTTCTTATAAGGATGTATGTGATTGCATAATCACTGACCCACCCTGATAATCCAAGATAATCCCCATTTTAAAATCTTTAACTTAATCACATCTGCAAAGACCATGTTTCCATATAAGGTAACATCCACAAGTTCCATGGATTAGAGTGCAGTTATACTTGGGAGGAAGTATGGGGGCATTCTTCAGCCTACCCCAGATGACCAGGCACCAAGCAGATTTTTTCTCAATAATTCAAACTATGAGACATAGAATAGTCGACGGTGGAAGCTTGAAGTGAATAACTAAGTATTTAGGGTTTGGGCTGAAGCAGCCTTTTTCAGCAATGTGCTCACTGATGAGTGAGCAGGGAAAAGCCACTCTGCAGAGAGAGGCAGGAAAATGGAGCAGATCCTCAGAAGCAGAGATGGGAGAATATGTACGGAGAGAGATGGAGAAAGGTGGTGTCTTGGCCAGAGAGCTTCCCACTTTCCTTTCAATGACCTCTTTTACTTGGGGTACAGTGAGTTTTACTGATATGGAGTAATGAAGATTCCTGGTTTAAGCTATAACCTCAGGCAGATGCCCACATCTTTCAGAGCCCCAGTACCTCACCTGCAAAATGGGCATAATGACAATACTTATCTTGCAAACTTTGAGAATAAAGTACTTTCAGGATCTGATGTCTGGTGTTTCATAAAGATGGTGTGAGAAGGTTGTGTGGTGGCAAGTCAATTACTTTCTTTTTTTCTTTTCCGTTTTTTTTTTTCTTTTGAGACAGGGTCTTTCTTACTTTGTCACCATGGCTGGAGTGCAGTAGCATGATCTCAGCTCACTGCAACCTCTGCCTCCTGGGCTCAAGCAATCCTCCCACCTTAGCCTCCCAAGTAGCTAGGACTACAGGTGCACACCACCATGCCCAGCTAATTTTTGTGTTGTCCAGGCTGGTCTTGAACTCCTGGGCTCAAGTGATCTGCCCGCCTCAGCCTACCAAAGTGCTGGAATTGCAGGCATGAGCCATGGCACCCAAGTCAGTTACTTTCTGAGGATGGTATTCAGAAGTACTCTGGTTGCAAGAAACAAATCTTTCCTGAGTAAAACTGAAATGGGAGTAATTGGAAGGATACTGAATATCTCACAGAATTCAAGAAAAAGCTCAACAGCCAAGCCTCAGGAAGGACTTGAAAGATGGCAGCTCCAAGAACCCCAGAGGCAGGAACTCAAGAGATCTCTCCAGGAGGTTGCAGTCCTAATGGCTTGGTTCCAACTCCCTGCCTTCCATCCAATCTAAGTTCCTGGTGAGAGAGGCTGATTGGCCTGGGTGGGGTTCTGTTCACCACTGGGGGTTGGGGAGGGTTGGCCCTCTGACTGACAGTCCCAAGGCTATCTGGCTGCAGCTACTGTTAGGATTCATTAGGTCATATCTTCACCAGCTCTGTGGAGCAAGCATGGTTTTCTATTATTTGTAAAACAAAAGTATAGTGATGCCTCAGTGGGGAGTGCCTTATCCCACTCTCAGTGATTTAACAGGGTCTGGACTTCTGTTTTTTAAAAGATATATTTTATCCTAAGCTTTTAGAAGTCAAGATGGGGTTAGGGGATAAAAGTCAGGGAGAGGAATGGAGAGAGGAAGAACAGAGCCCAAGGAAGAAAGGTGACAGTCTGGACAACGCAAGAACCCCTGCGGTCTCCAGCAACCACACTCATGTGACTTCTGTAAGTCTTCAATTCCCTATCCTTGAGGCCTCCCAAAAGGTCCACATCCACCCCACTTTTGACTTCACCCAGAGTTTTTATTCTTCTGGCCCCTATTCAAAGTCCAAACCTCTTACATGTTCCTACAGAGACACAAATTCCATGGCCGAAATTCCCCTTTGTGTGCTGAGAAGGGACTGGTAGCAAGGAAAAAACCAAAGATCCAGTAACGAGAAGGGACAAGTGATGTTGTGGATCCCTGAGGAAGCTTCAGGGGATGAAGATTCTAAGTGGAGGCATTGGTAGTAGATGCAAAGGAGCCTTTGCACCAGTAGGCCAGGAGTTAAGGATGGTTAGAGTGGATACGTTTTGGGGAGAGAATCAGAGAGCCTTCCTGCCTCTCTGTCCCTTTTTCTGAGCACTGGAAAGCAAAATCATTGGTCGAGAAGAGGTACGGTTGTGTTGGGAGCTATAGGAATGAGCAGTTTGAAGTATCTGCTGGGGCTGGGCACATGGCTGGGATGCAACCTGCTGAGCAGTGGGACAGTCAGTAGCAGTGCAGAAGAGGAGATAATTCCAGAGAAAGAGGGGAAACATCAGAAGACATTCCTGGAAGCCTGTGTGAGGGTTTGCCTGAGCAAAAAAACCTTGAACAATGGTAGGAATGGTTGAAGATGTGATGGCCCAAGCCCCTTCCCTCTCACTCAGAGTGCACTGTCTTCTCATCAGCCCTGTTAGTCTTCATGGCAAATTAGTGAGGCAGACAGGGCAGGCACTGATATTCCCATCTTTTATATGCATAAACTGAGGCTCTGAAGTTATGGGTCTTGCGCATGACCACCCAATTTATTCCATGCAGTGACAAGGCTGAACTCTGAGGTACCTGGCAGCTCTTATGGTGGAAAAGCTCTGTTCTACATGTGTTCTATGGGGTGAAGAAAAACATTGACACTTCCAGAAATTACATAGACTGACTTCTGAGCCAGAATATGGCCCAAAAGAGAGAAGGAGGGAGACTGTCCTCCACCACAAGCCAGTGGGGGCGGATGAGTCAGTTCCTCTAACCCTGGAGTTATCAGTTTATCTCCAATTTTCCACGTGACACTCTGTCCTTTTTCTTCTGATAGCATCCACTGAACTACAATTCTACACCAAACTGAACACTTGAAACAGAAAATGATTGCCAGGGGCCAAGGCTACATCAGTCTGTGATGACAGACAGACCCTCTGTCCTATAGCACAGGGACATAAATGTCAAAGGCACTAAGGCTGGCTGCTACTTGCCACCCCAGCTGCCCCCAAAGGGACTTGGGCCCAGAGCAGTGGCCCCATGACACAGCGATCATGGATATGTTTTGTAATAAATGGCACTTGGCTCCCCTGCTCCCAAGATCTGGCTGCTGTCAGGTTTGGTGTGGAACATTTTGTCTAAAGGACATGCTGGCCTGGGTTGAAAGTAATTCCCATCAGCTCAGAACTGGGTGGTCTGTCACTAGGTTATTTTTCAATTTGATCTGGACTCAGGAAGTCCCTCAGACTGAGAACTGGTATTTTCAAAGGTTAATAAGCCTGTCAGAAATTTCTTTCATGGGAAAATGTGATGTATCTGATTGCCCTGACTTGCATGCAGCTCCCCCAGGTCAGGGGCCTGGGCATAATTTCACTTGAGACTTAGGACTTCAGTGTTTTGAAGATTCTTGGGGCCTGGCTGGGAGAGGCTGGCAAAAGGATGTAGTGGTGGCTGTTTGCAGGAAGCCAGAGCCAGAAAGGGAAAATGTGTGTTCTTAGGACTAAGTGTGTGCCTCTGTGTATGTGCAACCACATATGTGTGTGCTCAGCTGTATGTGTCATGCAAGCGTGTATGTGCATAGGTGTGTGTGTTCAGGGGATACATGTGGATGCATTTGTGTATGTGTGTGGCCATTTTTGTATGCATGCAAATGTGTGTATTCAAATATGTGCATGTGCGTATGTGTACCCATGTGTGTGCAGGTACATTTGTATACATGTGGTTGAGTATATGCGTGTGTGTGTGTGTGTGGCCTTACATGGGTGTTCAGGTGGAAATACATGTGTTCACATGTGTTTATTGGCTTGGGAATGGGATACATTTAATGGTAGGAGCACAGGCTTTGGAATCAGACAGACATGGGTTCAAATACTAGCTCCGCAACTTATTAGCTATATGAGCCCATTTTACTCACCACCTGCTAGTTCCTCCTCTTTAAGATGGAATGATAACAACTTCCACATAGGACTGGGGTGAGGGTGAACAGACAGGAAGCAGATGGTGCTCTGGCACACAGTCAGTGGCCATCAAGTGGTAAATAGTATTATCACTATTACTATCATCATCTTCATCATTCTCATCCTCATCCTCATCATCATCATTCTTGTTCCATCTCATCTTATTCCTTATGAATGTTCAGTGGCATTCATTCTCCTCCCTTAGAAACTGTCCAGGGATGCAAACGTTCCAGGCTGAAATGAACTGACTTGACCTAGCAGTCCATAGAAATGAGTGATCAAACGAAGTCCCCTCACCCCTTGTGACTTTTGCTACTTTAGCAAATCACAATTTCCCCATCAGCTGAATTGTACCAGTAAACATCCTTGCTCAGTGAGTTTCCTTCTATGCTGGTAATTCTTGTAGGGATGAAAGTAATCAAACATTTGTTGACCACCTTCTGCACACTCAGACCTGAGACAAACCCTGTGGAAAATACGGAAAGAGAATACAGATATCCCGAACCTCAACAATTTCCCAGTGGAGTTTTGTTTTTTAAAATAAATAGGTTTATATTTTTATATAAATAAATAAATAGGTTTATTCAGGTATAATTGGCATACAACAAACTTCACACACTGAAAGCATATAATTTGATAAGTTTTGACGTATGTGTCTGCCATATAACCATAACCACAGTCAAGATAATGAAAATATCCATCACTCTGAAAACTTCCTCATACTCCTTGGTAGGTAATCCCTTCCTCCTGCTGTTCCCAAATAACTCTCTCCCCTGGAAGCCACTGCTTTCTTTCACTTTGGATAGTTTGCATTTTCTAGAATTTCATATAAAAGGCACCACAAGTTTATATTCTCTTTTGTCTGGCTTTTTGCACCTAATATAATTATTTTAAGATTCACTCATGGTGTCATGTGTATCAATAGTTTGTTCCTTTCCTTTCTACTGCTGAGTAGTATCTATCGTGGTTTATGGACCACAACTTGTTATCCTTTCATCTGTTGAGGGACTTTTGGGTTTTTCCCAGTCTTTGGTTATAACAAATAAAGCTCCTATGAACACTTGTGTACACGTCTTTGCACATATGTTTTCATTTCTCCTGGGTAAATATCTGGGAATGAATGGTTGACTGTGTTTAACTTTTTAAGAAACTCCCACATTTTTCTAAAGTAATTGTACCATTTTACATCTCCATCAACATATTATATGAGAGTATTGTTTCCTCAGCATCTTCGTCAACACTTAAAATAGTCATTCCTCTTAATGTTAGCCTTCTAATAAATGTGTTATGGTATCTCACTGTGGTTTTCAATTTCATTGGTCTAATGACTATTGATGTTGAGCATCTTTTCATGTGCTAATTTTCCATTCATTTGTCGATTCATCTATTCAAATCTTTTGCCTACTTTAGAAATCTAGTTGTTTGGTTTTTTATTTTTTAATTTCATGAATTCTTAAATATCAGAATATATATATGTATATTCTGGATACAAGTCCAATATTAAAATATGTTTTCAAACATTTTTCTCCCATTTGGTGGCTTACCTTTGTATTTTCTTTTTTTTTTTTTTTTTTTAATTATACTTTAAGTTTTAGGGTACATGTGCACATTGTGCAGGTTAGTTACATATGTATACATGTGCCATGCTGGTGCGCTGCACCCACTAACTCGTCATCTAGCATTAGGTATATCTCCCAATGCTATCCCTCCCCCCTCCCCCCTCCCCACCACAGTCCCCAGAGTGTGATATTCCCCTTCCTGTGTCCATGTGATCTCATTGTTCAATTCCCACCTATGAGTGAGAATATGCGGTGTTTGGTTTTCTGTTCTTGCGATAGTTTACTGAGAATGATGGTTTCCAATTTCATCCATGTCCCTACAAAGGACATGAACTCATCATTTTTTATGGCTGCATAGTATTCCATGGTGTATATGTGCCACATTTTCTTAATCCAGTCTATCATTGTTGGACATTTGGGTTGGTTCCAAGTCTTTGCTACTGTGAATAATGCTGCAATAAACATACGTGTGCATGTGTCTTTATAGCAGCATGATTTATAGTCCTTTGGGTATATACCCAGTAATGGGATGGCTGGGTCAAATGGTATTTCTAGTTCTAGATCCCTGAGGAATCGCCACACTGATTTCCACAATGGTTGAACTAGTTTACAGTCCCACCAACAGTGTAAAAGTGTTCCTATTTCTCCACATCCTCTCCAGCACCTGTTGTTTCCTGACTTTTTAATGATTGCCATTCTAACTGGTGTGAGATGATATCTCATAGTGGTTTTGATTTGCATTTCTCTGATGGCCAGTGATGATGAGCATTTTTTCATGTGTTTTTTGGCTGCATAAATGTCTTCTTTTGAGAAGTGTCTGTTCATGTCCTTTGCCCACTTTTTGATGGGGTTGTTTGTTTTTTTCTTGTAAATTTGTTTGAGTTCATTGTAGATTCTGGATATTAGCCCTTTGTCAGATGAGTAGGTTGCGAAAATTTTCACCCATTTTGTAGGTTGCCTGTTCACTCTGATGGTAGTTTCTTTTGCTGTGCAGAAGCTCCTTAGTTTAATTAGATCCCATTTGTCAATTTTGGCTTTTGTTGCCATTGCTTTTGGTGTTTTAGACATGAAGTCCTTGCCCATGCCTATGTCCTGAATGGTATTGCCTAGGTTTTCTTCTAGGGTTCTTATGGTTTTAGGTCTAACATGTAAGTCTTTAATCCATCTTGAATTAATTTTTGTATAAGGTGTAAGGAAGGGATCCAGTTTCAGCTTTCTACATATGGCTAGCCAGTTTTCCCAGCACCATTTATTAAATAGGGAATCCTTTCCCCATTGCTTGTTTCTCTCAGGTTTGTCAAAGATCAGAGAGTTGTAGATATGCAGCGTTATTTCTGAGGGCTCTGTTCTGTTCCATTGATCTATATCTCTGTTTTGGTACCAGTACCGTGCTGTTTTGGTTACTGTAGCCTTGTGGTATAGTTTGAAGTCAGGTAGCATGATGCCTCCAGCTTTGTTCTTTTGGCTTAGGATTGACTTGGCGATATGGGCTCTTTTTTGGTTCCATATGAACTTTAAAGTAGTTTTTTCCAATTCTGTGAAGAAAGTCATTGGTAGCTTGATGGGGATGGCATTGAATCTATAAATTACCTTGGGCAGTATGGCCATTTTCACGAAATTGATTCTTCCTACTCATGAGCATGGAATGTTCTTCCATTTGTTTGTATCCTCTTTTATTTCATTGAGCAGTGGTTTGTAGTTCTCCTTGAAGAAGTCCTTCACATCCCTTGTAAGTTGGATTCCTAGGTATTTTATTCTCTTTGAAGCAATTGTGAATGGGAGTTCACTCATGATTTGGCTCTCTGTTTGTCTGTTATTGGTGTATAAGAATGCTTGTGACTTTTGTACATTGATTTTGCACCCTGAGACTTTGCTGAAGTTGCTTATCAGCTTAAGGAGATTTTGGGCTGAGACAATGGGGTTTTCTAGATATGCAATCATGTCGTCTGCAAACAGGGACAATTTGACTTCCTCTTTTCCTAAGTGAATACCCTTTATTTTCTTCTCTTGCCTAATTGCCCTGGCCAGAACTTCCAACACTGTGTTGAATAGGAGTGGTGAGAGAGGGCATCCCTGTCTTGTGCCAGTTTTCAAAGGGAATGCTTCCAGTTTTTGCCCATTCAGTATGATATTGGCTGTGGGTTTGTCATAGATAGCTCTTATTATTTTGAGATACGTCCCATCAATACCTAATTTATTGAGAGTTTTTAGCATGAAGGTTGTTGAATTTTGTCAAAGGCCTTTTCTGCATCTATTGAGATAATCATATGGTTTTTGTCTTTGGTTCTGTTTATACGCTGGATTACATTTATTGATTTGCGTATATTGAACCAGCCTTGCATCCCAGGGATGAAGCCCACTTGATCATGGTGGATAAGCTTTTTGATGTGCTGCTGGATTCGGTTTGCCAGTATTTTATTGAGGATTTTTGCATCAATGTTCATCAAGGATATTGGTCTAAAATTCTCTTTTTTGGTTGTGTCTCTGCCCGGCTTGGTATCAGGATGATGCTGGCCTTATAAAATGAGTTAGGGAGGATTCCCTCTTTTTCTATTGATTGGAATAGTTTCAGAAGGAATGGTACCAGCTCCTCCTTGTACCTCTGGTAGAATTTCGCTGTGAATCCATCTGGTCCGGGACTCTTTTTGGTTGGTAAGCTATTGATTATTGCCACAATTTCAGAGCCTGTTACTGGTCTATTCAGAGATTCAACTTCTTCCTGGTTTAGTCTTGGGAGGGTGTATGTGTCGAGAAATTTATCCATTTCTTCTAGATTTTCTAGTTTATTTGCGTAGAGGTGTTTGTAGTATTCTCTGATGGTAATTTGTATTTCTGTAGGATCGGTGGTGATATCCCCTTTATCATTTTTTATTGCGTCTATTTGATTCTTCTCTCTTTTCTTCTTTATTAGTCGTGCTAGCGGTCTATCAATTTTGTTGATCCTTTCAAAAAACCAGCTCCTGGATTCATTAATTTTTTGAAGGGTTTTTTGTGTCTCTATTTCCTTCAGTTCTGCTCTGATTTTAGTTATTTCTTGCCTTCTCCTAGCTTTTGAATGTGTTTGCTTTTGCTTTTCTAGTTCTTTTAATTGTGATGTTAGGGTGTCAATTTTGGATCTTTCCTGCTTTCTCTTGTGGGCATTTAGTGCTATAAATTTCCCTCTACACACTGCTTTGAATGTGTCCCAGAGATTCTGGTATGTTGTGTCTTTGTTCTCATTGGTTTCAAAGAACATCTTTATTTCTGCATTCATTTTGTTATGTACCCAGTAGTCATTCAGGAGCAGGGTTGTTCAGTTTCCATGTAGTTGAGCGGATTTGAGTGAGTTTCTTAATCCTGAGTTCTACTTTGATTGCACTGTGGTCTGAGGGACAGTTTGCTATAATTTCTGATCTTTTACATTTGCTGAGGAGAGCTTTACTTCCAACTATGTGGTCAATTTTGGAATAGGTGTGGTGCTGAAAAAAATGTATATTCTGTTGATTTCGGGTGGAGAGTTCTGTAGATGTCTATTAGGTCCACTTGGTGCAGAGCTGAGTTCAATTCCTGGGTATCCTTGTTAACTTTCTGTCTCGTTGATCTGTCTAATGTTGACAGTGGGGTGTTAAAGTCTCCCAATATTATTGTGTGGGAGTCTAAGTCTCTTTGTAGGTCACTCAGGACTTGCTTTATGAATCTAGGTGCTCCTGTATTGGGTGCATATATATTTAGGATAGTTAGCTCTTCTTGTTGAATTGATCCCTTTACCATTATGTAATGGCCTTCTTTGTCTCTTTTGATCTTTGTTGGTTTAAAGTCTGTTTTATCAGAGACTAGGATTGCAACCCCTGATTTAGGCCTTTTTTGTAAGTTCTACGTTTATGCTTAACTTTCAAAAGAGATGGAATACAGTTATAATCACTTTTCATGTCCTTCTCTGCTAATTCTATGTGTGTGTCAGTTCTGGGTTAGTTTACATTAACTAGTTCTCATGAGGCATTATGTTTTTTCTGCCTTTATATGCCTGTTAATCTTTGTTTGGATGTCACACATTATGAATTTTACTTTTTTGGGTGCTGCATTTTTTGGTATTCTTATAGATATTCTTGTCCAGAGTGTAGTTAGCAAATTGGAAACATTTGCTCTTTTTGGATATTCCTTCACAATTTGTTGAGCCATTTAAATAAATAGCTCCATCTAGGGCTATTTATTTCCCATTACTAAGGCAAGACTTTACAAAGATTCTACCCAATGCCCCATAATTTAGGAGTTGTTCCATTCTTGTTGGTGGAACCAGGCACTATTTTCAGCACTCTATGTGTGTGTTCTGTCCACTGTTCCTAATCCTCCTGGATGCCTTCCCTGACCCACAGCTTTCAGGCAGTTTCTTCATACACATGCTCTGATCAGTACTCTGCTGAGTAATTGATGAGGACCCTTTGCAGATCCTGAGTTCCCTGTCTGTGTAGCGCTCTGTCTCTTTGGTACTCTGATTAGCAAACCCTAGCCACCTTGGTCTCCCTGAGCACTCAGTGTTATCTCCTGAATGCAGGGAGTTTTCTAGGCTCTGCCTGGATTCCCCTCTCTGTGCCATCGCCTGGAAAGTCCCTCAAGGCAGTAAGTTGTGAAAATAGTAGGGATCCTCTTGTTTGTATCCTCTCTTTCAGGAATCACTGACCTTCATTTCAAGCCACTGTCCAGTATCTTAAAAACAAGTTTTATATATTTTGCCTGTTTCGTTTCCTTATTTCAGGTAAGTCTGGTCCCTGTTCCTCTATCTTGGTTGGAAGTGGAAGTCCTCCTCAATGAAGTTGGCGGGACAAAAACACCTCAATGATACCATTAAGGAGTAATTTAAGATTGCAGGCCATGCATTTTCTAGACCTAGAATTTTCAAAGGATATTTTTCTTCTGGTTTAAAAACTATAGTTGATGAGGACTCACAAACTAATACAAATCATGAAGCAATTATAAAAAGCATGACATTCCAGGAAATTGGAACTGCCACTGAATGTCTAGGATGGAGGGTCTCCATGGCAGAGGATTTCCTAATGAGTGGTTGGAGTGAGCTAAAGGATGAGGCGGGCTGCAGAGACGTGAGCAGCAAGACTAAGCAGGTTCCCCTGTTACATGCTGTCATAGTATCCTAGCCCTGCATTGATAGTGCTTATGAAGAGTTTAATTAAATAATTGTTAGTTTACTTGGTTATTATCTATTTTACCTTCCTGGCTAAAGGCTCCATAAGGGCAGAGCCTTTAGCACTATATCTTCAGTAGACATCAGTGTGTTTGACACATAGTAGAAGCTCAAGAAATAGCCATTGAATAAATGGGTCAGGTGCGGTGGCTCATGCCTGTCAGTCCAGCACTTTGGGAGGCCAAGGCAGACAGATCACCTGAGGTCAGGAGCGTGAGACCAGCCTGGCCAACATGGTGAAACCCCATTTCTACTAAAAATACAAAAATTAGCCGGGCATGGTGGCACGCACCTGTAATCCCACCTACTCGGGAGGCTGAAGCAGGAGGATCACTTGAACCTGGGAGGCGGAGGTTGCAGTGAGCCAAGATCGTGCCACTGCACTCCAGCCTGGGTGACACAGCAAGACTCCGTCTCAAAAAAAAAAAAATACCCCATCGAATAAATGAATAAATAAATAATGATGAGTAGAATTAGCAGAGCAGGGCCCAGGCCTCCAGGCAAAGATGAGAAGAACCAGCCCTTCTAAGGACTGGAGAACAGCAACGATGATGATCTGGGGGGCGGACAGAGCCCACAGTTCATCCTTGTGTGTGCTCAGTACTTAGTGGCTGCTCACAATTGTGCAAGTTAGCAGAATGTTCTGGTTGTCCACTGCACTGTAACCAACTCTCCAAAACTTGGCAGCATTTATTTTGCTCGTGAATCTGAAATTTGGGTAGGGCTTGGTGGGGACAGCTCATCTCTGCCCTCTCTTGTACCAGCTGGAGTAGCTCAAAGGCTGTGCCTGTGATCATCCAAAGGCTTATTTGTCACATGTGTGCCAGTTGATGTTGGCTGTCAGCTGAGATCTCAGTGGGGGCTGTCAGGCAGAATACCTACACGTGGCTTCTCTGTGTGGCCTGCACTTCTTCATATCCTGGTGGCTGGATTCCAAAAGTCGGCATCTCAGGAGATAGAGAGCCAGTCCAAAGCCATATCACCTGTTCTAACCTCGTCTTGGAAATCACACAGCATCACTCCCATCTCACTTTATTCAGTAGAAGCTAGTTGCTAAAGCTGGCCAGTATTCAAGGAGAGATGAATTAGACTCCACTTTTTGAAGGGACAAGTGTGAAAGAGCGTGTGGGCATGTTTCTAGACCGCCCTGCAGAGTTCCTGTAGAGTGCTGCCGCATGTTGGGCCTGTGTACTGTGAGGAGGCCCCAGCCCAGCTGAGGGGAGGTGATATTGACACAGGAGTGGGTAATGATGGGGACAGCATGAGAGCCTGGCATCAGATAGTTTGGGGCTCCTAGCAGGGCTGCAGATCTGGGGACAACAAGCCCCCTCACCCTGAGAGCTGGGTGCTCAGTGGGGGAGACCTCCCTAGAGGAAGACATAATTGAGGTGTGGCAAGAGGGCAGGACACTTCTGGGAAGGAGGTGTGAGGTGAGGCTGTGGGGTGGTATGTGGCCTGTCCAAGCCCTAACAGCTGCTGAGTGGCAAGTGGCTTGAACCCATATCTGTGTGTTGGAAGGGGCTGTGTTCTTCCACTGCAGCAGCAGCAGCAGCAGCTCTAAGAATACAGTGATGATAATAGCAATGGTTCTTCCCAGGGGAGCCAGAGACCCACAGGCTTTGAAATTAATGTGAATCCCGGCTCTGTCTTGTACTAGTAGGGTGAATTTGTATGTGTTACTCCACTTCTCTGAAATTCAATTTCTCTTTTGTAAAATGGGCTTGATAATCCCCACCTTTCAGTGTTGCCACGGGGCTTAGTGATAATCCTCATGACATGTCTAGCAGCGTGGGGTGCAGAGAAGATTCTCAGTGAGTGGTACCCAGTACTACCTTTGCAGAGCGCTTTACCATTTTACATTACGGCCTTTTCATTTGTTCCCCAAAATCACTTGAGAGAGGAAGGGCGGGGATGGTCATCTTGGGTGCAGGTAAGGAGCAGGGACAGCGTGGACAAGGCATGTGTGGGCCAAGCGGCAGGCACTGGAGGCGGCATGCAAGCACCTAGCAAGTTCAGAGGTGCTCCAGATTCCTGGACAGCGCCCTCCTCCGCGTAGTGAGGGACGCGTGTTCTCCTGGCGGGGGGGCCGCTAGGTGGCGCTGTGGGACCGCCGTGGGGAGCCAAACGCTGGAGCAAGGCGTCCTCTCTGGCGATTAAACCTTAGGCTGCCCTTCCGGGCCACGCCCTCAGTGGAGCTGGGGCAGCCCGGCTCCGTGTTCCGCATCTCTTGGACTCACACAGAGACAGAATGCATTCTCCTTTTCATGCAGCCTCATGCTACCTTCTCCACTGGCACTGCAGACAGACCCTCCACCCTCTCTCCTTCCTGCCACAGAGGCATAGGGTCTCTCAGGACAGAGGGGGCTGTGGGAGCCAACAGCACCCGTTCTAGGAGAGAGGGTGACTTTGCTGCAAGACCCTGTCTAGTTCCTAAATACCCAAGGCTACATCTGGGCATGCAAACCCCTCTTTCTAATGCTGTAAATTTAGTGATAAATCTCCACAACCATTTCTTTGGGGAGACTTACTTTTCCATGAGGTGGGGGCCACATTTCCCTCCCATCTAGTCTGGCACTTGGTAACCCCACCTGTGCCCACAGGCCTTTGCCATGAATTTCAGGGTGTGGTAGAGGAGAGAGCCTGCGTCAGGAGCCCATCAAATCTGTAACGCAAGCTCAGCCTCCACAAACCAGTAATTTAAAGTCAGAGTCACTGCGGTAACTCCTCTGAGGCTCATCTGCAGAGTGGGGACAGTAATCCCTACTTTGTAGGGTTGCAGTGAGAAATAAATGATGTGTCTTGTGGATGTGCTTTGTCTGTTGGAAATCTCTAGCCACCTGTGAGATGTGGTTATCACAAAAAGATAACACCTTTGGACAGCCTTGGGACATGTACAAAGTGGCTGGTGTGGGCAGAAAGTGCCAGGAAGATGACAGCAGGGTGGGAGGGAGACATGGGCCTTGAGCCAGGTAGTCAGGGTTAAGGGTGTGAGAGCGAGTGGGACTCACACAAGCATAGTGATTGGGAAGTGTCAGCGAGTGGGATCTGGCCCATGTGGCCAGAAGGTGAAGACAGGGCCAGACTGAGGGGGCCTTCAGTGCCTGGACACTGAATCTGAACCCAGTTCTGCAGCCATCAGGGAATATTTATGGATTCTCAATCTCCATCTAAGAAGGGGCAGCCCCTGGACAGGTCCCTCCAGCAGCGGTGGGAATGGGAGAGGGGCACAGCCGGGAAGCTCTTGTAATCACTGTGCACTTCACCCTGCTCTTAATTGTGAAACACTTGATTCAAAACACTGCTCCTCCTCCAAGTTCTCCTGATGGTTGAAATGGGCTTGAGGGTCGAGGTCCGCTGGTTCTTTCTGTCTCTGGAGGACAGGCCCAGCTGGCCGCAGTAGACTGCCTTGACAGCTGATTCAGTGCTGTTCACACACATGCTTCACCTGCCCTGACACAGGAAGAGTGTCTCCAGGCTTCGCCTCCCACCTCCCCACGAGGCAGGAAGCCCAGCCCCAGGCCTGTCTGAGCTGTCTCAGAGAGAAGCTGGGTTATGGAACCACAGCGGCCTCCCACTCCCAGCACACACACACACACACACACACACGAAATGAAATGCGTGGTGGACAGGGAAAGCCACGCAAAACCACAGGACCATGTGCTGTGCTCACATGCCAGACACACACAAGAAGGAAGATATGCTGCAGCCAGCCTGGCCTCCTCCTACACAGAGTGGCAGGGTTGGCTTTCCCTCCACAGCAACCTCATCACCAATCCTTGGAACTGTTGGCCAGGAGGCCTTAGTTGTGGGCCAGACGTCTTGGCCAGTGGGCTCTTCTGTTGGGAAGTAAAGGAGGCACCTGAAATTGCTTTCCATTCTCTGCCTGTGGCTGAGAATCTTTCCCAAATGCCAATGTTCACAGTGCCCATCATTTTTGATAACTTTGGGTGAAACATCCCTTGAACATCAACTCTGAACCCCAGCAACAGAAAGCCTACAGAAGGAGTAGAAGGGCAAGAATTGGAGAAGTTGAGTTGGCCTAAAGATACTCATGGGGACTGCCTCTCTGGAGGAAAGTTTATTTCCGTGCATTACGATCCTTCTTCCTACAGGGAAAAGGCAGGGGAAGAAGGCAGAATCTGGGGCAATGGGAGGCTCGGTTTTTTTGGATTCCGGCTTGGCAAGATGTATGTTCTGAGATCTGAGAGCAATTTCATGTTATGTGATTTTTTTCCCCTCCCCGTGGTAGCCTGGCAAGACCCTTGAGCCAGAAAAGAGGCTGAGAAGCCAACTCCCATCTGTGTCAGGAGTGCTTTGTGCTTCAGTTTTTCTGTCTGCAATATGGGGATAACAGTACACACAGGCATTTCACAGGGTTGCCATGAGAATTAATGGATAGATGTAAAAGATTTAGAAAAGCGTAATGCACAGTTTAATGGAGGTGGTATTTTCCCCCCAGTGGAAAAAATAAACAGTATATTCTTACTACATACAAGTACAACCTCAGTCCCCAAAGCCAAGTGAGTCTGAGAAACAAAGCCAAAAGCGAATCTAGAGGGCGGGAGCTGGAATTCTTGGTGAGGTGGCCTTTGAGTTGAGGGCTTTCCCTCCCTCTGATGGCTCCAGCAGCTCCCCCGGCCCTGCCTGATGAAAGGGAAGACAGGCTCTGTTGTGGCTTGACACATGCCCCAGATGTTAGGTTGCAACTTTGTTCAGCAATTAGCTCTCAGAGGTGGCAGCTGTGTGGAAAGGGCCAGGGCTTGGAACCAGGGTGCCTGTGTCCCACTGCCAGCCAGGCCCTACACCAGCTCAGAACCCTTGGGGGAGCTGCTCAGCTTAATCAAATAGGGATAAAGCACAGGAGCACAGGCCTGCTCCTTCGGGTTGCTAGATTTACCAAATAAAAATACAGGACACCCAGATATATTTGAACTTCATATAATCAACAAATAATCATTTAGTACCAGTATATCCCATGCAATATTTGGAACATATTTATATTAAAAATATTATTTAATATTTATCTGAAATTCAAATTGAACTGGGCATCCTGTATTTTATCTGGCAACCCTACTCCTTCATGAGACTCTACAAGGAGTCCACTGGTTGAAGGGGACCTCTCTGCCTCCTCTCTGGTCTTAGTCAGCTCAGGCTGCCCTAACAAAATACCATAGACTGGGTGGCTTAAACAAAAGTAATTAATTTTCTTCTAGTTCCACAGGCTCGGAAGTCTGAGATCAGGGTGCCAGCATGGTTGGTCAGGTTCCGGCGCGGGCCCTCTTCCTCCCTGTAGAGACTGCCTTCTCTCTATGTCCTCATATGGCCTTTCCTCCATGTGTGCCCATGGAGGGGACAGAGATCTCCCTCTGTTCCTCTTCGTACAAGGCCAAAATCCTACAAGATTACAGCCCTCCCTTATGACCTCACTTAACCTTAATTACCTCTTAAAGACTCTATCTCCAGATACAGCCACATTGGGTGTTAGGGCTTCAACATACAAGTTTCGGGGGGACACAATTCAGTCCAGAGCAGCCCCCTCCACTGTTGTCAATGTGGCTTAGACTTGTGACTGTGGCTGTCAAGGGACAGTGTGGTGCAGTGGGAGGCCCAGGGGCCCATTTAACAGTCTTCCCAAGGTCCCCAGCTTCCATGGCAGACTGGGTGCTCTGCTTCTCATCCCTGAGCTGAGGCCTCCTCTGTGCAATGGAATGATGTTGGCCCTGTCTCAAAAGGGTTACTTGAGAGGAAAATGAGATGTTGCTGGTAAAGCACCTAATATGGCCATGCACACAGTGGCCCCAAGTGCACCGGCTACCTACCATGCCAGCTGCTCACCCGCCCCCATCATGCCAGGCGGCCTGCTGGCAGGCACCCATGTTCCCTGGGAGGGAAAGCCTCTCCCTCACTGTGGCCTCCTTGCACCTGTTTCCACTGCTATCACCATTCCAGGCTGCCAGTCTGGCCAGCTGCTGCCTCCTCAGTGCCTGACATGGTTTGGCTCTGTCCCCACCCAAATCTCATTTTGAATTGTAGCTCCCATAATTTTCACATGTTGTGGGAGATAATTGAATCATGGGGGCAGTTTCCCCCATACTGTTCTTGTGGTGGAGAATAAGTCTCCCGAAATCTGATGGTTTTATAAGGGGCTTCCTCTTTAGCTTGGCTCTCATTTTCTGTCTCGTCTGCCACCGTGTAAGACGTGCCTTTTGCCTTCTGCCATAATTATGAGGCCTCCCCAGCCACGTGGAACTGTGAGTCTCCATTAAACCTCTTTTTCCTTATAAATCACCCAGTCTTGGGTATGTCTTTATCAGCAGCATGAAAATGGACTAATACAGTGCCTGTCTGCCTTCCTTTCCAGAAACCTTGCTGGATATGCTCTCTGATGACCAGAATTCATCAGTGTAATTGGTCCCAGAATGTAGCAGAGAAATAGACAAGCTCACACCATCAGCCCATTCCCTCTCCAACCCAACTAAGGCCTTCCAGAAATCCGGCCCCCTCAGGGAAGCATAGCTAGTGTCCAAGATGGGGCTGGCTCTCTGCTGCCCCAATTTTGGGGCCCCAAGTGGCTTTCAAGACAAAGTATATCTGGGGATGGAGGTTGGTGGAGAATCATGAGACGGATGAGGACTCTGGGGTCTTTTGCTTTTGTTCTCTAAGCCCAAGGAGCAGTCAGGGCCGAGTGGCCCGCTGGGAAGTACAGGGGTTAAGAAACAGGAGCCTCTGCCCTGCCTCCCCCAAAGCCCTGGGCCCATCCCTTAGCCCTGCTGGCCTGCAGTTTTCCTTTTGTCAGAAAGAGAGACCAACCCATGCATGGGCCACCTCTCAAAATCATTCATTCATTCTTCCAACACACAGCCTTCTCCCAGGATTGGAGGAGGACACAGGGGACACACAGAGGAGAAGGACACATCCTTGCCATCGTGGGGGCTCCTGACCGGAGGGAGGGATGGAGATGATGCAGCCACAACGCAGTGGAAAGTGCCTGGACAGAAGCAGGCTCGGGACACACAGGATAGGATGGGGTCCAGTCCCAACGTGAGCAGACAAAAGGGAACAATGATGCAATGGGCATCATTGACAAAAATTTAAGTCAGCCATCTCAAATGTTGGCAACAATGTGGTACAGTAGGAACATAACATTCTGCCAGTGGGAAGCCCATTTAGTTCAACTTCTCCAAAAAACACTGGAGACATTCATTCCTTAAGACGCAGAAATCCCACTCCTAGGTATGTGCCCTACAGAAACATCCACATGTGCACCAGGAGATCTGTACTGGAACACTCCCAGCAGCAATGCTCATAGAAGCCCCAACTGGAAACAGCTCCCCGAGGGCCAGCAGTGACAGAATGTGAACGATTGAACAGTGGCACGTTCACACAATAGAATGCTATACAGCAATGAAAATGAACACAAGGTGGCTGCATGCAATAATAAGGATGAATCTCACAAGCACAATTTTGGCAAAAAAGGCCAGATGCAAAAAAAAGTGCATATTGCATGGTTCCATTCTCATGAAGTTTTAGAACATTCAAAACTATATTGCTTCGGGATGTGTACATGGAGGTAACAAATCTCAAAATGAAAACTAGGATTAGCACCAAGTCAGAAAGGTGGTTTATTTCCATCTAGTGGTTTCTCTAGGACAGAGGTTCTCAACTGGGGATGATTTGTCAATGTCTGTAGGATATCTGTCAATGTCTGGAGGGGTGTATTTGATTGTGATGACCCTGAGGAGGGGTGGGAAGCAGGGTAAACATGCTACCGGCATGTACTAGATGCTATTGGCCAGGGACGCTGCTAAATATCCTACAACGCACAGGACATCCCTCCCCGGCCCACACCCCCAACACCAAGGAATTATTCTTCCCACCATGTCATAGTGCCGACCTTGAGACATCCTGGTCTAGGAGAAAAAGGAAGATGCTCACATGGGGCTTCTAAGATCCTGGCAATGTACATGGGGGTTCATTTAAAGTGCATCCTTTAAGTTCTACATAAAGATTTCATACACTCTAGAATAATTACAGAGAATGCAGTTGGGTGTTTGGGAAGATCAGCAGGGAGACCCATGAGGTGAAGTACAGATCTCCCGGTGCACATGTGGACGTTTCTCTAGGGCACATACCTAGGAGTGGGATTTCTGGGTCTTAGCATCTGGCCGCAAGGGGAGCCCAGGACCAGGGTTGTTGCTGGGACACCCTCACAAAGCGCTTCAGATACCTGGGCAGTCTGACACTGGCCCGCAACAATCACCCAAGAAACTGGCACACAGAGGGGCTCCCAATGCTAAGGATGAGTGCCCTGCCCAGTGAGGTGAGTCCTCTGGGTTCTGCTCTACTGTGGGGTGCTGCAGAGGCCACAGGGGGCCAGGTAGAGAGAAGGCCTGGTTGGCCGCCCCGCCACCACTCTCAGGAGGGCCTGGGGGTCCAGGGTTTCAATGAGGCATTTTTGGTGGTACCAAGAACTACATCCTTTCACATCCACTTATGGGTGAACCACCCAAACAAACTCTGAGCTTTTTCACTCCAAGATTAATAAGGAAGACAGCAGCAACCTATACTAGAATTCAAACTCAAACTTGTGTTTGAATCTTGACTTGCCACTTAGAAGCAGCGTGACCTTGGACAAGTTACTTGATTTTGCTGAACCTCAGCTTCGTCGTGTGTAAAAACTGATGTCTATGGCATAGCGTTGGCATGAGGAAGAGATAAAATGATGTTGGTAAAATGGCCAGACCGGCATCCAGGGCATAGTAGTGGCTACTAAGTGGCAGCCATGACTGGTCACTGTCAGAGGCAGCACAGCCGCTGTGAGATGCTGAGGAGTGTGGTTGGCAGCGGCTACCATGGGCTCTCCACCTCACTCAGTGTCACTCGTGATGGTTCAGACCTCTTGTGTCTTCTACCTGTATCCCTGCTAATAGCCCTTGGCCCTGACTGATTTAAAAATTATTAGCTCCTTTGGGGAAACAAGGGAAGGAATTTGGGTCCAGACCTGGGCCAAGGCTTTGAAAGAGGAGCATGCTTCCTGGGGCACAGGCACTGGTGTGAGAGCCTGCATATCAACAGGAAACGAAGGGCCCCTCGGCTCTGCTTCCACCACCTCCACAGGCACCCTGATACTCTTGCCAGGGTCTCAGCTCTGTTTTGTTTCACAAAAAAAAGACCATGTGCCATATCAGTCAGGTGCCGAGCAGGCAAGAGATGGCACATTCGATTTAGGATCACTTGAAGGGAATTTAATAACTATTCAAATAGCATGACCTCGGACCTCATGAGTGAGATCTAGGGACACCTCAGGGACAGTACAGATTCTGAAAGGGTGGGAGGATGAAAGGTTTACCAGAACCTGGAAGGGGAGCATGGTCCAGGCAGGGGTGCCTGGAGGGAGCTGTGACCTTCAGTCCAGGGACATGAGCAGCCTGCCACAACCCTGCAGGATCTGCTAGAGGAATAAATAACTCCCACCCATTTATCCCCTGCCCTTAGATCTCCTGCTGGTACCTTGCATTGGTCTAATCTAACAAGAACACAGTGGACAAGAGAGTCTTTATGCAGTCCATTCTGGTCAAACTTCTGGACACAGAACAGGATGGCAGGAGAGTGGGTGTACACAGAAAATGCTCAGCACAGGGGTGTTTGAAGGGGGTTTCCTTCAAAGGAGGCTCCATTTGGAGGCTCTCTGTGGTGATGGGTCCCTTCCTTGTATGTCAGTCTTATGAAGACTGTTTCATGTCTAAGTGACATTTTAAAAATCAACTTTATTGAGGTGCAACTGACACATAATAAAACGCATCCATGTTAGATGTACCCTTTGGTAAGCCTTGGGGAATGTATACAGCTGTTGTACAGAACACTCCCATCACTCTAGGTACCCTGCTCCCCTTCCCCATCAGTGCTCCACCCCAGCCTTGCCTCTGAGCAGCCACGGAGCTACTTCCTGTCATTATAGAACGGATTTGTCTTTTCTGGAGATTCATATAGATGGAATAACCCAGCATGTACTCTTCGATGTCTGATTTCTTTCACTCTGCATGATTTTGAGATTTATTGTGTATACAGGTTGTTTATTGATTTCACCAATGAGTTAGTATTCCATTGTGCCAATATGTCATGATTTATTTATTCCTTCACCTATTGATGGACGTGTGGGCTATTTTTAGGTTTTTGCTATTATGAATAAAGCTTCTATGACTATTTGCAAAGGAGACTTTATACAGACAAATGTTTTCATTTCTCTCAGGTAAATATCCAGGAAGGAGATTGCTGGGTCATATGATAAGCCTCTGTTTAACTAGATAAGAAACTGCCAATCAATTTTCTAAAATGGTCTTATTTTTTGCAACCCACCAGCAAAGTATGAGGGTACTAATTGCTCCACATCCTCATCAGCACAGAATCTTCTGTCTTTTTAATGTTAGCCATTCTAGTGGGAGAGGAGGTGGTGATATCTCATTGTAGTTTACTTTGAATTTCTCTATGACTAATGACATTCGGCATCTTTTCATGTGCCTGCTGCCCATTCTGATATCTTCTTTTGTGAAGTGTTTGTTCAAATCTTCTGCTTTTTTTAAGTTGTCTGTATACTTAACATTGAGTTAATTCCCTCCAGTTTATGGCCTGCCCTTTTGTTTCTTAACAGTGAAATTTGAAAACCAGACTTTTAAAAAATCTCTCATTAGGGTACTTCTTAAATGTGACTATTAGGCCATGTAAGAAGGGCCAGTTCTCCTCACCCTGCCTCACTCCAGGGTTGCCCAGGTTCTCCTTTATCGCACGAGTTCTCAAAGGAGAGAAGCTGGCTGGAAAAACCGCCTCTGCGTCAGCTGAGAGGAGCCCACAGAGGCACTCTGCTTCTTCCCTTGGCCTAAAGCAAACAGGAAGGCACAGCTCTGGGGGCTCACGATAGGGACCCTGTTGAAGCTGCTGAGTCTTCAGCCACTCGAACCAGGTCCTACCTCGGTGCCAGGCCTTGGGCCATGATGCCCTTCACAGGCATCTTCTGGCTGACTCCTCACTGCCACCTGTGAGGTGGAGTCACTGTTCCCCTTTGATGGATGAGGAATCGGAGGCACAGACTAGTATGTCTGTTGGGAGACAGAAAATGTCTTTTTGACAAAGCGAATTTCATATAAGGCACTGTTAACCAGGGCTTGCAGAACAGAAAGGCAAAGGGGAATGCTGAGACATCAGAGGTAGTAACAGCAGGAATATATGAAGCCCTCTTACAAGTCAATAATAAGGAAGTAATCTAATTGTTTAAAATAGGCAAATGATTTGAGCAGACACTTCAAAGAAAATACAGGGATGGCAAATAAGCACATGAAAAGATCCTCAGGGTCAGTAACAGCCCCTAGGGCTGAGGGAACAAGGGTGAGAGTGTGGGCTTATAAAGATGTGGACACTTGGGAGGGGGCTGCAAGGCTGAGGCCCAGATTTCTGAGGGGGTGTCTCTCAGAGGACCCCATGGGACAGGTCTGCGAATGGGGAGGAAACTGACAGCTGGAACCAGCGGCTGCTGCTGGGGTGCAGGGCCATTGCATTGCTGGGGTGTTGCCAACAGAACAGGAAACAGACACAAAGGAGCTGACCCCTTCTCCATCCACCAGTGTTGCAGGCTCCCTCTAGTGCCCCCTCTTGGCAGAGCCTAACAAGGAGTTCTGGCAAGGCATACTGGTGATTTGTGGGATCCCAGAACATCACAGAGGGACGCTGGTTTGAAGCTGAGAGACAATGGCTTAATAACGAGCACCACAAATAAAGTCATTTGCCCAGCGAGTATAGCTAGTAAGTGGCAGAGTTTTTAACCCAGGAGCATATGACTCTGAGGCCAGTGCCCAGGTGGGGGTTAGAAGGAAACACTGGACAGGTGCCAGCCCCAGAGGCCGGGCTGACAAGTTTGGTGTGTTGGGCACTGGAGCAGGGGCAGAGGGCTGGGCAGGCAGCATCATAGTGAATACCAGGGACCCACCACGGGTCCTAAGCATGGAGCCAGGGCTGCTGAGGAAGCCGAGCTGGAGCAGTTGTGACACTGGGGTATGTGGGGGACACCGTACATGCTGCTGAGCTGGATCCCCATCTCAGCCCAGATAGGCAGGAAGACAACCAGAGTAAACTGAGGTCCTGGCTCTGGGCTCTGCACCCATGGGTCCTGCGATGCCCCTGCCTGCCTGAGTCAGGAGCTCCAGCCAGGGACAAGAAGAGCAGAGCCCAAGGAGCTGGACATTCACACCTCTCTCCTCATCTCAGACACAGCACCCTCTTTTTTGGCCAAAACCTTCCCAGGACAAAGCCATTGAGGTCCCAGATGGAACATTCCAAGATTTATTTGCAGTTTTCTTCTGAAACTAGCTTCTCTACTGTGGTGACCATGAGCCAGCCACCATTCCACCTCTGTGAGTCCCTCTTTGAGTCGCTGATTCCTAGAGAATGAGACCACACCCCAGTCTCAAAAGGTGTTGGGATGAGCTCTTGCATTGAAGTGTGAGTTGCTTTTCCCTCGCCCCTGCCAAATCCTCCAGCCTTCCCCAGGCAGGTCCATCCTGGGTGGTCAGCAGCAGGAGACTCCCACCTGTGTGCCTTGTTCCTCCCCTTTCAGTCGTCCTCTGGATATGCAGCTGCTGAACGGCGATCCCGGGCCCACATCCACATGTGGAATTCCTCTGAGCCAGCCTTCCACTGGGGAGACCTGTACCCCAAGCTTTCAGGTCCCCTAATGACTATCTCTCCTCTCTATGATGGGGCTGCACCTGGTCTGATCTCTAAGCTGTGGTACACCCAGGGATTAGGGGCACTGGCTTTGTATCCAAACAGCTGTAGGTTAAAACCCTAACTTTGCTGTGGGCTAGTTGTGGGACATTGGGCAAAGTACTCAATCTTTCTGTGTTTTATTTTATTGTTTGTCAAACCTATAGGCTAACATTAGTATGCCCACCCTCAGTGATTTATTAGGAGGCTTGGATGAGTCCAGGCATGACAGCCCTGGCACAGTGCCAGGTGTCTGGCCACTACTCAAGCAACGGAGCTGTTGCAATTAGAGTCGGCTTCAGATCTGGGGCTTCTAGGGTCTCCTTTGGTCCTCCACTCACCTCTAGGGCATAAACATCGTCTGTGCTTTTTAATTTCCCACACTAGCCCAGCAGGGAATTGCATCCCCTTATCTATGTCCCCTCCCCATCCAGCCCTTCCAGCTACAACATCAGCCTCTCATTCCCTGGCAGGGCTCAAGCTGTTATGATCTGGCTTTGGACAAGAGGAGCCGTTGATCCCCTCATGGACATCTTGGGCACTGGGTTCATCCAGGTGCCTCACTGCTCAGCAGCTCGTGGACAGGCCCTCTGGCCTGTGGCTTGTGGGCCTGTTGGACTGTAGTCCCAGCTGGCTCTCTTCACGTGCTCCAGCATCCGTGGGCAGCGCGATGCCTGCCTTCTCCGCTTTGATCAGGGCAGGGGGCTGCTCAACAGTTAGTTTGGGACCATCTCTGTGATGCATTTTGACAGACTTGGCCAAGCATATGCTTTAAATCCTAATGAGAAAGGGTCTTTTTAAGTAAAGGGAGCCCACAGCAGCCTTCAAAGCGCTCTCTGGACAAACTAGGGAGTATGATGAACCCTGGCTCTGTATCATCCTGCAGCCTAGTGTGCAAATGCAGTGCAAGAGAGGACCTCTAGCTTGTCCTTCAGTCCAAATGGGTGACAGCAGAGTTGAGTCATGGCCTGACTCAGCCACACCTCCACCAGGTTCAACCTCCTGAGACCTTTTCCCAGGTTTCCTTGTGCTCTGACTCTGATAGCTCCTCTGAACTGGTCCACCTTGGCTCTTTATTGTAAACTGCCTTAAGCAGACCTTGCATTCTTTCTAATGGCTTCAGAAGGAGTTAGATAATTTATAACTGACTCACCTGGAAAAACTTAATGAGATTTCAACTCAGTACTTCTGAAAAATAAATGATATCCAGACACAAGGACTTACAGAGTAGATGGAACATTCCAAACAAAAAGATTCCACCCTTATTTTTATTCTTTTGTTCTTAGCCCCCCTGTTCCAACAGATACAAACATATCATCGAGATGCAACTGCCACCCTGGGGTCACAGCTCTCTGGCTGACAGCAGGGTCAGCCGTTCTCCCTGAAGGTGCATACAGCCAGACTATGCCTCCAGGAAGTCATAGAAGGAAGCTTCCCTGGAGCCAGAATGTCCTTCTGTGTTTAATTTTCCCATAAGTCAGCTCTGATTATGAGGGATGGCCTCGTGTTTCATATATTCAGCGCCAAGTTCTGTGGAGCACCTTGCAGGGGTGGGGAAGCCCCCTGGCTGGCAGACGGGGGCAGAAGGGTGACTGCTCACCAGGTCACCCCCAGCACACACGTCTGCTACCTATCAGATCTCATTGGAGGAATGACCCACCAGACGCTGAGCTCATCTGACAGCCTCCTCCTAATGAGACCCAGGGCTGCTCCCAAGCTTGTGTGAGAGGCTGGATGGAGAGGAACCCCCCACAAACCTGGAGAAACATCTCCAAGGGAAAAATGATGTCTTCTTCTGAGTCTGCTTTGGTATGTGAAATGGTGGACTCCAGGAACTTCTGAGAAGCAGATACCTTCATGCTCCACCTTCTACCTGGGATGGTTGTTCTCAGGACCCTCAGGTAAAGCAGAAACTTTCAATATTTACTTATGACACTCATCTCCATTGCAGGCCTTCACCCTTCACATGCAAGAGGAGGCAAGCTCAGTTGAGTTCTCACCTCCAAGAACTTGCAGTTCTCCTGGGGAGGCAGGACCGATGCCCATGGAACAAGGTGTGCCAGTGAGCCCCACAGAAAGGGGCAGTTTCCCGCACCAGGATACACTTCAAAAAAGCACAATTCAGATTATGCATTCCCTGCTGAAGATGCTCCACTGCGTCTTATACCACTTGAGAAAAAATTCCAGACTCCTCTCCAATGTACTTCAGTCCCTGCCCAACTGGGCTCCAGTCAGGGTGGGGTTTTTTGTCGTTGTTGTTCTTCAAATGCTGTCCACCACCCCAGAGGTTGTTTCTTTGCTGTTCGTGGGCCTGGAGTCCCCTTTCCCCAGGTCTTTACATGGCTGCTCCATCTCTCCATAGAAGTTGCAGCTCAAGTGCCACCTTTTCAGAGAGCCCTTCCTGGACCGTTCAGTATAAATGAAGTTCTTTCCCCAAGTACTCCTGATGGCAGCAACTTGTCACAGTGTCCTTCTTTGCCCTTACCATGAGCTGGTATTTTTCTTGTGTATTGATTCACTGATTAATTGCTTCCTTGATTATCCCTCATGCTGCCCATTAGAATGTAGCTCCATGGGAGCAGGGACCTTGTCTATCTTGTCCTCCATGGTATCCTAGAATTCTAAGATGTAGGATAGCTTAACAGAGGAGACTCTTGAAATATTTGTTAAATATGTGATAAAAAATAAAAGGAAGAATCTATGCATGGCAGCTGCTTTGAAGTGTTCCTAGCAGACCACACCAACAGCCAGGGTTGCAATAATGACTGCAGCCCCAGCACCTGCCAGTGCAGGGAACTAAGCCTTAGTTCCCTTGTAAGTAAAATAATAGAATTGCTGGAGGATTAAGTGTGGGATCCCTGGTGATGATACAGGGTGAGACACAGTAAGTGCTTCAGAATGTGTGGCTTCATCCCCACTACCATCACCACACGAGCATCATCACCATCATCACCATCATCAGCACCACTACCACCACCACCATCCTCCACTGCAGCTCAGCAATGACCCACTCTGAACATTCCTTGTTGTCTCCTCGGCTTTTGTCACATGAAGCTTCCTGCCCTGGCTCTCTTTCCTTGCTTGGTCTCACTTGAACCACTGACATTGTTGGTTTCCAGACCAATGTCATCCCAACCTTTCTCCCTGCTAATAGAAACCTGCTTATATGATTATAGATGTCTTCATTTCAGGGAAGGTGGGCCCAGAGGGTGGTCTGCAAAGTGGGCACAAGAACCAGCCACCATTAAGCTTCTGGGAGAAATTTCCCTTCCAAAAAAGAGAGATACACAAGCCTGATTTGACTACAGATGTATAAGAATGTGATGTTTGGTCAGGCACAGTGGCTCAAGCTTGTAATCTCAGCATTTTGGGAGGCCGAGGTGGGTGGATGGCTTGAGCTCAGGAGTTCAAGACCAGCCTGGGCAATGTGGCAAAACCCTGTCTCTATAAAAAATACACAAATTAGCCAGGCATGGCAGCACACATCTGTAGTCCCAGCTACTCGGGAGGCTGAGGTGGGAGAATTGCTTGAACCTGGGAGGTCAAGGCTGCAGTGAGCCATGATTGTGCCACTGCACTCCAGCCTGGGTGACAGAGCAAGACCCTGTCTCAAACAAAAAAAACAAATGTGATGTCTGTAGTTGTGGCGGCCATGTTGTAACCATGAGGCAATATGCACAGGGACAGAAATGCTGACATGCTGAGGATAAGAGATAAACAGCTAGAAAGAGCCTTGGTCCTTGATGACATCCTTGAGCCACTGAACTGACTTGGGATCCACCTTTTTTTAGCCTTAATGTTAAGAATCTACACTTTCTGTTACTCTTAATTGTTACTTGTAGCCAAAAGCTAAGACAGCAAACATGGTTTCAAACCATCTTCAAAGTTCTGACGTGGCACTTCCTAAAGCAATCTACTCCAGCCAGCCATGTGCCCACCCTATGAGATACCAGCTAAACAGCGCCTACTGAAGAACCCACCCGTGCCCCCTTTCACTCTCTCCCGCAGAAGGAAGAAAGGACACACACTGAAGTGCCCCAGAAGGTGGATAGGAATTGAGATGGAAGAATATGGGAGCACAGCAAGAACCCTCCCGTTCGGAGGGAGGAAGGAGTGGGGCACAACTGTCTTCGAAGACATCCTGCTTCTGAGTATCTAAAAAGATGATCTGAGAGAGAAGAGGTAGAACAAGTTCACATGTGAGATACTGTGCCCTCAGTACAGATTTGTGGCTGAACCTCAGATTAATCTTGTTTCATGGTCAACAATTTAACATATTACACACTGGACTATGCCCCCAAATGAGGTTTTATTTTCTCTCTCTCTCTATATCCCCCATCAGAATGGTGGAGGGAAGCAGTGAGCCACTGGATTTAACAGCTGAAGGAATCCTAGTGTCTTGCAGGTAAAGCAAGCCTTGCTGAGCCTTTCTCCCCTTCCCCCATTTTTCTTCCCAGGAGAGCTTCTAGGAGTAGGCGGGAGATTATGTATCCTCCTTTGATGGAGGGAGGGGTCTTGGGAAAGGAAGAGAGAAGCCTTGGGGTTGTTCTCTGGACCCCTGCTGGCTTCCCCTGACAGAGCTCAGGGCTGAGAACTTTGGTCTTTCTTTCAGCATGCTCACTGCCCACTGGACTCCCCCACCAGGCTGACTTGGCCCCGGCTCCATTCTTAGCAATGTTGCACACCCTGTTTCTCAGCCACACACCACCTGGCCTTGGCCCAGTCTCCCGCAGCCTGGTCTCTCCTCTGGGGTCACCTTGACCCTCACAATGGCAGCCCCATGGCAGCTCCACCTCCTACTTCTCATAGCTTTTGGTGACAGCTGGAGGACAACTCCAGATTCCTCCAGAGGAGCCAAAGGAGACTGGCTGCTACGTGGTAGTCTCCCTGCCCAGCCGTGGCTGACTCTGTCTTTTGGGCAATGGCATCACGTTGGATGCGGCGCTCTCTAAGAGGGAGCAAAATTTCCTCAGTCTAGCTCCCTGGAAATCATATGTAAGCCCTGAAATCAGACATAGCCTAAGACTTATCTGTGTCTTCTTACAACACATCTCTCTTGGGTTTCTCTTTGGGAGAAACTGTAGGAAAGCAGGATGGCACAGTCCAACCACTTCCCCTGCCTTCCTCTTCTTTCTTTCTCCCAAGACTGAAACAGGTTTCCTTCCGCTTGCAGCTTGAAGGGACTCCTCTAGGCACGTCTCCCTCCCCTGCCCTAGCAATATCCACTTTCTACGCTATGCCTGCTCTTTTCTCCCCTGAAGCACTAACCCCATGGCTTTGCCTCAGTGGTTAGGTGGGACTTCAGAGGAAAAAAAGCCACATTACTCATATTGCAATATATGTTGAGAGGCACTTAAACATAGTATCCCTAGTATATTCCCATCTGCACATTCTTCTGGGACCTACTAGTAGCTGCCGAGGCAAAGCCTGCTGTTTCCCAGCAGTCTTCCAGCTCATTGACTAGAATTTATTTCTGAATGAGAAGCCGTGCATAGCTCCCTCTTGCTGGGCTTGTCCAGAAGATAACAATGGCTCTCCCCCTCTCTTCCTCCCCTTTCCTCTCCATTTCAGCCAGCCTCTGCTTTCTGGCTGGGCCTCCAGGCTCTGGTGCTTTCACCAGTGCAGAGCAGCCAAGCTTGGGTCACAACTGTCCTGCACATAGGCCAGAGCAGGGCCACTCCGAGCTTGTGATCAACATGGCTGCGCTAGACAAGAAAGGATTCCTGGAGGAGGTGTGCCTAAGGACTCAGCCCTGAAGGGCAGATAAGAATCAGATTGGGGAGAGGAAGAGATGTCTTGCTCAATGACTCAGAGGCAGGAATGAACTGCTAAGAATATGCACTTGCCTGAAACTTCCCTGGTGAACCCTTACTTGACCTTCCAGACCCAGCTCCAAAGGGCTCCAAAGTTCTGTTAACCTTGCCGAACCATACTCTATGCCAATGGTGAAAAAGACATAGGCCCTCCATGATCAGAGGCACTGGGTACTCCCACTGTCCTGGACCCCTGGCAGCCCCCCAGCTCCATTCTGCAGTTTCCCTAAGGTCTGAGAGTCCAGGCCTATCCTTTGGTCTTGAGTAAGGAGGACCCCTTTGTGGCTCTCGGAAATTCATCCCCTGGACTTCAGATTGATTGATTTTGCACCCCCAGGAGAACTCTCAGCTTTAGTCACTGGAGGACAGACACATTCTTGTCCTCATCCATGTTTCCAAATTCATCAATCTGCTGTGTGGCCTTGGCAAGCCTCTTAACCTCTCTGGACCAGTTTCTTCATTCATAATATAAGGATCACACTGTGTCCCTTACAGGTCTGAGGATCCCATACTTTCATGCATGTAATACACTTAGCACACAATATGTACTCAGTGTCAGTTACTGTATCTCTTCAAACCTCATCTGGTAAAGTGGGGCCTACTTTACCAAGAAGCTTGTCTTCTTCCCTATTCATCCACATAAGTTTGTGCCAGGCTTCCTGGCAGCCATTACCAAGTACATCATCAAGAGGAGTGTGTCTACCCCCAGAGGCCTCATCCCTCCCAGGGCCTCTGGTCTCTCTGTAGTCCCCCAAGGACTCCCGTGCTCGCTCCTCTCTTGTCCCTTGGGTACAGCAGAGTCCCGGGAACACTCAGACTCCCTCATCTCCCTGTTCTGTCACCACCCTAAATCCTTCCAACCCATCTCCCTGCTCTCGTTCCTGACCTCTTTTCCCCAACACACTCACACACACATGCACACACACACACAGGCACACAATCACACTCATGCACGTTCTCAGACATGTACACAGATATACCCACAGGCTCACTCGTGTGCCCTCCAGAAATCATGTACTAAGTTCTGACCATATCAAAATGCCTTAAATGCACAGTGAAAAAGTAGGTTTAAATGGTACTAGGGGATGAAGACACCAGTCTCCTCACACCTGGAAAGTCAGGGTAAATTAAATGGAACAGAGATCATGTAAAGACAGGAGAATGAGAAGTTCACCTCTGTGATGCAGCTTGCAGATAGAGAAGCACAGTGATTGGGAACAGCAGCTCTCTGCTCAGACAGCCAAGGGGCTCAACTCACTGCTCTGCCATTTCCCAGCTGTGTGACCTCTGGCAAGTTACTTAACCTCCCTGAGTCTCCATGTCTCCTCTGAAAACTGAAGACAATAGGACCCACCTTGGAGTAGGGTTATAAGAATTAATCTAGATAATATATATAAAATGCTGAGCACGTGACAGGCACTCAATAAGCAGAACAGCTTTTTATTATCATTATCAGGCACTCAGGGACTGGGAAATAAATGAAGGTCAGAGGAGCCAAGGAGAGCTGTGTGGAGGGGGTCGACATTGAACTGGCCTCATAGAGGGGTCAGGGAGTTAGTGGGAAGCGATGTGGGCCTGGGAAACAGAATTGGCACCTGCATGGTTCGGGCTGGCAGAGGTTTTATCCTGCAGCCAGGAAGGCATTTGGAGGAAATGCTAAGTCTAGAGTCAATCCTATTAAAAATCCTCCTACCGCAAACTCATTTGGAACTGGCTGGAGGTCCTCAGCATCTGTGAGCATCTTGGGTATGTTACAATAAGCATCAATCCAGAAGGAAGCTCAGGCCCAGACCCCAGGTCAGAGCCCTGATGAAGGACTCTTCAGGTCTTTGGTCTTGAGTAAGGAGGACCCCTTTTGTGGCTCTCAGAAATTCATCCCCTGGACTTCAGATTGATTGATTTTGCACCCTCAGGAGCACATCTACTCATTCTTCAAGATGCAGCTTGTGTCTTCTCCTCTGGGAAAGGACTCCTCTTGTTGGGTTGGCCCCTCCACATTGTATGGCCCCAAATCACAGTGGAATCTAGAAGAACAAAAGCTTGGAACCAACGAACCCAGCTTTGAACCCTGCTTCCCACTACTGGCCATGTGACCTCAGACAAGGCAATTCACCTCTCTGAGCTTGCCTTATGGGTTGGGCCTAGCACGGTGTCTGGCAAACAGCAGGTACTCAATGATGATAGTTGTCAGCAACCCTAATTCCGGTGCCAGCCCGCCTCCCAGTTCTGTTTCCTGCCTGAGCTTTTAACTCCCCTTTCTGAGGATCTGGGCCCACGTGGTCACTGTGCGTGATGTTCCTCCCCTCAATGTGAATGCTAACGTTCCTCTTCTCTCTGGAAGAATTCAAAGGGCCCTGGAAACTTGTTTATTAGGAAAAGCTGTGGGAGTCTGTCCTGCTTGGTGGAGGCGCTGACCTCTCCCATCCTTCCTTGCATATTTCTCCCCAGCGACATCTTTTCATGTTCCCTGGCTCACTGGGCTGAGTCACAGATCTGTAAATCCTGACCACAGAAAGCTTGGCAAAGTGTGTTAGGTGTTTATTGGAAAGGGAAGGAGGCATATGATCAAAACATTGGCCGTGGCTTTAGTCTCTAAAACTTGCAAGAGTAAGTTTTAAAATTTATGTTTGAAGCATCTAATCAGATTCATAGAGCACTCTTTTAAAAAAAAGCATAATGAAAATAAGATTGTATAATACTCCTCAGTGGCAGTCAGATCCGTGGGCTGCCTTTGTATGGGGCCAGATATCTCCATGAAAATGAAGAAATTTAATTCAGTTTTCAGTTTTCCTATTGATACAAAACATCAGTTAGACCGCCCCACGGACACACACAGACTGTAGTTCTCTGCAAAGCCCCATGCTGATCATGCCTCCATGCCTTTGCCCATGCTACTCCCACTGCCTGCAAGTCCATTTCACTCGCTTTAGGAAACATTTGTGGCTACTCTGTGTTAGGCCCCGGGCTGGGCACTGGAGACAAAGGGATGAGTCACAGTCCCTGACCTCTAGAATTAGTGAGGAAGAGAGGCTAACAGGAGACCCAAGCTGAACCTTGACAGATGAGTAGCAGTTCTCCAAATGGACAAAAAAAGAGGGGCCTTTCTCATGTGAGCACATCTACTCATTCTTCAAGATGCAGCTGTGTCTTCTCCTCTGGGAAAGGACCCCTCTTGTTGGGCTGGCCACTCCACACTGTATATTGTATGCTCCCTCCCATGACCATCCTCACATCAAAACCCATTTCCTGGTTAATTTATCTGCCAGATAGTCTAGACTAGGGGTTTTGGAGAACTGACATTGTTTCTTCTCTCCTGCATCTCCCGTGCCCAGCTCCCAATCTGCTGAATGGCAGGTTCATTAGGTGTTTGATGTTGTTTTTAAGCTGAGCATCACTGTCATCAGCAGGCAAGAGCCGAAGCAGCCATGTGGCGTTATGAGAGCCACGCCTGAACCATACCCACCAGGCCCCTGTTGCTTTAAGCATCTGAGCCCTGAAGGAGTCTGAGTGGGATTAACCCCTGGATCTCAGCCTCATTCCTGCTTCGTGGTTTGGTGGTGGTATTGGGAGGGGCTACTCAATCAAGGAGGAAATATGCTTGGAAATGAAAGCACTTCCCTTTCTGATCTGACTGGCTCTACCTTGCTCCCTGCCTTCTTAGTATGCATGTATTCAGCCCCATTTCAAGACTTACCCTCAGTATCTTCCCCACCCTTATGGGCTGAGCTGGGCTTCCTCGCTTCACCTCCCCCACCCCTGCTCCAGTCCTCTCCAAAGACAAATTGCTTACATCTGTCAAGGCTTTTCTGATTAATAGAGGAATATGCTGTGGGATGTCATCAGGGGTTCAGAGGCTTTTGATCAAAGGGGGAGGGGGAGCCAGGCCACACATCCCTGCTGGTTCATTTATCAGGTCAGTTTCAGCACCTTTCCTCCCAAGTGCCCTGACAAAGGCCTCCTCACCAGCCCACCATCAGCTCATGTGCTCCCTATGGGAGAGGAGCAGAGAGGAAATGGTGTTCCAGTAAGGGGACAGTGGGGAGCAAGACACAAGGAGAGAGGGAGAGGAGCAAGCTGGGGGGCCACAGCATGGGCACTGGTCCTCGGGGCAGGGTACTTGAAGTGCTTTTCATTCTACACAGCCACGGGGACGAACACATACCAGGCAATTCCCTCGAAGCATGGAAAGGAAAGAAGGAAGGAAGGAAGGGAGGGAGGGAGGGAGGGAGGGAGACCTTTGGATGACTAAACCAAAGAGAGAATGAGGGACTGAGGGATCTATAAAAGAATGAATAAAGGAGGGGGAAAATGATTGAATTAATGAGTCAGTAAATGTCTGGATGCAGTCATAAATTAATGATTTACAGCAGTCCTTACAAGAGTGGGACTTTTTGCACAGACTCATCTCTCATTTTTTCTTCAATTCAGCCATTGGTTGGTGTTAAAAAGACCCAGCTTGGAGGAGCAACACTAAGGCAAGTTTGAAGTAATTCAGGCTTCACCTCCACCCCAGCTTCTCCCATCCAAGGGACCCTCTTCCTTTCCTTTTGGCCCACTTGGCATTTGTTAATAGGCCCTGTGAGCTGGGCAAGAGCAAATGAGGCCTGGAGTGGTTGGGGGACTCACACAGAGGAAGGGGCAGCACAAGGATGGGGCCTGCCTCTCATCTCATGCCTTTTCCTGCAGAGCCAGGTCCCTGAGGAGGAACTGGTATCTGTCACAAGCTCTGTGTGTCCTCAGGCTGCAAGGCTACTGCCTACTGTGTCCCTTGAAGAACACCCCTATTGGGAACTTTACAATGGGAACTCCAAAGAGCCATGTAGGGTTTGCTTTAGAGGCTGCTACACTAGACTCTGAGGATTTAGATTAACCTAATTTAATGACACGGATGACTGCCTGGCTTGAAGTTCCTTGCTACAATTTTTTTCTTTCAACTCGCTCAACAATTATTTCCCTCAAGTTGGTTGCAGATGCAGCCTGCCTGGGAATTATAATCCATTCCTTACTGAGCAGCAAGGAGGCCAGGGAGATGCTGGCCCCATCTACATGCACACCACCCAGGCACGGGGGCTGGTGGGCAGGCAGCACTGTGGGCTGTGTCTGTGCCACTGCTTAGAACTTGCAAAAAAGGCCTGAGTCTTGCTAGGCTAGGCTGGCTGTCCTGGGACCCGGCAGGCAAGAGACTCCATGGAGACACAGCTGGCTGGCTCCTGACTGGGTGGTGGCTGTCTCTATCCCCTGCTCTTAGCTCAGAGGGAGCATCCCCACACAGACACGCAACACACACAGTCATGCACAATCACAAAAGACACATATGGACTCATCCAAGATGAGATGCACATGGACACTCAGTCACAGATGCACACAAACACACACATCTAGATACGACCCCCACACAGAGGTACTGAAAGACACACACATACCCCCAGACACACCAAGCTCATCCACCCCAGTATCCCACTGTCCTTAGCCTGGAATCTGATTCAACTCGATCCAACAACCACTTATGGAGTGCTATCTGCATGCAAGTTCTCAATGAGCAGACCCAGAAATATTCATGGCCTAGGACTGAAGATCACAGAGACACATAATTCATTCAGCCAGTGCTTAGCAAATGCTCCAGTGTGGAAGGCTCTGCAGAGGGCAGTGGAGGGCACATGAGTCCCTCCTGTGTTCACAGATCTCATGACAGAGATAAAGGAACATCCATCCTGGTTATCACCCAAAAGCAAGGTTTTAAAGAAGGCCTCCTCTGGGCTGGGCCCTGGAAGATACTGCCTGCACCTTCCAGAAGCCCACATTCAGCTGGGGAGGCACACAGGTAAACAGGCCATGGCACCACCATATTCCAGGGCTGTTACAGGGGGCTGTAGAGTCCTGAGGAGCCTGAGGGTTCTTGGAGGGCTTCCTGGAGGAGGTGAGGGACTAGATAAAAATAGCAGGATGGGCACTCCGGGTATGAGAAGGGGCTCAGGCAAAAACCCAAGGCCACCAGGGAGAAGCTATGTTCAGAGAAGGGCAGTTCATAGAGTGGGACTCGGCCATGGGGAACATCTAAAGGAGTCAAATGCCAGCCTTGCTGCCCTAGCAAGTCAGCACCAACTTACAGGTAACAATGCTGCTGTAATTTGCATTAAAAACACCTTTCCCCTGGAGTAGGAAGCTGTTTCAGGATTTTCCCATGCTGCCCAAATGCATTGGCCATGCTACTGACCCCCATCTCGCCCCTGGCCCCCTCCCCTGCTGGTTTCCAGTACTTTCAGAGGCTGCTACAGCCCAAGAGAAAGATGTGCTCTGGGATAACTCCTCACTGCTGTCTGTGGGCCACCGCCTCATACCCTGCCAGTACCTAGGCCCTGGCCTGGAACAGGATTTCTAAGGCCACAGTCTTGATTTCATTTGTCCTGGGTAGATGCAGGGGCTTGGCCAGTTGTGAGACCCTATACAATGATCAGTTCTTAGAGAGATTTGTCACCTAGAAAAGCCAGATAACACCCTGAGCAGCCAGTTCCCAGGGACATGGCCCTGGCCCAGGTTTTCCCCCTGGAGTGCCCCCTCCCTTCATTCTTCCCCATTTTTCATCCTTCCTTTCAGCTGGCTAACTCTAGCCCTTCCAGACCAAGCTGACATGTCACCTCTCCCAAGAAGACTTTCTGAGCCCCCATCCCCAGTACCCCAGGGGAGTCAGACACACTTTCTCTGTGCTCCCCTCTATGGCCCTTATCAAGCAACACAGTCACTGTCTGTTTACTTAGTGATCTCCCCAGAGATCCCGACAGCTCTTCCTGTGGCCCGGACTCCCCACAGAGCCTATGCACCAGCTATTTATTGCTGCCTAACAAATTATCCCAGAACCTAGTGACTCAAATCTACAATAGTTATATTTTACCTCCAAGGTTTCCAGAGGTCAGGAATTTAGCACAGATGGGACACTTTGTCCACAATGTCTGGGCCTGAGCTAGGGTCTGGGACCATCTGAAGGATCATTCACAATGTGTGGTGGTTGATGCTGCCTATTGACTGCAGGACTACCTGGGCCTCTCCATGTGACCTGAGCTTCCTCCCAGCATGGCATCTGGGTTCCAAGAGCAAGCATCCCAAAAGAGAGTGTGGGGTTGTGGGGAGAAAGAGAGAGAGAGGGAAACAACTGGAATCTGTATCCTTTTTATGACCTAAAATCAGAAGTCATATAATAGCACTTCTACCATATTCTATTGGCCAAAGCAGTCATACACACCCATCCAGATTCAAGGGGAGTAAATGCAGGTCCCCCTAGGTGGAAGGAGTGTCCGTCACCCTGCAAGAAAGGCATATGGGGTGAGATAAACATAGGGCATGGCTATCTTTGGAAAAAATAATATGTCACAATCTGTTACCAATAGATGCTCAACGAAGGGCTGTTGAGTGAATGAATGAATGAATGATCCTTTCTCTGCACTATCCATCTCCCCTCTGTCCTCAGACAGTTCTTCTCAGTTCAGAATCCAACTAACTCTGACAATCCCAAGCGCCAGGTCATAGCCCCTCTTTCTGTTTTGGAAGCCAAGGGGCCATGAACTCCCTCCCAGCTCCAAAGTTGTCAGAATTGTCCCCAGAGTTTCAGGGTGTTCACTGTGGTTTTCAGAAACAGGGCAATAATGTCGAGAATTAGAGAGGCCACCAGAGCAGAACCGGGAGGCAGTTTCCTTGCTGATCCACAGACACAGTTTTAGGAGGAAGATCTAAGGAATTAAACATTAGGGGAAAGCTTCTTTTAAAGGTTTTCAAGATTTAAATAACTGTCTTCAGCTATTTTTTTTTAGGAGAAAAAGAACTACTTGTACTATCTGATAATATTTTTCGAGCTCTAATTTTGGTTTTTTTTTTTTTTTTTTTTTTTTTTTGAGATGGAGTCTCACTCTGTCGCCCAGGCTGGAGCGCAGTGGCGCGATCTCGGCTCACTGCAAGCTCCGCCTCCCAGGTTCACGCCATTCTCCTGCCTCAGCCTCCTGAGTAGCTGGGACTACAGGCGCCCGCCACCACGCCTGGCTAATTTTTTGTATTTTTAGTAGAGATGGGGTTTCACCGTGTTAGCCAGGATGGTCTCGATCTCCTGACCTCATGATCCGCCTGCCTCGGCCTCCCAAAGTGCTGGGATTACAGGCACGAGCCACCGCGCCGGGCCCTGAGTTCTAATTTTTTAGTAACTATTATTTGCTTTCACAGTTTTTCTAATTAATAAGAGAATGCATTGAGACTTTACAAAGAGCCAGACTCTGTGCTAAGTGCTTTAGAGACGCTATTTCTGTAATGGGTCAAAAACTACTGATGTATCAGCATTCAGAGGCTTCCTCCACTTGCCATATTCGAATGCAAATCAGCTCATCAATGGGGAGAGAACAGAAAAACCCTTCAGTGAGTGAGGGTTTTTTGGAGTAGGTACAGGATATGGGAGAAGTGAGGTGAGGAGGAGAGCATCTTTCAGAATCATTGTGGTGGTTACGCAAGAGATCTCCTGTAATGTTATTCAAGAGAAGCAACAAAGATTGAAGAAGTACTTTTTAAGTTATTTTTGGTGCTTGGACTGAGCTTCTTTGAATGAGACTCTATACAAAGTCTGAGCCACTGAGACACTGGAAGCTATAAGGGTTACATCTCACTTGATTCTTACAACAGTGTGATGAAAGAGAAACTCCCATTATTTCCTTTAAGCAGCTGAGAAAAATAAGATTTAGAGAGTCTAAGAATATGCACAAGACCACAGTGTGACAAGTGGCTAGTCCAGGACTAAAGCCCAGATGTCTCTGATCTGGAGACGAATCTCCTACTCACTACGTCACCTCTTGTCTTAAACTCTGTAGATAACTGGGAGAGAGGAGCATGGGCATTTTACTAGAAAAGGATTTCAGGAATTATTCCCCAGGTGGGAGTGGAGCGGGCAAGAAATCCAAGACAGGTGGTTTTCACTCTCCAGATGAGGCCAGATGAGCAGGAACATCTCAGATTTGCTAAAGCTTTCAAGAACACATTCCCTCCTCCGCTTCATTGGAGCTAGGCCTTGCCCCTGACAATCATACTTACTACAATCCCCTCCATTAGCCACGTTGGGCCTTCTATCTGTGATGTCCTTTCCTCCATCTCACCACCAATCCAGCTCTTATCCTTTTTTTAAGATGCCATCTCCTCCATGGAGTTACCTGTGAGCACCCCAGTCACAGAGCATGGAAATGGGTGTGGCTCTCATCACCTCACCTGAACTATAACTACCTGTATGCAGAGAACACACCTGTTCCTGTTCCTTCTCTCTCTCTCCCCTCTCTGCCCCCTTCTCTCTTCCCTGGAGCAGCTAGCCCAGGCCCAAGCACATGGTAGGTGTCCACTTAGAACATTTTGTGCTGCTCTGGGGGAAAGAAAAAGTAATCTGAGTATTATAGACTGAATATTTGTCTCCCCCAAATTCCTATACTGAAGTCTAATCCTACTGTGATAGTATTTGGAGGTAGGACCTTGGGAGATAATAAGCCATGAGGGTAGAGCCCTCATGAATGGGATTAGTGCCTTTATAATAAGAGGCCAGAGAGCTGGCTCACTCTTTCCCCCATGTGTGGACACAATGAGAGCTCAGCGTTCTGCAACGTGGAAGAGGGCCCTCGCCAGAACCTGACCATGCTGGCACCCTGATCTTAAGCTTTCAGCCTCCAGGGCTGTGAGAAACAAACTCCTATTTTTTGTAAGCCACCCAGTCCTTTGAACTTTGCTATAGCAGCCCAAATGACTAAGACACCGAGTTTTGTAGGTAGTTTTTTCAGAAAATCAAATCCAATAAAACAAATCTGACGATTCCTAATTCAGAGCCTCAATGGCTCCTGTGCTCTCAGCTCTTCCTTTTGTGTTTGTTCTGTTGAGTGAAAGTATGGGGAGCCTTAAAACAAACCAGGCTCATCTCCAGAAGACCTGAGCCCTCTGTCTGCCTCAGGTCGTTTCCCAAAAAATCGCAACACACACATGCACACACCCCACCTGTTCTACGTCATGTTCTGGAAGGTCTCATTCTCAGCTGAAATCCCCAAACTCCTTGGCCTGATACACTGATCCCCTCCCCAGATCTGGACCTACCTCCACCAGGCCAACCTCACCTCTCACCACTTCCTGCCTTGAATCCCTGGCAAATTACCTAAGCTCCCTGAGCCTCAGTCACTGCAACTTAGAACGGGGGGTCATAATAATGCCTGACATTTAGGAACAACTCAGTAAAGAGCTTTGAAATGCACGAGTGATCAAACGATACCTAATTCATAGGGTTATTTTGAGGATTCATGGAAATGTAATGAGAAAGGAGCAGAATACACAGCAAGCACTCAGCAAATAGTAGCTCAAAATAGGTGGAAAGACCGAAAGACCACTGTGATGTTTCTTGCCGTTCACAGCCAAAATTTCTTCTTCTTTTTTTACATAACCACATCTCTATCTGATCTAAGCATTCTTAGGAAACAGTAACAAACAAAACACAAAACCAAAACAACCAGCAACAGTAACCTCATAACTGTTTCCTGTGACCACACACAGATGCCAAGCATACTTTAGCTGAGCCAGTCCAGCCACCAGAGAGAGAGCACGCGATGCCCTGATGATATCCAGCAAAGTGAGCCCGAGAACACTCCTGTGGGGTGAGTCAGACTCCAGAGTAGAGACGAGGACTGCCAGAATGAGCTGAAGTGCTGTGTGTTGCCAGCTACGGTCAAGAATTGTCATCCAGGGTGGTGGCCATATGCATGCAATGTGCACAGCTCTGGGGCTGGAGACACAACTCGGCCCCTGAGTCTGAGGGGCTTCAGGAGTGAACCAGAGCACAGGCAATCAAAGGAACAGAGGGAGGCTATGATGAGCTCAGGCTTCCACATGATGGAGCCTCATTGTCAACCACGCCACGTGGAAGTAGTTGCTTTGCTTGCTTAAGCAGGAATCTTCCTCAACATTCTATGGCTATTCATGGAGGCTGACTCCTCTTTCCCCGACACTGACCCACAGTGCATTCACTGTCGATTCCCCAAGGCAGCAGGCCTAGGGTTGGGGCAGGTCCCAGGCTGTTCTAACTGTTCATGCTACTGACTTCTGTGTGGATCTGAGTAGCTCTGGGCAGGGCCCACCATGCAGGACTGGCACTAATAAGTAGGAGGTACTGTTAGTGCTGATGCAGCTGGGGCCACAACATCCTGAGTGCAGGCTCTGTCCACTCATGCCAGGAGCCAGGCGAGGCCTGCCTGGGATGCAAGCCATTTGGATGCTCAGCTCCACATGGGTGGGTGTCCAAGAGAGGTGTGGCCCGGACTTGGTGGGCCCACTAAAGCCCAGCACTCTGGACCCTGCAGAGCATCCTGGATGTCAAGGTTTCTCCTGACCCTCCAGCCACCCCTCTGGACCTCAAACTTGGACCTGAACTCAGATCTCTTCTGGCCTGGAGGCTCTGCTTTTGCCTATGTACTCAAAGCATCAGCACCTTCCCAAGGCAACAAGTCTTTGTTCTGCTTTACAGAGGGAATGAAGGGAAGCTGGGGTAAGTATCAACTCTTGGCCAGCTGAGTCACTCTATCAGTGAAGTTGCTTCTTCCTCTGAGGGTCAACAATGAGGCTTTGAGAGGCTAGGCTCTCCCAGACCAACAGGCGAAGTGGCTCAGCTGGCTGTGTGGAGAAGCACCCCAGCCAGAAAAGTTGCCCACAGCAACCCCGTGCGCAAACAGCTCCCCAGAGTAAGGGCAAGCTGGAATGCTGCCCCCATGCCATCGCTCTGAGGCAGGGAGTTTTCTAGGTCAGTTCAGCGCATGGGTGCCCCTGACATTCCCCGAGCCCTCCCTGCCCTGGTGCCCTGTGAGAGCTGCCCCTGCCCTCACAGTCTGGAGAGACACCAGCCAGGAACATTTCCCTTCTATTTATTGTTATGGCTGGTTGGTTGGTTGTCTTCTCCAACCACACAAGTAGAGCTAAATCTGTAGACAATTTTACAAACACCAAAAATTGCAGAGAGAGACAATTAAAATTATGATATTTTTTCTTTCAGTCTCCCCCTGCCCCTCCCCAACCTGGTTCACTTTCTTTACATAATTGAGATCCTAAAGTATTTATCGTTCTGTGGTTCGATGTTCAGCTCCTCCCATCACACCTATGGCTTGACATTTTCAGTAAGCTTTTTCTCATTTCATTAAATTCTGTTTGTAAACCCCATTTTTGAAGGCTGCATAGTCTTCCTTCACTGGGCTGAGCCAGGGTTAATCTAAGCATTCCTCTAGTGTAGGCTTTGTATATTTGTTTGTTTTGTGGCATTGCAAAAGCAATGATATGAAAAACTTTGCTGGCATTTCAAAATATTTCTTTGGGATACAGTCCTAGAAGTGGCATTATTGGGTAAAGTATAGGAACATTTTTAGGGCTCTTGGTCCCTGTTGCCCAATCGCCTTTGGGAGGACTGACCATTTTACACTTGGTAAACAGCGAATTCAATACATGGTACTTAGTGCCTGTGACAGAGGATCCCTCAACCACAAACCTCACTGCTCTGAATCCAAGTATCTTGCCACCGCTATCAATTCAGGGATTTGCAAGTACCAAACAGTCTCCTTTCTCCCCACCCTCAAAGGCCACCTTCCCCACATAATAAAAGACTTTGAACATCCTTGGAAAGATTTCTGGGCCCAGGAGCTAGGCAGACCAGGTTCCAGAACATTTGTCACCAGTGAGCTGATGACAGTCTTCATTGGTCAAGCAGGAGGCTTGAACTGGAGGGTCCCTAATGTCCCCCAGCTTGTGACTCAGTCTGGCAGTATAGGAGTTAGGGTCCAGGCTTTGGTGTCAAGCTGCATTGGTTCAAGCCCCAGCTTTGCCACTTGCCAGCAGCATGATCATGAGCAAGTTACTTGACTGGCCTAAGCCTCAATCTTATAATATGTAAAATGGGAATGAAGGAAATTAAATTATTTATCAAGCGATGGTGAGGATTGAATGTAATTAAAAATTTAAAAATTTTAAAACAGTGCCTGGCACAGAGTAAATACTCTATAAAGGGCTTGATACCAGAGCATGTGCTTGCTTTCAATTATAAACATCAACCCAGCTGAAGGGGGTCTCTAAGGTTGGTGTAAACAGAGTCAGGGAAGAGAGAAAATGCTCGCAGCCCACAGTGGCCCAAGCTATCTGGCAGTGGCCTTGCCCCATCTCTGTCTGGCCCAGGCAGTTCCTGGCACTTGCTTTTCATCTAACCTGAGGTCTGGCTGTGCAGCACCCCTCAGGCAGGGCGGCTCTGAAACTCAATGCTTCCGTGGGAGGAGAGTTGAAGGCCGCTTCACCAGGTGGTTATCAAAGGCCTGGCCGCCACAGAGGCTTGGGAACATAATCTCCGGAAAGAGATTGTCTGAACTCGGCTTGCTGGGGAACAAGGACGCTGACTCTGATAAGCCCGAGCAGTAGCCAAGGAGGAATTGGACCTGGGAGCTCGGGAGGACCTTGATGACTCATCCTGTAGACATTTCCTGGGGGCGATGGTGAGCCAGAAGCCAGATGCACACTCTAGGTGGTAGAGGGTTGGGGAAGATCAGGACAGAATCCTCTCTCTGGGATGAGGATGGAAAGAAAGAGCCATGATCACAAATGTGCCTCCTTGTCAGGAGCCAGCTCCATGCCTGGCAGCCAGCGACTGAGCCAAGCCAGGATCTCCCAGGATGAGTACAGGGTTAGTCAGGGGCCGCAGAGGCCCTCAGGAGGAAAGGGTCATGGCTCTGGTCAATAAGGCCTGCTGGTGGCTCTGCCCCTAGTGCTGTAGTCAGTTTTGCTCACCAGCAAACCCCTAATTCCAGGACAGGATATCCTCATTGGGGGAGATTGGGTAGGAGTGATGACTGGCATTTTACGGATCTCAACCAGAAACTGAGGTTGAGAGCGATCAGAAAATGTGTCTAAAATAATAAAGTGAATTAGGGGTCAAGTCAGCATGTGAACATACGTCTCCTACAGCTCATTTCTGTGACGGGCTCACAGGTCTGGGACAAAAGAGGTTAAGAACATCTGAACTAGTTATTGATGTGTTGAACAAAGCCATCCTACAGAAATGAAGTGAAATGATTGTATGTAATAGGAATTAAATTTCTGCAGTGAACTCTCTCACGGTTTCTTAATGGGAAGCATGAAAAAGCAAGTGCTAAAAGGTATTTTTCCTTTCTTGATGGCCTTGAAATTCAGCATCCAGTCAACAATCATTAATATCCACTTTGGTGGATCCTGTTACCTACCTGGCCTCCACTGCTTTTTTTCTCTTTCCAAACAGAACCTTGATTTCATGCAGCTATTGGCCTCCCTCACGCCTAGCTCCTCAGAGGCACAATAGTTATCCTAAACCCATGCTTCCCAGATGGTGCACCAAGGCGCCCCCAGGTGCTGCAGTGAACTCACAGTAGCACCAAGTGATATTTTCAATTTTCAAGAAACACAGTGACATCCATTGGAATCATGAGATTAGTTCAAGGTACTTCGCAATATTAACATTCATGATGTCATAGCTTTGTGGAACCAGGTTTTCAATGGTTGCTGTCATAAAAAATAAGTACTGCACAAATATCTATGTAAATAAGAAAAAAGAATAGCGGGTCCAGTCTAATTCCCAGGTTTGAGAGGTTGTGCAGGCCCGACAGGCACACACATCCCATTAACAAATAATTGTGGGCAATTAAGAGTGATATAAAAATATTACTTTTCTTTCCATTTTATGTGCATTAATTTTTCAAATGGCTGCAAAATTGTTAAGACATACTTATTAAATTGTTTGTACCTAACGGCTTAACAAACGGAACTATTGGGTATTTCTTTTGGCCTAGAATGCTGTGAAAAAATACTAAGGCACTAAGGGTGGCATAACCAAGAAAGTTTAGAAACCTCTGCCCTAAGCTAATCAGAACATGGTGTTTCCCTGGCACATGTCCAGGGTCCAGAGTGGGTCATTGTCCCTATCAGACTGAGGATAAGGATACCTGTGCCAGGATTGGGGAAATTTATTCTCTCATTTATGCTGGGCAAAAACAGACAGGAACAGAGACCCAAGTGTGTGTGTGTTCACTGTGTGTGATCACTGGTGATCAAAGGGGAGACGTCCTTAGCGTGGCATCCATGCTGAAGACAACAGAGGAGACCCAGGTCCCTGATGCCATTGCTGAGCTGCTGGATCTGCCCACCCTGCCTCTAGGCTTCCTGTAGTATGAGATAAGACATTTCCTTATTGACATGGTAGTTTGAGTCATGGATTCTGTTACTTGCAGCCCACAGCATTCTAAGGGATAAACAAATCTACTGTGATTGAAGCTGTGTTAGGAGGAGCTGGGGATGTGCAAAGGAGCAGCAGAGCCTCTGTCTTCGGGAGTCATGAGGCAGAGGAGCCACAGGAACTCCTTATGGTTAAGGTCTGCGCAAAGCTCTCCTAGGACAGGGGCAAGAGAGTTGACTTTTCCTGGAGTGAAGTTGAGGGCAGTCCATTCAGTAGTCTTTTAGGAGGGCACTGTCCCCATAACATGGCACTTGTGCCATCTTCCTAGGCTTCTAGGCACACTGCACCAGAGCTCACTGCTCCAAATGTCTTCCTCACCACAAGCTTCTTGAGGGCTCCTGAGAACTCTCCTAGCTTAACCCCAGACATACCTTGGCTCATCAACCACAATGAATCAAACAAAATGAAAAGACTAAAAGAGTAGGTGGAAAATGAGGTGAGGGGAGATGGAGGGCTTCCAGAAAGAGGGATCAGCACAGGTGAATGCAGAAATGTGTATTGACATAACAAGTACTATGGGCCTGGGCCTTGCTGGCACTGCACATCAGTGATGAACAAAGCACATGTGGCTCCTTCCCTGAGGGAACGCACAGCTCATTGAGCCTTCTGGGGGAAGCAAGCTCGATGGAGGTGAAATATGTAAGCACAAATCGTGGGGAAAGGAGAGGATAGTCGGGCAGAATAGCAGGGAGCCTAGTTTAGATCAGTGGTGAGGGAAGGCTTCCCTGAGGAGGTGATACCTAAGCTAAAATACAAAGGAGAAGGAGCCAGCCAGGCATAGCGGGAGAAGAGCACTGCATCAGAGGAAAAAGTGCAGTGAGGGCCATGATGCGGGCATGCACTCAGCAGTTGGGGGAACAGAATGAGTCCAGGCCAGAGCTGCCAGATTCAGTGGCACACATGCATGCATGCACACACACATATACACACAAACAGAAGTTAAATGTGGATTTCAGATAAACAATGAATATTTCCTTAGTGTAAATATGTCCCAAATATTGCACAGGATATATTTATACCAAAAAAGTCCCATTGCTTATCTGAAGTTCAAATTTAACCGCGCATCCTGTGTTTCATTCTGCAACCCCAGTCCATTCTGACCAGAGCAGAGTGGGCAGAGGGAAATGGCCTGAGAGAGATCAGAGGTGGGACCAGTGCAGATCCTGCAGGGCCTGGCAAGGGCTGGATGCTATCAGTGCAATGAGAAGCCAGAGATTAGTGAGAACAGAGTTGGCACAGAAGGACATGACTTTGATGCAGCCAGTACGGCACAGTGGTTAAGTTTAAGCTGCATGGACTCTGGACCTCGACAAGCTGGGTTCTGGTCCAGGCTCTGCTGCTGACAGCTGTGTAGTCTCAGGTGAGCTATGAAGCATTCTGCAACTCAGTTTCCTTATCTATCTGAAGGGCATGATGGAAGTGATAATGCTCCCCACAAGGCTGTTGTGCACAAAGCACCTAGAACAACCCCCACATCAGTCAGTCTGCTTTCTGCTTTAATAGGATTGCTTTTTGTTTTTTGTTTATTTTGTTTTGTTTTGTTTCGTTTTGTTTTGTTTTGTTTTGTGATGGAGTCTCGCTCTGTCGCCCAGGCCGGACTGCGGACTGCAGTGGTGCAATCTCGGCTCACTGCAAGCTCCGCTTCCCGGGTTCACGCCATTCTCCTGCCTCAGCCTCCCGAGTAGCTGGGGTTATAGGTGCACACCACCATGGCTGGCTAGTTTTTGTATTTTTAGTAGAGACTGGGTTTCGCCACGTTGACCTGCCTGGTCTCGAACTTCTGACCTCAAGTGGTCCACCCATCTCGGCCTCCTAAAGTGCTGGGATCACAGGCTTGAGCTATCGTGCTCAGCCAGGATTCTTTAAACAGATCACATTGGCTGCTGTATGGAAAGGTGGAAGGGAGAAGGAGACCAGGGAGGAAGCTCCAGGTGACAGATGATGGTGACCATTGAGGTGGAGGGAGTGGCTGAACTCAAGGCTTGTTTGGAGACAAGGCTGCAGGATTTGGCAAGCTTCGGGGCATGGATGAGGTGGGATAAGGTGGTTAGTCTTGCTGGAGCACGGTGCAAGCACCAATCAGGGAGGAGTGAGAAGTAACATTCCTTCTCCCCAGACTGCTCCAGAGGCTTCTCCAGGCAGGTGGAATGGAGCTGTCCTACCCTTCTGGCAGGGCCAGATGAGGATGGAGACGGGATCTCGCAGAGGCCAGGAGCTGTGGTCATGGAAAGGGCGGCCTCTGCTCTGCAGTGGTCTCCACACTTTTCCCTGTCCTGCAGAGGTAGGATTTGGCCCAAATTTAGTAGTCACATCAAGCTGCCATCTCCATGGATTAAAATTGGCTCTAAATGCAAATCAAGAGAGAAATTACAACAATGCGAGCATCCTTGCCTTCTATTTCTGGCACCTCAGTAACTTTAGAAAGTTCTGACCAATTTAAACGGTTTATCATTTCAGGAAAATTCCACTCCTCTTCCAGAGTGAGGCCCAGCTTGCCAAGCTCCTGCCCAAACAGTCAGACATTTCAGATGTGCATCATTGCCAAAGCAGGCACAGATGGGAAGCCACAGTGCACTGCTTGCTGCTGAACCTCAGACCTAGGGGCCACGTGGCCAGGCGTGCCAGGCCCTAGCCCCTCTCCCTCTGGGCCAGGGCTCAGCGCTGGACTCCAGGGATAGCTGCAGCTGTCAGACTCTGATCCAGGATCCTACAGGGAACATCAGAGACTGCTTGGGACAGTAAACACAGGGAAGCCGGGGAGCTGCTGAGGAGGCTCGAGTCCCAAAAACACTGGTCCTTGGGGTACCAAAGATGGAAGACCATTGTACATTCACAGCAAGCCCTGTCTCCTCATCCGTCTTAAAATCAAAAGTGGAGAGATATGGGCTGGGTGCAGTGGCTCACGCCTGTAATCCCAGCACTTTGGGAGGCTGAGGTGGGCAGATTACGAGGTCAGGAAATCGAGAGCATCCTGGCTAACACGGTGAAACCCCGTCTCTACTAAAAATATCAAAAAAATTAGCTGGGTGTGGTGGCAGGCACCTGTAGTCTCAGCTACTCGGGAGGCTGAGGCAGGAGAATGGCGTGAACCCGGGAGGCGGAGCTTGCAGTGAGCCGAGATCGCGCCACTGCACTCCAGCCTGGCGACAGAGCGAGACTCCATCTCAAAATAAAAAAAAAAGTGGAGAGATACATACCCTAACAATGAACAAACTCATCCAGGGTACACCCTCCTCACCCTACAAACAGAATATTATAACAGCTTCCAAACTGTCTCCTGGCCTCCAGGCTGAGATTGATTAACTGTGTCTGCCATGAGCACAGGATCAGGGAGTGTGCCAAGTTTTTCCCATTCACAGACTGGACAAATCTTCTTGGAATACAGACGTTATTAGTGTTCCTTAGTTCAAAGAGCTGCAGTGGTTCCCTGCTGCCTCCAGAAAAAGTTAAGCTTGGAACCTGAGGCTCCTCACAATCTGCATCCCACTTGCCCAGCCAGTCTTAACTCCCACCTGTTACCCACCAAAAGCTGTGTTTCAGAAGCCTGGCTGCCTCACGGCCAGCCTCAAACATGCCTTCAATATTCCAATGTACCTTTACTCACTGGGCTCCACCTGACTGGAATGCCCTCTTTTCCCTTCCCAAAGACTATTAGACCTAACTCAAGGCCTTCTTCTCCAGGAACCCATCCCTGGTCACCCAGTCCCAGCAGCCACCTTCCACTTAGCTTCTACAGCACCTAAGTTTTTGTGCTTTTCCATGGCCTGGAAGAATCCCTTGCCTTTTATGCACACAGAGCTTGTCTGCCCATCTAGACTATAAGCTCCCTGAAGGCAGGGATGCTGCCTTGTTCATTCCCTTGGCAGGGAAGGGAAACATCTACCCTGTGCCAAGAACTGTGCTAGGGATTTTCATCCATTCTTTTACTCAAGCCTGATAACAACCCCATGTTGTGAGTACAACCACCTCCATTTTATACGTGGAGAAAATCAAACCTCAGAGAGGTTAAGTGACTTGTCCAGGGTCACACAGCTAATAAATGTCTGGGCTGAAATTTAGACGCTGATCTCCCTGAATTTAAATCCAGTCTTCTTTTGCCTTGCTGCTGGAGTCCTCTCATGGAAAGCGGTAGTTACACAGAGGACCCTGGAGAAGGCAATGCTGAACCCCATGGATGTGCCCGACACATAGGAGACACTGAATACATACCTGTGGTTTCACTCACAAAGCCCTCATTGTGGAGTCTGATATGTGAAGCAGGCTGTGGAGGGACTTATTAAGCAGTGGGACTTGCCCAGCCACCCCCCAACCCTACTTCCCAGGTGATCACTAATTCCACCCACAGAAAACTAGCACAGCCAGGAAGCCACTCAGATCATGAATTTTCTGCCCTTTTATTTCACGGCTGCCCCCTCCCTCTACCCCCAGGCTTCAGGCTTCAACCATCCTGGATGATCCAGCCTGGAGCGGCTGAGGCTGCCACACTGACTGCTCCAACTACACAGAGAAGCCAGAAACGTCTGTCACTTGTGCCCTTGGTTTATCTTTAGAAGAAGAATGACTGAAAGGACCTCCACTGCCCAGGATGATTGTTTTGACAAGTTTTTATTGCGCATCAAATTGCGTCATTGTTTTGTTTAGCATTGAAAGGAGTTAAATTGCTATGAACTTAATGCGCCACCCCTAGTAAACCATTAGGTCCCTTCTGTGTTCCTGACTTTATAAGTCTGTTTCCCTCAGAGGAACATCTGTTGTATACTTAAATGACCTTAGTTCAAAGGCACGATCAACAAAAAATTTCTTAACTCCACTAGGAAGCATTCGAGGGGATCGTTTCTCTGCACTGGTCGTACAGGATGAGGGGCTTCTCTGTTAGCAGCTGTGTACATCTGCCCGTGGGGGCAGAGGCCCCTCTCTTTCTGCACATCATTAAAGATGCTCAGGCCTGTTTTTCAGCCTGTTTCCCACTCTGACCCAGGCAAGTGAGTCTCGCCAAAGTCTCCATTTTACAGGCATCGATAGCCAGGGTTCCACTCAAATGTAATTTTTACCCCATGTGCGGAGGGAGTGTGATGAAAGACAAGCGAGGAGTGCTCTGCTAATCCTTGGAAAGAACATGAATGGGCATTAGGAATTTCGAGCAACTTGACAAGTGTAGGAAAAACAGATTGTTCTTAGCCAAACACAGAGGAATTTGAGGAGAAAAACGAGCCTGCTGCAGAGAAAGATTCTAAGGACACCATCTTGGAGGCCATAAAAATCATATTGGAAACAGAGATGGCATCAGCCTTTCTGGCTTCCGCGTTATTAGCTCATCCTGACGTTATCCCCATTTTACAGATGAGTCAGCAGGCACTGAGAGCTCCCGACTTGACCAGAAGAGTGCCCAGGCATCTGACTCCAGCCATCCTCTTTCATAGGCAGCTCCTGCTCAGGGTTAAAGTGAACCAGCCACAGTTTATACAGATGAAGAGAATGACGGCGTGGACAATCACAGTGAAGTATTCCAATGTCTCTTTCCCTCCAGCTCCTCTGCTGAGGACTGAGCTCTCAGTGGTCTCCACAAAGTTAGCCAATAGTCTTTTCGTTCTTACGGTTTGGTCAGATTTCCCAGGGAATATGACTTTCGAGGATCCTCTGATGTCGGGCCCATCAAACATCAGGAAAATACAAAACTGCATTTCTCCAGGAGGATGAGGAGAGGTGGGTTGTCCCAGTTAAGCAAAGCTGGGGTTACTCAAGGGTTGCACTGTCCAGGCTGGCTGAAGAGTTGTCATGGAGAAAGGGCCCCAGCTGGGGCTTCAGACTATGTCTTGGGGCCTCTTCCCTAAAATGGGTCTTTGTGTCTGCATGCACATGTGAGTCTTTATGAGTTGTTGAAACTTTTCTGGAAGTTGGTGGGTTTCTGTAATGCTGGATCATGGACTTGTGCCCTCTTGCAGTTGGGAAAGTCATTACTAAAAATAAAGCTGGGTTTTGCCTTATTTGGAGAGGACTGGCCTGCATCGTCTCTCTCTTCCTATGTTGCCTTTTAGAGCAAGTTGAAGGGCTTTATCATGAAAAAAGAGTGGTTTTTAAAAGTATAGACCAAATCCTATGGCAAGATTTTTAGAGACTGCTAGAATCTTTTTTGTTGGACCAAAATGTTGCAGCATTTATTCTATGATGCTGGTAGCCTGTGGATCCATCTGGATCTGAGGAACCGTGAGGGTTTTATTTAATTTTGATCCTTGAAGTATTCATTGAAATGGCCTGTGACTCACAGCCATGTTATTCTTTTATTTGTCCATTCATTTATCCATTCGGTCAATCAAAGGTAATTGAAGAAAATCTGTGTCAGGCTCCATGATGGGCTTTACGGATGCAGAAATGAATGCCTCACCATTCTGCTCTGCAGGATTTTACCACATGGCTTCAGAGGCTAGTGGTCACAGCCCTGGATCTCAGTGCTGTGGGGCTGTGCTAGGGTTGGAGGGGGGAAGTCAGGGAAGAGACAGAGAAGGGCTCCTAACCTGGCTTAGGGAGTGAGGGAGGGGCTTCCAGACCCAAGTTTTAGAGGAATGAAGAACAGAAGAAGGAAGACAGGAGAGAATTCCAGGCAGAGGGGATGACACATACAAAGGCCTGGGTGATGGGGGGATTCTAAGCACTTCCTGGGGTCCCTCTGAAAGGTAGAGAATGACTGGGCATATCTGGATGCAGACCCAGCACAAGGGTGAGGCTGGCAGGGCTAAATAAAGACAGGATCTGCCCCACACCTACACAATTCACCTTACTTCCCTCTCTCTGATCCCGTCTTGTCAGTCCACATCTTCGTCAATACTCATATTCTGTTCATCATGGATTTTTTTTCATTAATTTTGGTTTTTAAAAGATTGCACTAAAACATTATTTATTTTGATTGCTGAGTTTTTTGGTGCCCCCTTAAATTCTGCACCCAAGGTGGGTGGGCTCCTCATTCACCTCATCCTCATCCTGGCTCATTCAAGAGAAGAGGCCTAGAAGTGGGCAGGACAGGGCCCAGGAGTGACCCTTTCAGCTCAGGACTTTACCCTTCACCCTGAAGGCAGCCGGGAGCCACCGGGGATGGTGAAGCAGGGAAGTAACCCCATCAGATGTATTTTAGAAAGCCTCCTGGCAGCGGCAGGGTGGAGGGGGGCAGGAGGCAGAGGGCTTAAAAGCAGAATCCCAGGTGACAGCCAATGAGGGCCCAAGTCAAGGCCAGGAAAATGGAGTTTAGGAGGAAGGCCTGGTCAGGAGCAACACACACTGAAGATTCTAGCAGGCCCAGCATCCAGCCTCCCTAGGCTGTCTTTGGCAAAGGGTGGGTAGAGAATACCCAGATCTTCCAATGGGCAGAGTGAGATGTAGGGTTAAAGTGGTCAGATGACCTGGTTGCAGCTGCCTGGGGCCAAGCTGAGCCCTGCCATGCCCACCCTACAGGCTGGAGCTGTCCAGCTCCCTGCTGGATAGGGGCCATTTGCAGGGCTCTTTTCCCCACTTTGCCCCCACCCCACCCCCTAGCCTAGCCCAGTAGGTCCTGGGCCCTTAGGCAGGACAGGGGCCCCAGGAGCAACGATCTCAGCTCAGCACGCAGGCATAAAGACACACAGGCAGGGAGGTGGGAGGGCAAAAGGAGGTCTGGTCCCCATTAGGGGCCATTTGCTTGTGGTATCAGGCCATTGGGGCTGCGGGCTGGTTAACAGGCATGGCCACGGGCTGCTGGGAAGGAGCTGCTGCCTTGAAATCGCATTGATTGGCTCTAATTTTTCCTGCTCCACACAGGGGGCCCAAAGGCAGCTTAATGCAGGCTGGCAGCCGTAGCAGCCCAAGACAGGATGTCTCTCATGACTAAGAAAAGACAGGGGGCTTCATTTTCTCCAACTGGTGCTTCCAGATAATGCAATTTACTGTCACTAAAATCTCAGCTGGTCAAATTCCACCTCTTCCAAGAAGCCTTCCTGCCCTTTCTAACCCCTGGGCTCTGACATCAGGCACATCTGGGTCCCTTCCCATCTCTGTGTCCTCCCCTTATCCCCCTAACCCCTTTGAAAGCCTCAACTTGTTTCTCTCGCTGCAGGAATGGACGGGCAGGACCCCCATGGCAGACATGTGGTGACAATGATGGGGTGACATAATGATGAGGCACCCTGCTCTGCACAGACCTTCTCTTCTCAGAGCAGGCCTGGCCTTCATATCCAGATGCCTGCCACTGTCCCAATCCCACACCCTAACCCCACCGGATTTGATACACTTCTCTGAAGCTACATGGGAGGAACCTGGTTTTCTCCTTTGAGGACACAGCCCACCCCCACCAAAGAATCCAGGCCTCCAGACCTGAGGGCAAATTTCCCTCTTCCATTTTCTTGCTCACTGCCCACTGTTGTTTTATCTTTTCTCCCTTCTCTCCCTCTCTGCCTCCCCATCACTGGCTTCCCTGGGTAGCATCTCAGGGCCTGCAAATGCTGGGCTCCTGGCTTCTCCCTCTGGCCATTTCTCTGCCTTCATCTTCTTCATCTCCTTATTCTCCAACAAGCTTCCAGCTCTTTCCTTCTTCATTCAGCAATATTTATCAAATAGTCTTTAGTGCCTGCCATGTGCCAAAGGCTGTGCTAGGCCCTGGGCATAAATGGATGGGCCGACATAGGGAATGTCCTAACCATGTCCTCTTGCTTTCTGTCATTTCTGTCTTCACTTTGGGGTCCTTCTTGGGCTGGGAGGGAAACCAGGCCTGCCCTGTCACCACAGAGCGGAGCAAAGCCAGGACCTTGACAGACCATCGTTGCTTCCCTCCCTCCTACTCCAGCCCACACCTGCCTAGGGACGCAGAGGCGCTCCCACTACTCTCTTCCTCCCCCTCTCCCTCCAGGGGCTATTCCTTCCCCCATAAGGTGAGTGAATGAGGAGTAGGGCACCTCCTTTTTTAGTCAGCTCCATCGTGGGGATGGGACAGTGGAAGACAGAGAGGCACAGGAGAAGAGCAGAGAGGACCGAGTGGTGAGGTCACCACAGAGTCAGGCCCATAAAGTGCTGCTTCCTCTGCTGGCCTGGCCAGCAGCCCCAGATCGTTTCAAAGGGCTTGATAAACAGCTTGGCAACCTTATCTCCCCCACACCCCACAGCACAGCATTACAGACTGGGAGAGGCAGCCGTCCTGGCCAGCCGGCCGGCAGCAGCACCGAGGGTAAGGTGCTCCTCTGCTGGGTCAAGGTGCTCCAGGCTCCTTTCTGAGCCCCACAACTGGCCGCCTTCTGGCAGCCACACAGCTGCAATCCCTGCCTGGTCTTGTGAAGCACATCTGTTCACAGTCAGGGGTCAGTGCCCATCCAGGAGCAAGGCAGCATCTACTCAGACCCCCAAGTGTGTATACCCGAGCCTGCATGCACCCAGGCACATGTGGGCACTCTGCACACCACAGATGCCTGCAAAGACACACAGGCACCCCCATGTGTCCACAGGCCCCAGTGCACCCTCAGGTTCACACACATATACTCACATAAGTAAGAATATGTTCAGTCCAGGAATTATATAGCCAGGTGGATTGCAGGAGCAGGGAGGAGTTCTTTCAAATGAAAAATAAAATATGGGCAAAGGAAATTCTGAAACAGCTTTAAAAGAAAAAAAGTAGAAGGAGCCAAGCCAACATCTTAGTGCTTCTGATGCTATCAGATTGGACTGAACTAACATGGGGGCTCAGTCTTGTTCCTCAGGGTTTTGTTCTCCTCTTGGGGCACATCCAGCCCTCTGCCTGGCAGGGCCCAGCAGTGGGGAAGAGAGAGGAACCCTGGCCTGCGCTAGGAGCATCAGGACAGAGGCAGCCCTGCCCACAGCATGCCCAGGTCCTCACTGAGCCTTTCACGCACAGGGATTGCTCCAGGCTCTGAACTGATCCCATGGTCAACCATCGTTTACCTGTCTGTCCAGAGGGATCGGTATTGTAGCTCCAGCACATGGGCTCTGGGACCAGGCTGCTCGGGTTCAAATCCTAATTCTGCTACTGCCCAGTGGGTGACTTGGGGTGCTTGGACTCTGTGAGTCTCAGTTTATCCTTCACTAAAATGGGTGTGATATTCCTATTTTACAAGGCCCTTGTAAGGATTCAATAAGATAATCTGTTATTATCTTATTGAGACCCAATAAAAGCTCAAGCAGTGTTACAATTCCTATGGTTAATCCTGCTAAAGGGAATGTTGAGACACCCTCACTCCCTTTAGTGTATTCAGCCTGCTCTTTCTGTTCTGCAGGGAGTGGAAGGCAAAGTACTTAAGGCAGTGGTTCCAGAGTGTGGTCCCAGCTCAGCAGCAGCAGCAGCACCTGGAAACTGGTTACAAATGCAGATTCTAGACCCCACCCCAGACCTACTTACTGTATCAGAAACTCTTGGGCAAGGCTGAGTATTGTGTGTTTTAACAGGCCCTGCAGAAGATTCTGATGCATGCTCAAGCTTGAGAATCACTGGGAAAGGTCAGGACATGGCACTTAGGCAGTAGATCCCAGCACCCACCTGTGTTAGCCTTTTATGGTTGTTCCCTAGAAATCTCCACCACCAAGCTCTGGGGTGAGGCCCTGAGTCCCAGACCCTGGCGTCCACACCCTGTCCCTATTTGACTCCCTCTTGGTCACCACGATTGCCTCTATTCTGCCTGCACCAGCCCTTCCCTACCCCCACAGCCGGCATGCTGGGGGGCCGGCCCCACCTCAGCCCTGCATCCAGCCTGAGTCCAGCTGGGCTGGACCCAACTCTGGAGTGGGAGACACAGGCACTTGACTTCAAAGCCCTGTCAGAGTGAGCCTGGTTTGCAGTGGAGGTCAAAGATAAACCAAGGAACAATTCGGCCAGAAAATGGGCTGTGAGGGGGAATGGGCGGAGGGAAGGGGGAAGGGGAGGGCAGCAGGGGGAGTGGGGTTCAGCTGTCCAGACCGCCAAGAAGGAAAGGCAACTGAAGCTTGTCTCTACAGACAGGAAGATGAGGAGCCCTCCTGCAACCAGGCCCCACCTAGGCACCCTTTGGTTAGGCAACCTGAGAAAGGGGTCTGGCCCCACCCTACCCCATCTCCACCCACTGCATGAGTTTGGATTGCATCTGTTCTGTCCTGATCCCTTGCATTTCCTCTCAATAGCAACGTGTGGTCAGAGCTGGGACAGACACTTGACTTTACTGACAAGCACCTTCTGGAGGCAACACAGTTGGGTGGAGTAGAGCAAGAGTCAGGTGTGACCCAGGTGTCTAGTACAGGTGCTGCCGTCTACACTGCATGGAGCTGCCTGTGCCACTCCCTGTCCTGCTGGGAACTTCAGGTGATGTCTGCATATGTCTTCCTGAGTGAGATCCACAGTTCCCGGCACTGCCATGGCCACACCTGTACCCCGGGCACTCCTCCCATTTATGCCACAGGTGTGCCCCTCGGGAGCACAGGAGTGGGGTGAAGGTCTGTGAGTTCCATTCTACACCAGAGCAGTGGGACAGAGGGTAGTGTGAGAGAACAATATGCTAGGGTGAGCCCCCAAAACCCATGGTGGATGGCTGGTGGGCATGCTGGGGAGGCCGCCTTGGACTCTGGGCTGCTGGAGACACTATGTGGAATGGGCTCTCCCCCAGGTATCAGCGGGGAGGGAGGTGTGCACACCATGTATCCGTGCCACTGTGTGCTCCGCATGTGCACACGTAGTATCTTGTATAACCCTTAGAGTCCTCTTTCAAGGTAGGTATTCATTTCTCCTTTTTACAAAGAGGAGAGAGGATGGGTGGGGCCCAGCATGTCACAGTTAGAAAGCAGCCACACAGGGATTAGTCGGGTTGAGCCCAAAGCCTCAGGGCCCCCATTAGCCTCTGCCATGGTGGAGAAGCAACAGAGCAGCCCCTGTGGGCAGCAGCTGTGATTCCTCCTGAGGGGCCACCTGCTCTGCCTGAGTCCTCATTGTGGGAAGGACTCTTGTGCCTGCACTGTCCTTGGCAGCCACACAGAAGCACTTGGATCTTTGGTCATCCACAAAGCCTGTACATGACCTCTACGTCCAAGATGAGCTGGTGAGGAGAGGTTGTTATCACCATTGCTCCCATTTTCAGGCAGGGAAAGCAGAGTTCAGGGAGGGGCCCTGCCCAGGTGTGCCCCAACGGGTAAGTGAGGAAGCTGGACTTGGGGCCCAGCTCATGTGGACAGGCACTGTCAGCTAGATGTGCTGAGATATCAGTGAGAGCAGAGGTCCCGAGGAGGGTGTGATGAGCATGTTTTAGTCCTCAGGGTGTTAACCAACATTACTTTAAATTAATGTAAACTTCATAGTGCAGAAGCATACATAATAAGATATGCATGTCCCCTCGACAATGCCAGTCACCTCCCCAGAGGTAACCACTATAGTAAAACGGCCAAGTCTCCATCCAGAGCTTTTCTATGTACTCACAAACACCTACAAGCACTTCTAGACTAGATTTTTGTTTTGTTTTGTTTTAGAGGCAGGGTCTCACTCTGTTGCCAGGGCTGGAGTGTAGTGGCAAGATCATAGCTCACTGCAGCCTTGACCTTCTGGACTCCTGGGCTCAAGCAATCCTCCTACCTCAGCCTCATGAGTAGCTGAGACTATAGGCACATGCCACTGCACCCATCTAACTTTCTTTTATTATTAATTTTTGTAGAGACGGGGGGTCTCACTTTGTTGCCCAGACTGGTCTTGAACTCCTGGCTTCAAGCAATCCTTCCACCTCGGCCTCCCAAAGTGCTGGGATTACAGACATGAGTCAAAGCAACTGGACAGATTTTCATTTTTAAAGAAATGTTCAATATTACATATATTGTGCTGTGACTCGCTTTTTTTTTTTTTTTTTTTTTTTTTTTTTGAGACGGAGTCTCACTCTGTTGCCAGGGCTGGAGTACAGTGGTGCAATCTCAGCTCACTGCAACCTCCACCTCCCAGGTTAAGCGATTCTCCTGCCTCAGCCTCCCAAGTAGCTGGGATTACAGGCGCCCGCCACTACACCCAGCTAATTTTTTGTATTTTTACTAGAGACGGGGTTTCACCATGTTGGCCAGGCTGGTCTCGAACTCCTGACCTCATGACCTGCCCGCCTCGGCCTCCCAAAGTGCTGGGATTACAGGCGTGAGCCACCGCGCCTGGCCAACTCACTTTTTTTATTTAATATTTCATGGGAATATTCCACATCAGTATATAAAGTTCATACCATATTCCTTTTCGGCAGCAGAGGCTATCCAAGAATAAAAGTCATGCAGTCTGATTACTCACAGAAGCTAGTGCTGAGCTATGGCCAGTTCCTATCCATCTGTAGGCTGAGGGAGGAGCCGCTGGCCCAGCTGCCTGTCAGACTGTCCCACATCTCAGGCAAGGCTGTGAGATCACCCCAGGCTTCCCTTAGGGTGATGCTGGCATTGGTGTCCTCCTGCCTGGCCCCACCCCCCATTCCCCAGGCTCCAAGTACCCTCGTGCTGGCTTGAGTCTCTCCAGTCCATTTCCACTGGCCCATGCTGGGGTATCTGAGGCCTAACGTGCTACCCTTTCTGGGAGTGTGGGCATCCTAAGAGGAGGCAGTGTCTTTACTCAAAGGAGCAAGGCCTGAATCAAGGCATAATGGCAGGAGAGGTGCAGAGACAGGCAGGGTGCAGAGGCCTGCTAAACTTCACGTGGTAGTGCAGATGCCCCACAGATCCTGCCTTCATGCTGGTCCAGCCTGTACCCCCTGTGTGAAGATGTCTGCTGCCCACTGGGTCAGGCTTAAGCAATCTGTATCAGTACACTCAAAGCCCTCCAATCTGGCCCAGTCTCCTGGCAGGCATCCTGGTCTCAAGGCCCCCGTTATCCTCCACAGGAAAGGGCTTTGATGCAAGGGGCCCTCCAGCACTGGCAGCTGTAGGCTCCAGGCTCACCCCTCATCTTTCTCTCCCTCTAGCTCCAAGATGCCATAGCTGAGCTCCCATACTTCACTGATACTCAACTGCTCTGCAGGCTCCCGTCTCTCTGTCATTGTCCTTGGTCCCCCCTCCACTTGGAATCCCCTTCCATCAACCTGTTGAAACTCTACCTGCACCCCGTCCTCTCTGGAGAATGGTCTCAATAGCCACCACCACTCTCCACCTCAGGCTCCCCTGACATCCAAGCTGTCTATGACAATCAGCACCCTCTGCCTGGCAGATCCTATGTCAACCCAGCTCCTGTCCACTCCACCAGACTGCAGGTCCTCAGGACAGGGACTGTGTCTTACTCCCACCCCCAAAGCCCAGGCAGGGCCTGGCACAGAGCAGGTTCCCAGTGGTTTCTCGCCCAGGTGGCTGCAGCCCCGGGCCCAACTCCTCCTTCACCAGCAGGAAGCACCTCCTTGGATCACAGGGAAGCCCTTACGCCACAGTTCAAGACTGTGCTGATCACAGTGAGGAAAGTACAGTGTGGCTGTTCACTGTGGTTTCTCTCCTTGGCTCCTAAACATTGACGAAGTATCTACTATGTGACAAACATCATGCTGGTTAAATGATCACTCACTTCAAAGAGTTTGCAGTCTAGTCAAGAAGCAGATAGTGTCCTGGTAGAGGAAAGCTGTGTGTGTGTGTGTGTGTGTGTGTGTGTGTGTGTGTGTGTGTGTGTGTGTGTGTGTGTGTGTTGAGGAGGGGGCTCTGAGAGCACAGCATAGAGAGTTGAAAAAGCCTTCTTGGAGGAGGTGAAATTTAACCTGAGTTTTGCTGAATAGAAGTTTTCCAGGAAGAAAAGGTTGGGGGAGGACATTCCAGGCAAGGGAACAACCTGTGCGAAGTCACAGAGACAAAGTGGAACTGCACAGGGAGCCTCCTGTCACAGCACTGCCCACTCTGGCTGTGACAGTCTCCCCTGCCCAGCCCAAGCATGCTGCTCGGGAATACTTGCCGAGTTATGCTGAACTGAGTTCCCTTCTGCTCTGCTGTTGCTGAGGGAAGGTTCCTGAAACGGAGAATGGGATGAGACTTCCCAACACTCTGACTGCTCCAGAGGCATTTTCCACTTCCAAATGTTGTCTCTGTGTGCCTGGGACAGCTCTTCTCAGGGGCACAGCAGGCCACATCTCCTGGCCAGGGTGCCCCCAGCTTGGCTCCATTTGGAGACTCAGGCCATTAGAAAAGAGGGCAGCAATTGAAGGGATGGGTGAAAGCAGCCAAGGCTCAATGTCTCAAGCCCTTCTGTCCATGTTCAGTCCTTCCTCTCACTTGCTGGGTGGCAGTGTCTGCATCATTTCCCCTCTCTCAGCCCTAGCTCCTGAAATTGCAATGAAGTTATTTCTGATTAAAGATCCCTACAGACACGATTGGAACAACAACTTGGTACACTGACAGACTTGTGCATCTTCTTAGCAGTCTGCATCCCCTGCTTCCCTGGAAGACATTCTGCCCCTCCCTCCATCATCTCCTCAAGGCAGGGCTGGGCAGGCACAAGGCTAACCGGCCACACATCAGGCAGTACTTCCTCTCTTCCCTTCCTTCTTCTCCTCCATGCTGCACAAAGTCTTTGACCTGGTTCTTCTCCCTCTGGGGAGGACCTTTCCAAGCACTCACATGCCCTCCTGGCACTTTCTCATGAGCCAGGTGACCTCTGAGAATTCTGCCATCTCATGCTACTCAGAACTGACCAGTGAACAGAGCAGGGAAACCAGTTAATTGCTTCAGAGGCCAAGGTGGTCAGAGGCCCTGGCGAAGATCTCAGACTACCTGGGTCCAGGCACACATCTGAGAGCTGTCCCAGACCTGCCTGCTATAGGCATTGCCCTGTGGCACCCACAGCCCCTGGGAAGAACAGGCACATGCACCTCTCCTGCCCTGGTTGCCAGAGATGCTGGCAAGAAACCCATCTGGAGTCGATGCTGCACACTCACAGCCAGCAGCATCTGCCAGTGGCGTGACCTGGCCCATATTTCGCCAGCAGTGAAGAAAAGAGAAAGCATCCCCCATCCTTACCCGCTCTAATTGCCTTCCTTCCGCCTGCAGGGAGGGAAATTGCCTCGTTCTGCCAGAACTTTGCCTCCAGGAGGCTTTCAGGAGAAAGTCTTCTTCCAGAAGAATGGCTTCCTTTGGCATCTGGCAGGGCGTGTGCAGTGCGTATCCTCAGCGTCAGAGGCAGAGTCAGTGCCGGCCATGGCAGGGGGCGGGGAGGTGTAATAAGCGGAGACAGCTGCCGCCTCTGTTGTAAGGCCAGCATTGAGGAGCCGTTGCATAGATAATTGGGGCGATGTCCTGGTACACTGAGGAGATCCACTTCCAGATGGCACTGAGGGACCACTTAGAACAATTAGCCAGGGGAGATGACTCCACCTGCTATTTTTAGAGGGTACCACATCTGGAGGTGGTATCTTTTGGCTGGAAAAGTCTGCACCAAAGGCAGAGGGATTTGCATAATCTTCCATGATCGACTCATCAAGATTTCTCCACCCATCAAGATGTTTTTAGCTTTTCAGATGACAAATCATTCTGGTGTTTTGTGCATGGCGCCTGGCCCTAGAGCAGCCTCCAGATTATCTTTTTAATCAGTGCTCAATGCCATACTGGAAGGAGAGGAGAGAGCCATGCAGTCTTGCTTCCTGTGGCCCAGTTTTCCAGCTCTGTCCATAGGAGGTGGTGCTGAGTGGCTGGGAACCAAGTCTCAGGCATGGCTGGGGTGCTTCTCTGGGCTCATGGATCTGTTTGCTGGGAATGCAGCTGAAATGTTGTCCCAGGATCCCCAGGCAGTAAGCTTCAGACAATGAGACCAAGGGGATATGGATTTTGGAGTCAGACAGATGTGAGCTCAAATGCCAGCCATTTGTTGTGGGCTTGGGTGAGCCACTTCACTCTGCTGTGCTTTAGCTCTCCAGCTTAAAACGGGAGGAGACCTACCTTGGAGAAGCAGAACTAAACACGCTGCAGGGGATGGTGTGGATTTTCACACAAGACCTCAGTAGACAAAGCTGTGCCTTTCTTTATTTCCCAGCATAGCTTTGCACTTGAATCTGGGTCCATTCATGGCTGGAAGCCCTTGGGCCGCTTTGCAGGAGATCCAGCCTCTTTCTTTCTTTCTCAATCAATTCTTGGTCAACTTAGGTCAATCTAACACTCCTTCCCTTTCTCTTCCTTTTTTTGTCCCCTATGAGATGGAAGTTCCAGGCATTAGAGGGATTGACCTAGGTCAATCTAACACTCCTTCCCTTTCTCTTCCTTTTTTTTGTCCCCTATGAGATGGAAGTTCCAGGCATTAGAGGCAGAGGCAACTGCCTCTCCCTCCAGTCAGCCCAGATGTCCCTTGCCTGGCCTTTGACCATTGGCCCCTGGCCACACTGTGACTCCCTGCTACCACATCTGCACATTTCCACTTCTCTGCTCACCAAGTCCATGCAGTCACTTGGTGTCCCTCTTGTTCTGTTGGAAGATGTCTCCAGATCTGCCTGCCCTTCTCTCAGTTATATCCTCACCCAGTGGGGCCCAGTAAATTCACAGACACTCCCCTACACTGTTTCAGAGGTTCTTGATGTCGCTGCCAGACATTTCTTCCCTTTCTTCCTTACTAGCCTGACAACCACCCCCCCCACCACACCTCTCTCCAGGAAGTGTTACCTGACCACAAGTTTACTCAAACCAATGGCCTTCCTCTGCAGCACAAGCAACGGGCCCAAGCTCCAACACTATGTCTGAGTGCCTGGACCGTCTGATGTGTTTTCTTACACTACCAGCTCACACTGGTAGATCTGGGTCCCCATTGGGAAGTCCTGAGAGTAGCTACAGTCCTCTCCTGCAGCCTGGCCAGGGCTCAGCCCCCAGCCCAGCCTGCACTATGCCATGCTGTGCTCCCCTGTGGCGGGGCAGGGTTGTTTCTTTGACTTTCCTACTCTCTGGTATTCTCTAAGCTTTATACAGTCAACACAGATCACTCTTTGCTCCTGAATGTTAAAGAATGTCTTTCTGATTTTTCTTAAAGTTAAAGCAGTCTTGGATGACGAGCTGTCCTTGAGCCCCCTTACCTAGAAGGTAGGATTGAGGTATGATGAAAAGTGTGGGCTTTAGCTCAAATTCTGACTCAGTTCCTTATGTTGACCTTGGATCATTTTTATTTCCCTCTTTAACTTCAGTGTCCTCAACTCTAGGTGGGAATAACAACCACACATCCCTCCCAGGACTGTGGGGCCCTCAGCATAGCACTCTGCTTGGAGTAACTGCTCAGAGGAGGGCTGTCACTATTATTGTCATCTTTGTCCCACTGACAGAGCCAAGTTGGGTGGACTCATTCCCAGGAGCATATGGCTTCTCACGCTCACCCCAGTCAAGCCCCTGGGCACTCTTCATCAGCAGGGCCACCCCATGGCAGGGGAGGCACCATTGTGATGAGAGGTAGCCCCCAGTTTCAGGAAATGGAAGATCTCAGGCTCCCGGGAGAAGTCAGATACCCCCACACTGCCACCATGGTTCACCACTGGAGCCGCTATGGAGAGGTGGCTCCTTGCCACCCCACATTCCCTTCATCTCCCATGCCTTCTTCCAACTGCCCAATCCTCATCAGCTCCCAACTCCCTTTCACCTCCCCAAATCCCTTCTATCTCTTTTTTTTTTTTTTTTTCCAAAACGGAGTCTCACTCTGTCGCCCAGGCTGGAGAGCAGTGGCGCGATCTCGGCTCACTGCAAGCTCCGCCTTCTAGGTTCACGCCATTCTTCTGCCTTAGCCTCCCGAGTAGCTGGGACTACAGGTGCCCACCACCACACCCAGCTAATTTTTTTGTATTTTTAGTAGAGATGGGGTTTCACCGTGTTAGCCAGGATGGTCTCAATCTCCTGACCTCATGATCTGCCCGTCTCAGCCTCCCAAAGTGCTGGGATTACAGGCATGAGCCACTGCGCCCAGCCATACCCCTTCTATCTCTTGCAAAGACAAACCCACTGTCTTAAAGTAGCCCATTTCATGTCCATCCAGAAATACATCTTTCCAATCCAGCCTAGAAAACAGCTGCAAACAAGGGAGAAGGCCACAAGAGAAGCCCTCAAAGGGCATTTTGGGTGTCCATGTAAGGACAGGGCTCAAGAGACCAAGGTGCCACGCAGAAACAGAAGCCTGGGGCTTCTGACATCAGGGCCAGCCCTGGTGCAGGTGTAAGTCCAGGAGTGCCTTCTCCCAGGCTGCCACAGCAGGAGCTTTCTGGGGGCAGATTTTCACATTGGTCAGAGGCAGCTTCCTGGAGCCTTAGGACCAGTGGTCATTGGCCTACAGGGTGGCAAAAGGCAGAGCCAGGCAGGAAGGGGGCAGTGGGAAGTGTACCCCACCCAGGCTGCTACCTATGGTGGGCACACAGCTGAGCCATCTCTGGGAGCCCAGCATCTCCCAAGTCATGGCCTGGCCTAGAATAGGAGGAAAGAAGGGGCTGGATTCTTACCTAAGCCAGCTGGAGCTGTGAAACATGGGAATGAGAAACTCAAAAGTAGACAACACAGAGCGAAGGTTCATTTAGTCAGGAGCTGGAATTTTCACACCAGCTCACATGATCTTACATTCACTCTGGAGGTGTGTAAGGTCTTCTGAGCCCTGTAATCAGATGGTAAATGTGAAGCTCAGAGACATCAGTGATTTGTACAATGTGTAGATGTATGATTTGGGGGAAGTGGCTTAACCTCTCTGGCCTTCAGCATCTCCCGTTAAAGCTCTTTCCTTGCAAGGCTCTTGCAAGGAAAAGAGAGGAAATACACATACAATGGTCAGCACTGTGCCCAGCCCGCAGAAGGTGCTATGTACATGGCCATAATCTTTATCAGTTCCAGGGAAGGTCCAATTTAGCCTGGTAGAGAAGAAAAACGGGGAATGTGGGCCCTCCTATGGGGCAGGGATGGCAGGGCTCACACTCCCCTTCGAGAAAAGAGACTTTGGCTAGGCATCGCTAGGGTTTCCCCTGCCCAAGAAGTCTTTAAAATTTATGCCATATCCCAGCCACTCCAAAAAGTGAACATGATTCTCATTTTATCAATTAGGAAATATATTAAGAGAGGTAAAATAACTTGCTAAATGTCACATAGCTGAGAAGCAATAGAACGGGCTTTAAAATTAGGTCTTCCTAATTTCAAATTTAAGTTCTTCCCAAACACCCTACTGCTTCCCAGAGCTCCAAAGCTGAATTCAGAGATAACTTCCAGCCACCTCACTTTAGCCACATTTCTTCAGGAACTCATAGCCTTTAACAAAAATATATTGTGAAATATGCCATACTTACAAAAGAATACTTTAATATAAGTATATAATACAAGGAGTAATGAAATTTATATGTACTTAAAAATAATGTGTCTTTGATGCAGTTTCACCAAAATGTATGTGGTTCTGAATTCCTACTTTTCTTGTTTATGATTTGTTATGCTTCTAACATCCAAGTTTTGGTGTCTTTTAACAATTCTGGGAAAATGTTAGCCATTATTTATTTGAATACTGCCTCTTCCCCATTCCCTCTATAAACATCTCCTTCTGGAATTCCAAGGACCTCCACACACTATGCTTCATGTCATAACCTTACTTTCTTCTTGTTCTTATCTTTATCTCTCTGACCTGCATACTGGATAATTTCTTAAGAATTATCAGTTTATTAATTTTCTCTTCAGCTGTGTCTAATCTGTTGTAAATTCATTTGCTGAATTTTTTAATTGTTATATACATTTTCCTAGTAGTTCCAGGTTTTTTACAAATCTGCATTTTTAAAAAGTGTCCTGTACTGTGTTCATACTTTTAAACATTCATTTCTTAGAACACACAGTTATTTTTCATGTCTGTTTATTTTAATATCTGAAGTTTTTGTAGATCTGATTCTACAGTCTATTGTTTCTGTTGGTTCTCACTCATGGTCCCTTATCTTCTGGTGTGATTTTATGATTCTTGACTGGAACTGAAATCCTCATTGGAACTTTACATCTGTGGGAAATCTTTGAGGCCTCAGCTGAACGTGCCATTTTGCAAAGATAATTTGTTTTTGTTTCTGCCAGTCACTTGTTGGGAAGCACCAACTTGGGACTCTGTTGAATTAAATTTTCTGCTTAAGAATTTCTGACAACGTATGAATTTGGATCATGTATCCATGTGAGAATCGACTTTTGGTTAAGTATTCTCAGGAGAATTAACTTTTTTCTACATGGGACCAAATTGTCCTTGCTCTCTTCTATGCAGCAGATTTATTTCTTAGTTACTTTTACATTGAAAGTGTAGCTATTGAGGCCCCAGCATTATGCAGGGGTCTTTTATTAGACAATCCACTTGGGCAGGCCCCAGGGCCCCATTATTTACCTATTTTCTCCCATTCCAGCTCAGCATCAACATGCAGGCTTAAAGTCACCAGGGGATGGTAGATCCTGGAACAAAACCGGCACTGTGCTCCATCATCCTGTGTTTACACTCTCCACGCAGTTTCAGTCTCTGTGACCCTATACTTTCTTGTCAATTCAGTCGTGTATTAAAATTTTTAAAATATTTTGTCTGATAGATCATTGTTTTCATTTGGAAAGTTGTTCAGGGTATTTAAGGCCCCTTGCTCCAGAAATGGAAGTCCCTGCACAGAGATTTTGGACAAAAATATAAAGTATTTCCTGCCTCAAAGCTAGATGCAAGCAAATTTAGACTGATGGTAAATATTTTTCTAAGATACTTTTTCTAAGATACCACTTTCCCTTTTCTATCCTCCTTCCAGTAATTTTCTCCATCCTTAAATATATTTGTTTCTCACTGTTGCTCTTCCCTTTCCCTCACTAGAAAAAAAAAAATAAACTCATGCTAAAGTGTTAATGACCAAAACCAACTTACCTCTACTCCTTAGTATCCTGTGTATCAGGAAACTTTAAAATTTTTCTTTTCTTTCAAGATTTACATTTTGAAAGGATCCTGGAGTTGATAGTTTGATTGAACGGAGTGACTCTCCGATTTTAAATTCTAGGATGCCCTTTCAGCCAGGGAAGAGCTTTCTCCAAATTGTCCCCAGACCAGACTGCTTAAAGGCCATTCCTTTGGTCCCTAGAGCCCACAATGTGTAAGGATGGTCAAGGAGTTCATTAGCTTCTTTGTTAGCTGCCCAGCCACACCCTCAGAGTTCCAAAAGCATCTCAGCCCCTCACCTGGCGGACCCACCAGGAGCTGTGCACATTAGCACACTAGATCTGGCCAAACCTGCCAGCGGGGTTTAGAAGCCTACACAGCTTATTCTTCTCTGCTGACTCTTACTAGTACTTCTCATCCTCCCTCCTGCTTCAGGGGAAATAGGGTCACTGATGGATGCAGAAAGAAAAATGGATTCCAGTGTTTTCAAGACAGAGAGCTTAACCCCAGTCTCTGATAAATACTTAAGGCACATTTCTGTGTGAGATCTTGGGAAAGCACACAAGCCCCTCACATAGGCTCTGACCCAGACAGAATCAGTGCCCCCAGATACCCCCGCCCACCCTTGTAGAGCATTGCCCTCTCTTTCATCCTGGTCACCTACCTATACTAGGCATACTCAGGGGCCTGGACAGCTGCCTCATCTGCTCCTTCCCCTTTGCGGGGTGGTTCAGGGATGTAATCTGGGCAGACTCTCAGTGGCAGCTTGAGAGACCTCAGGTAACATGTGCATAAAAGCTCTCTGAGACCCACTCTCTAGTTTAGGGTCCATTTCTCCCTGTTAGTGGGGTTAGGGGATACCAGGGGCTAGAAGGAGTAGACAGAGGTAATGGGAAGGTGAGGAACAAACACAGGCCTTTCCTGGGCTTGGCCTGTCAGATAACCCTGGCCCACTCATACACGAGTGGATGGTGTTCTAGTTATATAGTGCTGCATAACAAACTACCCAAAACGTAGTGGCTTAAAACAACAATTGTCATTAATTTCATTTATGAATATGCAAAATAAGTAGAGCTTGGTGGGGGTAGCTCATCTTTGCTCATCAGCTAAGGCAACTCAGTTGGGGTTGGAAGATCCACTTCCAGGATAATTTACATGGCTGGAAAGTTGGTGTCAGCTGCCGGCTGGGAATTCATCTCAGGCTGTTGGCTGGGGGCTTCTTCACAGCATGATGGTTGGGTTCCAAGAGTGAATGTTCCAAGATGTCAAGGCAGAGGCAGCAAGACTTCTCATGACTTAGGCTTGGAAGCCCAAGATACCATTTCTGCTGCATTCTAAGTCACTAATGCCAACTCATATTCAAGGGACAGAGGACTAGACATCTCTCAGTTGGAACACTTAGAAAGATGTGGCCATCTTTAGTTTACTACACATAAGTCTGGATGAATAGGAATGTTCCTGTTTCATTCAGTGTGTGTGTGTGTGTGTGTGTGTGTGTGTGTTTTGGGGGTGGGCAGTTATTTATCCATTCATTCAACAAGCACTTTAGAAAATCTCCTCAGGGACATCTGAGACAATGTCCCACTCTCAAGAAGCTCCCAATCATGTGGGGGGAAGTAGACACAGATGGGTAAGTGTGTATATTCATTCATCTATTTAATATGTATTGTTTGAGCACCTACTGAGTGCTATGCTGGGTGATGGGGTGCAGGGTGGCCATGCTGGACAGGCCCTGTCTTCAGGGAGCTCACAATTTGTCAGAGAAGACAAACATCAAACCTGTTATTACAAAAGAGTGTGATGAGGGCTGAGGGAGGAGCTGCATGGGGCTGGGAGGTCTCTAGCAGGCAGGTGTGATAGTCTCTCTGGAAAAGAGGTGTTTAAGTATAAACTTGCAGATGATGTTTGTGCAGATGAAGGGAAGGAAGCAAGTACACTCCCAGTAGAGGCAGCAACCCATGTGAAGATTCAGAGGCAAGGAAGAGTGAGAAGCATTTGAGGGCTTCACAGACAAATAGAGTAGTATGTACTTAGGTGTGGATATCCATGTGTATGCATGCTGGAAGTATGTGTGGGTCTGTGTGTGTATGTGCATGTGAGTGCATATATGTAGTTGTGCATGTGTGTTTTTGTGTGTTGTTAGAGCAATACCAAGAGCTTCCTCTCTGCACCTGGCTTTAGCTTATGGAGTGTCCCTACTCTGCAATCTAGAGGTCTGGGAAATAGTACACCCCGTCACTGCTGCCACACATCCCATGTGCACCCATGACCCATCCCATTCCACACCTTAGCTTGCACACAGGAATATGTTGATGTGGCCTGTGATTGGCATACAGCACTGAGCACTCAGAAGAGGCGGCTGCTCCAGTTCCAGCCTTAAGGCAACCTGCCTACCTCCTCCTCAGCCTGTCAGGTCTGCCGATGACCCAAGCCCAGGGTGATATAGGAGCAATGGCGCTAGAAGGGATCCTGCCACTTGACCAGTCCCTGACCACCAATGGGCCTCAGAGTTCTCTGTTGTGAGAAAGGGACCTATGGTGTGAGGAAGAGATTCCCTCCTCATGTGAGTCAGGCAATCCCATCTCAAAAACATGCATAAAAGCTCTCTGAGACCCGCTCTCTAGTTTGGCATCAATTTCTCCCTATTAGTGGGTTTTGAGGATGCCACAGCTGGGAGGAGTAGGCACAGGGAGTGGGGAGGCGAGGAACAAAGTCAGGCCTTTCCTGGACTCAGCCTCTTAGATAATCCTGGCCCTGAGAGAAAGCTGTCCCAGCCCCACAGCCCCACCTTGCCTGCTGTTTGCTCCTCGGCTACACACCAGAGAGAAAAAAGCAATTTAATTTTTTTAATTAAAAAAAATTGTATTGAGGTATAATTTACCTAAAATAAAATGCAGACATGTTATGTATAGTTGGATGAGTTTTGGCAAATTTAAACATCCGTGTAATCACCACCTCAGTGGAGATATAGAACATTTCCGGCTCCCTGGAAAGTTTCTCCCATGCTCCTTTGCAGTCAATGTCCCCTTTGCCATTACTATAGATTAGTTTTCCTGTTCTAGAACTTGACGTAAATGCAGTCATTTAGAATGCATTTTTCTGTGTCTGGATTCTTCTGCTCAGCATAATCCTTCTGAGTTATATCTGCATTGTTGCATGGGGTCAGTGGTTTCTTCCTTTTCGTTGCTGAGTAATACTCCATAGCATGAATGGACCGTGTTTATCCATTCACTTGTTGACAGACATTCACTTGTTTCCTCTTTTTCCTTTCTAGGTGACTTTTCAGAAGTTCCATATAACATTTCTTTTCGAATTTTAATGGCCAAAAATAGTCACATGGCCACACCTAGCTACAAGGAATCTGGGAAATGCAGCTCTAGTTGAATAGCAGTTGGGATTTTTTCCTAGGAGGAAGGTGAGAGTGGATACTGGGGACAACTAGTGGTCTCAATTTGGCAGAAACTAAGGTCCAGAGAAGCACTGATGTCACCAAAGTCATCCAGGTCCTCATAATAGAGGTGGGTCAAGGCTCCGGATTTAGAGCCTTTTCAATCTGTCAGCAGTAGACCACCTCACATTCAGTGGCAGTCATCCATGGGCCAGCACCCAGGGTCTAGGGCACCAGGAGAGAGCACCATGAAGAAGCTGAATGGCATCAGGTAGGAAGGGTAACACTGATGCCATGGGCATTTGACTGAACACTCACTATGCACCAGGTACTGGGCTGGTCCCTTCACCCAACATGCCAGCTGATTCACACAGCTGTTAGTCCCATTTCTCAGATGAGGAAACTGACATTTGGAGAGGTTAACTAACTTGACTGAGATCACGCAGCTAGCAAATGGTGTCTATAGGGCTCTAGACCTTCAGTTCTGCAGAAGGCAAGTTCTGATCACAGATAGAAATATAGGGTTTCTCAACATGCTTTCTAACAGGTAGAAGGAACCTCTATCTCAAGACTCATAAATAAATAGTCCTTTTAGGGCCCCCGCTGGCAGCCTCAGGGGCCTGCCACAGACCCCTACTCTTCTAATTCACTCAGGATTTTTACTCATAATTCTACTTTCCTCCATTTCATGCCTATAACATATTAACATAAACAACAGTGCTGACAGCAGCTCAGCTCTCACTGGCTCATGCTGGAATCTCACTGATGATTTTCATCAGGAAAAAAGACTAAACAGGTTAAGATGATTAAATTTTCTTAAACCTACAGCTAAGCCTAATCAAAGCCATTTGTGCAGAGGTGTGTGTGTGTGTGTGTGTGTGTGTGTGTGTGTGTGTGTGCGTTTTCCTTTGCTGGAAAGTTGACTGGCAGTTTCAAATGGATGGGTCTGACTTCTGGGAGAACAGAATTAAAGCATTTTCTGCAACTTCCAGACATTAGCATAGGCCATTTCCACTTCCCCGTCTGGGCTGGAACTGTCATTTTCCCTGAGAAACATCTGATGATGAAAATGAGTGTCTACATTTCATCCCCTCCCTGACTTCCCCCCCAAAGTTGAGTCCTTTTATGATTGCAGCTTTTTGTGTTGAATGAGCAAGAAAGTGTCACTGATTCCTAATTTCCAGACATTTAGGGGGTCAGGAGCCTTTCATACAGGCTGATCATATAATCTTGGCCAAACCCTTTGCCCTCTCTGGGCTTTGGCTTCCCAATCTGCAAAATGGGGAGGTTGGTCCTAAGGATCTCCAAATCAGCAGAGTAGAGCACAGCAAATGGGGTGTGACAGGAACCAGTCTCCTCCACGTGTGTGCTGTTCTTTGTCACACAAAGCTCACAGGCATCCTTACTGATTATGTTCTATAACCTATCTGTATGCTCAAAGGGGCACCCACAGGGCATAGCTTTTCCCTCTCTGACATCCTCAAAAATCCTCTCAAACCTGTCTTCACCTTCACAAGGTTTCAGTGGACCCCAAAGCCAGGAATTAAACCACATTTTCAGGTATTAAGAAGGCCAGTCTCATCCTGTATTAGTCCATTTTCACACTGCTATAAAGACACTACCTGGGACTGGGTTTACAAAGGAAAGAGGTTTAATTGATTCACAGTTCCACATGGCTAGGGAGGCCTCAGGAGACTTACAATCCTGATGGAAGGGGAAGAGGAAGTAGGTAGCTTCTTCACAAGGCAGCAGGAGAGAGACAGAGTGAGCAAAGGGGAAGTGCCACACTTTTAAACCATCAGATTTCCTGAGGACTCACTCACTATCATGAGAACAGCATGGGGGAAACCACCCCCATAATCCAATCACCTCCCACTAGGTACCTCCCTCAACACGTGGGGATTACAATTCAAGATGAGATTTGGGTGGCGACACAGAGCCAAACCATATCACATTCCATTTAAAACTTCAATCTCTCTCCCAATTCAATACTCCTTTCCCTTTCCCAGCGTTCACCTGTGACACCTCACTCAAGAACCTGGAAGTGCGGTAGGAAGCATGGTCACTTTCATTTTTCCTCTCCCCAGTTCCAGGCATTCCAGAGCTGGGTAGGAGCCTGGGGGGTAGATTTGGGGGTTAGGAAGGAGACTAGAGAAAGGAGAAGCAAGGCCCTATTTGTAGTACCCTCTAGGACATCCGTAGCTAGCTGTTTTCCCTCTACAACTTCAGGCATCCAAACGCTGACCATCACACCCACCCACTGGGTATGTATCTGTAGACTCTTACAGGGACCTGCTCACCACACTGTACAGTTCTCTGGCTGACTCTTGCAACCTTCCTCAGCACTACCACCACAAGTGGCCCTCCTCATGGTTTCTTGCTGCTCGGGTTCCCTCTCCCTAGCAGGCAGGTCCTGTCATGACAGCTTGAGCCCCAGCACTTCCCATGGTGTCCACATGACCCACAGGAAACTCTCATGTGAGGCTGCTCTACTGCCACTGCACTTGTCCCTCTCCCTGCTGCCATAGGCCACTCCTGCAAGCCCCATGAGTTCCTAGAAAGAAGCAGGCAGCAGTCTCCATGTTCACAGCTACACCCAAACTCCAGGTGGTGTGTGCCATGATCACTCTCACCACACTTCCCTTAGAGCAGCAAGATGGCCCTTGGGTTTCTAAAGCTCAGCAAATATCCTTCCCTAGAACAGTCCACTCCCAAATTCTGCAAGTACTTTTTAAGTCCTCTTAACATGTTTGGGTGGAACACCACCCCACATGGTGTGGAAGAGATGGAAGGGCACAAAGACTCTTGAATTCCTTCCAAATATCTACTTTCTTTTATGTAGGCTGGAGGCGGGGGATGGGGATTGGTAGTCACTGGACCACTTCTGCTACCTTTTAGCAATCTGCAGGGATGTGGCTGGCATCTTACTTACAATGTATTTTTAGCTTTGAGGCGTCAATCAACCTCCAGAAACATTAATACTGTGTTGCATAACTTTTAGGATTTTTCTCAGTACTTTCTCCCAGAAAAAGAAGATAAAACTAAACACAAAGCAAGCAGAAGAAAGGAAATAAAGACTTAAGTAACAATAAATGAAATAAAGAATAGAAAAACGATAGAGACAATCAACAAAACCAAATGCCATTCTTTGAAAAGATCAATAAAACTGACAAACTTTTAGCCCAACTGACAAATATATAAAGGAGATAGAAGACTCAAAAACTAAAATCAGAAAAAAAAGGATTATAAGGGAATACTATGAACAACCATATGCTACAAATTAGATAATTAGGTGAAATGGACAAATTCCTAGAAAAACATAAACTACCAAAACCAACTCAAGAAGAAACAGAAAATTTAAATAGACCTATAAGAAGAAAAGAGAATTCATAATTTTAAAACTTCCCACAAGGAAATGCCCAGGTCCACATGGCTTTGCTCGTGAATTCTACCAAACATTTAAATAATGATACCAATACTTCACAAACTCTTCTAAAAGTAGAACGGGGAGGAATTCCCAACTCATTCTCTGAGGCCAAAATTACCCTGATACCAAAACCAGACAAAAACATCACAGAAAAGAAAACTACAGATCAATATCTCTTATGAATATAAATGCAAAAATTCTCAACAAAATACTAGCAAACTAAATCCAGCAACATATAAAAAGGATTATATACCATAATCAAGTGGGATTTATCCCAGGAAGGCCAGATTGGTTTAACATCTGAAAAATCAATTCATGTAATACGCTCTATTAATAGAGTAAAGAACACAAACCACACGATCATCTCTATAGACACAGAAAAGGCATTTGGCAAAGTCCAAGAGGGAGGAGAGGGAAAGGCACTCCAGACAGGGGAAACAACCTAAACAAAGGCACAAGGGGAAAAGAGTTTTATTTAGAGGATGTACAGGGAATAAAGAAGTATTTTCAGAAACCAGATGGGTGTCAATCTATAGAGAGCCTTGAATATACCAGTCTAAGGGATCAAGAGGGAGCCATGAGAGTGCTGAGCAAAGCTTTGACATAATTTAAATGACGCTTTAGGAAGCTAAACTGGACAAAATTATCCAGTGATCCATTTATATACACCAATATGACTCCAAGATACAGAGTAACAATCAACACAATTTTCTGGAGGATAAACTGCAATCTAATTTACTCCCAGCGTGGATCCAGGTTTCGCAGCTGAAAGTACGTATCAGTTTTGAGGCCCTCTTTAAGATAAAAAATTAAAATTAAAAATCAAAAAAAGGTACAAAAGTGAACGCTTATTTACAAGGAGGAAAGAAATTACAACATGCCCATGGCTACTCCAAACCATTCAATTCAAGAAGTGAGAAGGAGGGGATGTTAGAATGGAAAGAGGTAGGAATCTTAACCAATTATAGTTATTATATCTGACTTTTGCCAACTGTACAAAAATATATGACCATGTGGGACGACGCATGAGCTTTGAGAGAATCCCTGCACAGGAGGAGCCATGAAGCCCAGGCCTCCTAGCCTCATGGTGAATCTGCCCTGTGGTGTGCTGAAGCCAGTATGCACAGGTTCATAACAAGCAAGCATGAACACTTCTTCCCAATGGCACATTCAGTGACACAGATCAGCCATGGAGTGAGTATTTAGTTACACTACAGAAATTGGTAAATGCTACAAATTTGGGCTTCCTCCATTCCAGAAAGCTGGCTGTTAAACATTTGCCAGCATGCCACTGAATCCACTTCTATTTATGGCTACAATGTTTGCCAATTCTGGTCCTTGGCACAGAGTCCCTGTCATTGGCCATCACAGCTGGACTATTCAGAGGTCAAAGTCCTTAGAGTCAATGTCAAACCAGGGGAGATGTCTCTAGTACAGTGATCTCAGAGCCTTCCAGTGTGCCCTGCCCACTCTCCTCACTATGCCCCTTCACTCTCTTACCTTCTCTGCACCTCACCCACCAAAAGAAGCCAAAGCAGTGCTCCCAGCATCTCTGAGCAGGTGAGACGAGAACATTTCAGACCAGGACTGAATGTGAGCGAGGGGCCTTTTTTTCAGGCCTAATGGAGCCAGGAGACAGGATCACAGGGGAGGGCAGCCGTCCAAGCTACTTCTATGGGGAATGGTTGGCTTTGGAGTCCTTTAGGTTAATGACCCTAAAGATAAAGCTGTGCCCTGACCATCTCATGACCTGTTGGCCCTGTGTCTGCTGGATCAGCTGACATCTCCATCCTTCGGCATTCTCAGAGCAGTGAGGCCCTCCTCAGTGCTCACACCACCTCTCATTTACCCTAAATATGCTCACCTCCGGTTCTAAGGACTCCTCATTCCACATAACGGACTAGGGGGAGGAATCAGTGCTCTGCACTCTGCAGGCCCTCCTTCTGCTCTTCCTTCCCTTTCCAGAGAGAGGCTGCCTCAGGTTTTAGTAGGACCCATAGAGCCAGGCTTTTCTACCTTTTCTCTGGATCTGTAGGCCCACTGTACTGATAGGGAAACTGAGGCTCAGAAATCAGAAGTCACACTGAGGCCTGTCTGACCCCAACATCTGTGCCCTTTTCATTCTGCTATGCTGCCTCTTGAATAGGTATGGATTCTGCCTCCTGCAAGCATGAAGCGAAGTCCCTAAGCAGAATGCATTCCCAACCCAACCTACGGGGTCCAGAATGGCACAGAGCTCCCAATGTAGCAACCTCCAACCTTAGAGCTATGGGGATGAACGGGTGGGAGATGAGGCAGGATACAGATGGGGTAAAGAAGGAGTTAAGCAGGAATATGGTAGTGGCCATGAGGACACAACTGAATGGTACTCAGTGGTCTATATGGGGTTCCCGCTCATCTCTGGGGATGCTTATGTGGAGATGTGTACAGCATTCATCAGCTATCAACCAGTGTCATAATAACTGCCTGTGAGCACACCTGCCCAGGCTCTATGAGGCCCCTCTGAGAATAAGCACAATCAACAGTGATTTAGGGATTGCACTTTGAGCCAAAAGTTGTACGTTCAAATCCTGGCTCTACTGCTAACTAGCCATAGGACCAAAGGGAAGTCACCTTGCCTCTCTGGGGTTGTTTCCCTCCCTGTAAAATGGAGATGAGAGGCCAGCTCACTCAAGGCAGGCAGTGTAGTCTAATGGTCAGGCACATACACTTTGAGGACATAGAACATAGACTCATAATCCCAGTGCAGCCATTTGCAAACTAGGGATCCTGGACAAATTACCTCTCTGTGTTTCAGTTTGCTCACCTGTAATATGGAGACAGTAATACTATCTAATTGAGAGTGAGAGATAGATTTTTTTTTAGATGGAGCCTCACTCTGTCGCCCAGGCTGGAGTGCAGTAGTGTGATCTTGGCTCACTGCAACCTCTACCTTCTGGGTTCAAGCGATTCTCCTGCCTCAGCCTCCTGAGTAGCTGGGACTACAGGCGCACACCACCACGTCTGGCTAATTTTTATATTTTTAAATAGAGATGGGGTTTTACCATGTTGGCCAGGCTGGTCTCGAACTCCTGAGCTCAAGTGATCTACCTGCCTCGGCCTCCCAAAGTGCTAGGATCACAGGCGTGAGCCACCGTGCCCAGCCAGAGGGATAGATATTTATGTAGAGATTATATATAGATATATTTTTAAGGACTAAATGAAATAATATCTGTAAAGAACCAAGAATACCAAGAACAGTGCCTGACATTTCCAGCTATTCAGCATCAGCTAGTGCATCTATTCAGGCCTCAGCCTGTGGCTCTCAGCCTAGAGGAGGACTCTGGCCCCCAGGACTGAGTTACTCACTCCAGGAGATTTTGTGCCAGCCATGTCGCCCCATACAGAAGGTCTCCCACAGCTGCCAGACCTCTGTCATCCATCCCACTGGCCCCACCACTCACCCCGCTCAGATTTCCAATTATTTGTCCTGTTTTGAATTCAAGTGGGATATTAGCAGTGAGTCTGGCTTTATTAATGGCGGCATCTTTAGTGTTATCGACTTTCTCACTCACTCCTCGCTCTCACTCCAAGCTCTGTTTCCTTTAATTAAGCCCCAAGCTAAGTGCTGAGCAGGTGATGTGAGTCTGGAACAGCCTTTGTTCTGGGATTTAGGCACTTTCTCATGAGCTTGGGAATGGAGAGACAGCGTGCTACTGCCTTTGAAGTCTGACATCCATCCCCACAATCAGAAAAGTGGGACAGTGTAGAGCGTCAGGCCAGAGAGGCAGAAACTATACTCTGTCCCCACTCAGCCTCCCTACCTGTAAAGTTGGGGGTGAGACGCATGAGAGTGTCTGCCATCCCTCTCAGCCCCGTGACACTTGGCATCTACTGAGGATTGGAAGGTCAGCCCAGCAGACTATGCCAGAGGCTCCATTCTGCAGACTCACTGATGAGGTGACAAAAGCCACAGACACCAAAAAGGCAGTGAGCCATAGAGAAAATAGCCCAAACTTTGGCATACTTAGCTTCAGTTTGAATCCTGATCCTGCTGCTCTTGTCTTGCCTCGGTAAGTTATAAGCATATTGAGCTCAACTGCCTCCTCTATAAAATGGGGTGATGGTATCTACCTCCCTGGGGATGACATATGGGAGTCATCTTCAATGCCAGCCCTGATACTGTGAGTATCTCACTGTGCAACAAGTTTGCTGTTTGAAGGCTACTTATTCCCAGCTCTGATCCCTGCTTGGCTGTGGGTCTCTGTATGAATCTCCTGACTACAGAGACAGAATTAATCTTTTCTGTGCATTATTCTGTATCTTGTCATGGATGGATGCATATGTACATCATTGCATGCATCCTATACTATTGAAATGATGGTGGATGTGTCTATATTTCCACCTAGGGCCTGCTTTTTATTCTCTCTTTGACAGGTAAGTGGAGAGGGAAGCAGGATCAGGAAATTGTAGGCAGTTGGTGACTGTCAGCTGAATTCAGTTCAATTTACTATATAGTAAGCCATCATCACAGTTGCCCAGCAGACCCTCACCTGGACGAGATAAGCAGGTGTCTTGGGTATCTGTGGCTTTTGTCACCCCATCAATGAGTCTGCAGAATGGAGCCTCCAGCATGGTCTGCTGGTCTGACTTTCCAATCCTGAGTAGATGCCAAGTGTCACAGGCGTCGCTTGGTTTAGGGCTTGAAGCTTTCCTAAGTACTATCTGAAAAGTGAGATCCAAGGCAGGTTATTCACTGTCAAGAAGTGAGTATATAAAAGATTGAGTATAAAACCCCAGCACAATGCCTGCCACAAGGAAATACCTAGCAAATGTCATTAAATTGTTGATGTAATGAAGGCCCTAGATAATAAACACTATGGTGTTCGTAACTGGCTTATGCAGATGGGTATCCACACTCACAATCCCTGCCTCACTGTGTGGCTGGAAAGCCCCATCCCTTCCAGCTGGCCTTAATACCCACGCAGGCCCTCAGACAATCACTGCACTATTCTAGTTTAATCTCCCAGGTGAGGGGGCAGCTGTGGGTTGGGTAGAAAGATAAACAGCCAAGTGACCTCTATCAGGTGGTGAACAGCAGCTTTGGGCCTCTTTCCCCAAGGAATGGAGTTGGGGGTCTCAATGCTACTATCCAAGCAGTACTGGAACCGCCACAGACTTCACCATTCACCCTGTCACTCTTCCCTGGGGGCCTTTCTCATCTCCCCTCTGAAGCCCTGCCCACCCTCCTGATCTCTGCCTGCCCCTCCAAAAGGGCTCTCAGCCCCATGGTCCCAGCGATGCTCCATAGCACACGGCACGGCTGCTTCCTCTCAGTCCCTGGCTGCAGTCAGCCTGCTTCTCCTCTATCTACCCTACCAGAGTGTGGGTTCCTTTGGGCTGGGTCTGCTCTGGTTCTTCTCTACATCCCCAGCACCTAGAGGAGGAGCCAATCCAGAGCAGGCATTCAGGAAAACTCTGGTAAACTGGCTTCAGTCCCAGATGCCCAAATGATGTCCACAGTTTTTTTTTGTTTTGTTTTGTTTTGTTTTTAATAGTTCGTAAATTTCATTCAATTCTAGAAGCATCTGCTCCCCACTCCTGGGCACCAGTCCTGTGCCTAAGTCAGAACTACAGGTCCCAGTGTATAAGACTAAATTCCGGATGAAACAAACAAAAGGGGAGAAGGTACTGGAATGAAGAGTGCATGGACCTCCACGGCTGGATTGAGGGCTGGACCATGGCCCTACAACTCTCTCTCTGTTTCTCAGCTCCATTTCCCAGGTACTGACTTTTCAGGCAAACTCCCCACACCAAGTGACCAGATGGCCACCTCAAGCTCCAGGTTTTGATTCTCCCAGCTCAGCAGCTCCAGAGACAAGAATGCCTCTTCCTGCCACTGCCCAAGGAGGCCTCTCATTGGCCCAGTGTGAGGCACATGCTTTTCTTTTCTTTTTCTTTTTCTTTTCTTTATTTTATTTTATTTTTTTTTTTTTTTTTGAGACAGAGTCTCACTCTCTTGCCAGGCTGGAGTGTAGTGGCGCGATCTCAGCTCACTGTAACCTCCGCCTCCTGGGTTCAAGCGATTCTCCTGCCTCAGCCTCCTGAGTAGCTGGGACTACAGGCGTGTGCCACCACGCCCAGTTAATTTTTGTATTTTTAGTAGAGACGGGGTTTCACCATGTTGACCAGGATGGTCTCGATCTCTTGACCTCGTGATCCACCCGCCTCGGCCTCCCAAAGTGCTGGGATTACAGGCGTGAGCCACCGCGCCCAGCTGGGGCACATGCTAATCCCTGAACCAATCATTGTGGCTGAGGGGAACAGTGCTCTGATTGGCTAGGTTAGGGTTCCAGCCCAGGGAGCCAAGGGCTGTGTATAGTCAGCCCTGCCCAGATGACGTGGACTTGGGGGCCCGCGTAGTTTCCCTAAGGAAAATCAGGGTGCTCTTTCCAAAAGAAGGGGAATGGGTAGGCAAAAGCAATCAATATTCACTGGACCGCAAGGTGCCTTCAGGAGACCAAGCAAAAACAATCCAAGTGACTAACGGCCTAATTAAGAGACAACTCTGTCTCATCGAAGCCGAACTGTGTATCACAGACTCTCAGGGCTGCTGGAGATGAAAAGAGAGGGCTGGAGCAATTTGGAAGGCTTCCTGGAGGGGGAGGTGGGACTTAAAGGACTGGTTGACCCAAGAAAAAGGGCGGTTGTGTTTCCAGGCTGCTATGTGCAGACATGAGAGAGATGGGGTTTGCCTTTGGACATCATACCAGGGCACAGGGCTGTCACCAAGACCACACTGGGGGTACTGAGGAGAGGGAGTTAAGGGGCAGGAGAGCCTCGCCCATCCAAAGGGCCAGGCTCCACCCATAGGACCCAAGCCAGCAAGATCAAAATCTAATTTACTCATTAGGCATGTTTTTTCTGTACAAATCAAATCATGGGCTATTTTTCCACATCATAAATATTGTTTTAAACTCTTGCTCATGGGCAATTAGATTACAAGCATCGCCTGGTGAGCTATACGCCAGCACATTTGGCGTGTCTCTGGCTGCTTAGTGAGCAATTTCCTTTTTAAATGTTTCCCAATGATTTTTTAAGGGTCTTTGAAATCTTCTCCCTAGTGATGTGTGAGGGCCCTTGTCTGTGGCTATTAATGTCCGTAACAGCCCAAGAGAGACTCAGCCTCATCTGTGTTATTTTCCAAACAGCCCAGGCTGAGCTCTGCACCCCTTCCTTGTATTTCTTGCTGTTCCAAAGGCCTTCACCAGCCAGCTAAGGACTGTCCCTGCCTCTGTCTTTGTGCTAAAGACTCAGGAAAGTATACACCCTGTGCATCAGCTCTCAGTAGACCGGCATGCCAGTATCAAGATCTTCATTCATTTTGGGCAAGTTATTCCACTTACCCTCCCTGAGTCTGGGTTTTGACATCTATAGAAAGGGATCAAGGCTTGCCTCACCCAAATGGTTCCCTATTCTCCTCTGCTGGCCTTTCTGGGCCCTCTATGATCTTCCACAGCTGCCAGAAAGACTTTTGTTCTGATGATCCCCAAATACACTCCCTTCCCTTTCAGGTCAGCTCCCTGCTCCCTTACGTGCTTCTTCCTCCCACCCTGGCTCACCTTAGCCTTGCCCTGGAGGAACAGCTCTCTCCCTTGAGACACACATAACCCCAACATGATCTGGCTAAGCACCAGAGCCACCTCCTCCAGGAAGTGCTTCGTGACTGCCCTGGCCCTCAACTATCTGTCTTTTCTCTGGCCTTCCACTCCACAGAACGCTCTTTAGTCCCTGACTACAACCACCTCTTACTGAGCACCTAGTGTGTACCAGGCACTATGGTAGAGGCTGTATATGCTATTTTTTTTTCAGTCCTCCTAACAGTCCTGCAAGGTAAATATTATTATTCCTATTTTGCAGGTGAGAAAACTGAGGCTCAGAGAGGTAAACTGACATCTCAAGGTCACACCGCTTGTAATGGCCAAGCCAGAATTTGAGATTATTTTCCCCCTAAAAAGGACAATCTTATATGGAGCTTCTGCTTTGCCAGGCGGGGGCTGTGCCTCATTTAATCCCCACAACATCCCCCCACGATGTAGGTAGTGCTATCTCCATTTTACATAAGAGAAAGGCCTAGAGAAGTAGCATCTTACATCCACCGCTTCTCAGCCAATACATGGAGTGAGATTCAACGTTAGACCTGCTGACTCCACAGATTTACTCCTCCTACCCTTCACCCTACTCCCAAACAGCCCCACAGGTGTGGCTGCCTTGTCTCAAAGCTAAAGGACAGACTCTACTTCTCAAGGCCCTGGACTACTTTCCCAAAGACTGTGCACCCATTCTGAGCTGTGAGCATGAAGGAGGAAGGTTAGAAGCCCAACCTCAGGGAGAAAGGTCCAGAGAGCATGACAAAATATGAACTCTCTTCTGACGATTTCCTTCCTTCCTTCCTTCCTTTGTTCCTTCCTTCCACAAGTATTTATACGCAGTACTCTGTGCAGTTACCACTCCCTCCCTTCCTCCCTCCCTCCCTCCCTCCCTGCCTACCCCCCTTCCTCCCTCCCTCCCTCCCTCCCTCCCTCCCTTCCTTCCACAAGTATTTATGCAGCAGTACTCTGTGCAAGAGGGTACCTGGCTGTACGTCCCTCTGTGATTTAGAAGGACAAAGTCACTGCCTGTCTCCCAGCCAAGGGCTTTCTGGTGAAGTGCTCCCAGGGCTGCTGGTTCTCCTAGAGGAGGTGCTCCTGGGAGGCAGTTATAGGCATAGATGTCCTGGAGGCCACACACCAGGGGGCAGGGCTGGAGGAGTGCTGATCTGGGGTTCCTGGCCCCTGCACTGAACAGAGGGACACGGCTTAGGGTTCCCAGGGCAATGTCTGTCCCCAGGGAATGATGTCAGCTCTGCCCTTAAAGGGAGGTGAGCTGGCCTGTTGGGAGGTATCAAGGAGTTATAAGAATAAAGGACTCCCCCAGCCCCCAATTTCAGCAGTGCTTGCATCTCCGGCATCCCCAGCAGGGGCTCCTCTCTGTGCCTGAAGTTATGAGGCAGCCTCCTTGCAGTACAATGAGCCTGCTCCCCAGGCTCTGGCTCTGGCCTCCCTGTTCATTCCTCCTGTTGTCGCTTTTACTGAACTGAGCTTTGGCCTATACTACAGAGCATGGTGAGATGCCTCCTCATAAAGGGTCCTGTTGTCACTGTTGAGGGATGATGCTCCTGCTCCTGAGGTCATCATCCATCACATCACATCTCATCCTCATGAAAAACTGGCCCCTTCCAACAGTCCTCACAGTCCCAGCACCAGTAACTCAAGTTTCTTCTAACCTGGCTAGTTTTTAATATTGTAAATATTATGACTTCTATATCTGATCACATATCCCTCTTTGCCTTGGTTGCTAAGAAACTCAGAGTCAACGGTCATCTTACTCTCAGCAACTCTACAGGACCTTATGTTACAAGAGCCTTATTTCTTTTTCCTGTCTTGATTTTCACCTTAGCCTCAACTTCCTCATGTGTCTTTATTAAATTCTTTTGGACTGAATATATTTCTGTAACAACCTCAAATTTAACACTTCCCTACTGTGTGACCTAAGGAAAGCTAAGTAACCTCTCTGAGCCTCAGTTTCCTGGATGCTAAAGTAAGAGGAGGAACACACACCTCACAATATTCTATGAGAGTAAATTAAGCCAACGTGGGCCAGACACTTGGCACTAGAACAGTTAGCTGTTATTTACTTTTATTACAGAGATGAATAAATAAAATTAAATAAACTTAGAGATACTGGTTTGGAAAGAATTCCCCTTTTATATTCTCTTTGGTCACAAGCAAAGATTGGAAGCTAAGAGTGGTTAGAATTTAAGATTGGATTTAGCCCACACTCCAAATCACTCCACTACATAGCCAGCCTCTCCTCACCCAGAAGCCTTCACTGTGTGGCTCCCACATTATCTTTCTAAAGGAGCCCAGATGGCAGAGAGAGGCTGGCTAGAGTTGGGGCTGCCTACGCTCCTTACCTAAGAGGTTCCCCACGATATGAACCCTGGGTCTTGGTAGCTGGGCAATCTGTTGGGGGAAGTGATCTTGAGAGAAAAGTCATCTAGAAAGAGGAGAAGGTCTGTGGAAAATTGGGTATCCCAGAGCTGCTGCTTCTATTCCTCTCCAATTAGAACCAGGGAACAGCAGAGCTGGAAGGCACTACTTAGAGAGTAGTCATCCAGCTGCTTTATTTTGCCCAGAGAAAAACTGAGGCCCAGAGAGGGAAAGGGATTGGCCTGAGGTCACAAAGCAACATACGAAACTCCTTGCCTCCTCCATGACTCCAGCCAAGACCTCTCTCCTGAACTTCAGACCCAGGTCCAATTTCCCACGTGACACCTCCAGTTAGATGACTGATGGGTACCTCAAACTTAGCACATCCAAAACTGAAGTCCTAAATTTGCCCCAAAACCTATGCCTGCCACAGTCTTCCTTTATCTTTCTCCCTCTGTCCTCACCCCCTTTCTCTCTTTCCCCCTCTCTCTTCCTCCCTCCCCCTCCCTCACCACACCCGATATTTGGTCTGTTATCTAATCCTATTGTCCAGATTTTCACTACATTTCACTCCCTGGCTCAGTTTCCCATCTTCTTCCACCTGAGTGTCCCCCTCACTGGTCTCTTGCTTTTGTCCTGGGACCGTAAGACTATTCCCAACATATGAACCAGAGTGGAAACATAAATAGGATCATGTCCTATTTATGGACATGTGGGCCCTCTGCCCACATGTCCCTGCCCCCCAGTGGCTTCCAGTTTTGCTCAGGGTAAAAGCAAAGTTCTCTGTGACCCACAGCATCCTCCATGATTTGCCCTCCTCGACATCCCCCACTTCTCTTACCTCACCTCCTACCCCTCTGCCCCTTATTCAATCCGCTGCAGCCAAACCCACCCTCTTAATGTGCCCCCAAGAGCCTTTGCACTGTCTGTTTCCCCTGGCAGGTGCTCTTCCCCCAACATCCACAAAGCTAGTTTCCTCACTTCCTCCAGGTCTCTACTCAAAAATTACTTTCTCCCTCATATGATTTTCAATAAGGGGGCCAAAACTATTAACTGGGGAAAGGACAGTCTTTTCAATAAATGATACGGGAAAAGAAAAATGTACACATTCAAAAGAATGAAGTTGGAACCTTAACTAACATCATATATGAAAATTAACTCAAAAAGGATCAAATACCTAAATGTAAGACCTAAACCTATAAAACTCTTAAAACATAGGAGAAAAACTTCATGACATTGAGCTTGTCAATGATTTATTGGATATAATACCAAAAGCATAGGCAACACCACCAAAATAGATTGGGCATCATCAAAATTAAAAACTGTTGTGCATCAAGTACACTACCAACACAGTGAAAAGGCAACCGATTGAATGAGAAAAAAAAAATTTGCAAATCATATACCTGATAAGGGATCAATACTAGAATATACAAAGAACTCCTAAAAATCAACAATAAAAAGCAAATAACCCAAATAAAAAATGGGCAAAGGACTTAATTAGCCATTTCTCCAAAGATAATATACAAATGGCATATGCATAGGAAATAAGCATATGAAAAGACAACATCACTAATCATTAGAAAAATGCAAATCAAAACCTCCATGAGATACCACTTCACACCCATTAGGATCAGTACTATTTTTTTTTTTAAAGCAGGAAACAAGTGCTGGCAAGGATGTGAGAGAAGTTGGAACCATTGTGCATTTTTGCTGGGAATGTAAAGTGGTACAGCTGCTGTGGAAAACAGTATGGCAGTTTCCAATAATTAAGCAGTGAATTACTATGTGATCCAGCAATTCTACTTCTGCGTATATATGCAAAAGAATCGAAGGCAGGGACTAAACAGTTATTTATATAGTAATGCTCATAGTAACATTATCCACAGTCACCAAAGGGCGGAAAGAACCCAGATATTCCTCATCAGATTAATGGAAAAACAAAATGTAGTATATACACATACTGGAATATCATTCAGCCTTCAAAAGGAATGAAATTCTGACATATACTACATTAGGATGAACCTGGAAAACATTATGTTGTATGAAATAAGCCTGACACAACAGGGCAAATCTTGTATGATTCCACTTATATAAGGTAGTGTGAGGAGCATATGAGTAGTTTTTATATAAGGCATATATGTGGTATATCATTACACTAATAAGAGGCACAGAGTGGCCGGGTGCAGTGGCTCACACTTGTAATCCCAGCACTTCGGGAGGCCGAAGCAGGTAGATCCTCTGAGGACCTCTGAGACCAGCCTGGCCAATACAGAGAAACCCTGACTCTACTAAAAATACAAAAATGAGCCGGGCATGGTGGCACGTGCCTGTAGTCCCAGCTACTCTGGAGGCTGAGGCAGGAGAATCGCTTGAACCCAGGAGGCGGAGGTTGCAGAGAGCCAAGATCACGCCACTGCACTCCAGCCTGGGCGACAGAGCAAGAGTCTGTCTCAAAAAAAAAAAAAAAAAAAAAAAAAGAAAGAAAGAAAGAAAAAGAGGCACAGAGTAGTCAAATTCTTAGAGACAGAAGGTGGTAGAACAGGGGTTAGCAGGGGCTGAAGTGAGAGGGAAATGGGGAGTTATTGCTTAAGGCATACAGAAGTTCAGCATAGGATGACTTTAAAGTGCGGGAGACAGATGGTGGTGATGAATGCACAACAATGGGACTGTAGCTACCATTGAACTATATACTTAAAAATGGCTAAGATGTACATTTCATGTTATGTATATTTTACCACAATAAAAATACATAAATTTTAAAAATTACCTTCTCAATGAGGCCTTCCCTGGATACTCTAAAATTTCAACATTTCCTCCACTAGATATTTCACATCTCCTTTCCTTACTTCATTTTTTGTTAGTACTTATCACTATCTCACACATTATTATATTTTAATGCCTCATACCACCAAAAGAGATACTAGAATATACGCTCAATAAGGACAGAGATTTTCATCTGTTTACTACTGCATTGCCAGCACCCAGGCCAGTGCTTGGCATGTACACATATAAATGTTTGTTGAATGAATGTAAAACACCAAGGGGTGGGTAGGACTGAGAAAAGATGCTCTGGGCCATCTCTAGGGAATCCACAGTTCCCAAGAGGGGCTCTGATCCTAGAAAGGAGCTGGAACCCTAGAGGCGCTTCCAGGCTCTCCCACCCCTCAGCTACTCCCGGCCACCTGGGGAGCTGCTCTATTAGATTATGTTAGTTCAGTGGCCGGAAGGGCAGGGAGTTCATGGGAAAGGAGCTCATCAGAGTCGAAAGGGAATCCAGGAAGGATCCCTCACTCCCACTGCAAACACTTCCACATCCCTGGGAAGGTGGCTGATGGGTGCACCCAGCAGGAGCAGCTGCCAGGCCAGGCTCTGGGGCAACAAGCCAGCTGCAAGCACTTATTGGGCACCCACTGTGTGTCCAGATCCTTGCTGAGGTTATGGAGCCATTAAGAGAATTTTTCTGCTTCTAGGAGTTGTACTCGAGGAAACACACATGCATCCACACACATACCCACACACACCACTGGGTCCTTCAGGTGAGAACTGAATGCTCCATCATATGGTGTAGGCCAGGCAGTCTGGCAGTGTCCCTTCCCTTTTCATGGGTTTTTACCCTCTTTTATGCAACCAGAGAATTCCTGTTCCTGGGCCTTTTCTCATCTGTCCACATTTACTTCCAGGGAAGTATACTACGCTGGTCATTCATACCTAGTAATGTGAAGTAATCTAAATGTTTTTTCTCTTCAAGGGATTTGACATCTAATATCCATCTTTAACTTTTCAGTGACATTTCTTATGCCCTGAGAAATGGATGTGAGGCTTCAGGAGTGGCTGGGGAATAACTGTGTGGAGCGTTCTCCTAGGGCCTTGAAATGAGGCCCTGCGAGCCATGTGGGTCCTAATCCCCTCTGCATCCTGATATAGTCCTGGAGGCCCTTAAGAGATGACCACAGTGGGCTAGCAGGCTGGAGGTGATGCTTCTGAGAATGGGGGCTGGGGGGGGGGGGCGTCCTGTCCCATAGCAAGCTGAGACAGGGAACTAGGGCTGGGAGGACAGAAAACCCAGCTAACTAAAGCCAAGATATGAAGGGAAGAAACCATGTTTTCCTTCCAAGGACTCAAGATTCATGTCTAATTTTTGGACATTCATGGAGCTTCCCTGCACCCAGCCCTGGGCTAAGCACTGGGGACAAAGATGCATTGGATGCCATCCCTATCCTCACAGAACACATCTAGAGGCTATTCTAAAACAGGGATTCAAGGGGGCTAGAGGAGCCCAGAGAATGGGACCCTTGCTCAGCCTGCAGGATAAGTGACACTTCTAGGAAGGGACAACATCCAGTCTGGGTCCCGATGGTTTAATGACAATTGGGCAGGTGCAGAGGTGACGGAATAAAACTCCAACCTGGGAGATGGCATGTCCAGAGGCCCATGACAACTCTTCAGGAGCAGCAAATGCTCAGTGACAGGGAGTTTATCATGTGAGCAGGAAGAACATTGAGATTGAAGAGACTAGTGGGACTAGATCCTGAGGGACTTGGGTGTCATGGTGAGCATTTGGATATTCTCCTTGAAGACGGATCTCTAAGCAAGGGTGTGATGTGGTCAGATATGTGATTTAAAAGGTTTTTCTGGCTGCTTTGTGTAGAATGGATGGAGTAGAACTGGGAGAAGAGACTGGAGTGTATGGAATCTGTTGGGAAGTTGCTGAGTAATGCAAAGGATAAACCAGGGTGGCCCAAATTTGTAGAGCACCAGAACTTGGTGATTAGCCAAGGATAAGTTAAATGTGGTAAAGTCAGGATGAGGGAGTGTCAAGGATGAGCATGAGTTGGGAGCTTGGGCAGCTGAGTAATGATTGTCCCAGTCAATGTCTGGGGTGGGGGAAAAAATGGCACAAGTGCTTTCTGAAGTGTTGAAGTGAGATGTCTATTGGACATTCAGGTGGAAACCTATGAAGTTCTGGAGCTCACAGGGGAGGTCTGAGCTAGAAATATGGGTTTGGAAGCCACCTACACACAGCGGGTAACTGAAACCACCACTAGAAATGAGATCACTCAGAGGAGGTGTAGTAATGAGGACAAAGTTTAGGAAACATGCCCTAGGAATCCTAGCATTCAAGGTTGGGCAGAGAATGACAGGCTCCAAAGTTGGTGAAGAAAGAGCAACCAGAAAGACCATCTCTGAGAGTGAAGAGCCTGGATGGCCAACTTCAGGGGTGGTCATTCAGTCATTCAATAAACATGTGTTTGTGAGCTTGAGATTGGACGGAGTGCAGAGAGGGGCTGAGAATTGTCTCCCTGTTTAGGGAGCTCAGGTAACCTTTGCAACCTCCCTCAGTCAGAGATCACTGCAAAATCAGCAAGAAGGAAGGCCCTGCAGTTCTTCTGCCCACTGTCCTTTCTTTTCAGATGCTTTATCTCATGTGCATTGGGAGCCAGCATGAGTCCTGGAGTCCAACCACTTGGATCCGAATCTCATCTCAACCTTTTACAAGCTCCATGATCTTTGCCAACTTACTTAACTTCTCTGAACCCTAGAGGTTCCATTCATGAAATGGGGACAACAGCTACCTCTCAGAGTTGTTGTGAAGATCAAGGATTACATGTGTAAAAATCACCCAGTAGAATTCCTGGCACATAGTAGAGGCCATTCATTCTTTGAACAAATATCCTTTGAGTATCTTCTATGTTTCTGGACACTGGGCCACGCTTAGGAGTACAAAGATGAATATTGCAGGACTCCTCTCAAGGAAATCAAGTGAAGGAGATGGCAAGTAACAGACAGTAGCTGCCAAGTGAGATTGGTGCCCTGGAGTTGGAGCTTGGAGTGGAGGGCCGGGGTGGGCGGCGGGAGGTGCTGGGTTCTATTCCAGCTCTGCTCTCACTTGCTGTGTCCATGAGCATTAACTTAGCCTCTCTGAGCTCCAGGTTCATCTGTAAAATAGAGATGATCACACCTGCCCAAGTACTCCCTACTGTGAGGAGACTGGCTGAAGTGTTGAAATTCAGAACGTTTCTTTCCAGGGTTGCTAGAAACTTCAAGGAGAAGCTGAAATGGAGGCCGGAGGTAACAGAAACAGTTGGAAAGAAAGCAAGCCAGCAACAGAGCAAGCCAGGATCATTGCCCTCTGGCTCCCACGGCCTCTACCCTCAGCACTATCGACATGAAGGGGAGCTGCTGAGGACTTCCCAAACCAAAAGGGAAAACAAGTGCATTCTTGAGATTAGCTGAGACAAACAACAGCCGGGAGCCTCATGTTCCCATGGACCCTGCCGGGGCTGTCCCCAGAAGAGGGGCTGGGCTGGCCTCCGGTGGAAGAAGGCCAAGCATTTTGAAAGGGCCACACCTGTGAAAAGGCACTCCCTCTGGCACTTGTCCTGGTTCCGGGGACCACACTTTGGGCTTCTACTCTGTGTTTCCCATGGCTCAGGGCTCAGTGCACAGCTGAGTTCCTTTAGCCCCCCAACACCTGTTGACCTACTGGGGACCAGAGCCTGCATCAGGCTTGGGGGGCATAAAATGGTAAATAGAGCCACCACCCCTGAGTCTTCTGAGGAGTCCTTGTGTGCCCTGTGGAGTGAGCTGGAAGGACCAACAGTATGGTCTATGCTGAGACAGGTTCAAGGACCTGGGGTCAGAAGGAACCCTGAGGCTTGCTTCCCAGTGGGGGTGGCCACAGAACAGACCCCTAGAGCCAAGATCATCAGGCAGTTATTCATGGAGATGAATAGCCAGGGCTTCACTACTGATCCAGAGTTCTGACCACCTCAGGTCTCTGAAGTGCAGAGCCATAACCCTGGCTCATTTCACCTCTGCAGATCCCATCAGTGCCCTGGCTTGGTGGAAATCTCAGAAGTATAATATTCTACTCCTCAAGAGGGCTTACAGCTTCGTCCGCCCCCCTCTCAGGATGGTTATGTCTAAGAGGGCAGGCCTTACCCCAAAGGACTGAGTATCTCGGGTTAGATTTTCAGGCATCAGATGGGTCAACAGCCTCAGGCCCTGAACTTCACTAAACAAGGACATGCCTCCTCTACCCACATGAGAGGCCTTCCTCAAGCATCTCGAGAGTTGTCAGGGCTATCTATCTCTCAGTCCTGGAAGGAAAGGACAGAGGCCCCATGGCTGAGGGGTGTCCCCAAGCTGGCCCCCTTCACTCAGCTTGGTCCCTCTTTTCTCTTCTTCCCCTGTTTTCCCCCTTACCAGCATGCCCTGAATATTCACCAGGGCCAGGACAGACCCTCAGAGCCCCAGAAGAGGCTAGATGAAGCGGCAGATGCAGGAAAAGGACATTATCTTGAGTGACTGGACAGGGGTCAGACTACAATGGACAAAGGGGCAGGCCTGGGCCCAGCTGGGAACAGCCTTGTGCCAATGGGGAGGTGGGATTGGGCAATCAGAAGTACACACTCAAGGCAACGATTGCAGCAGTAGCATGGCAAAGAACTGAAAGAGAAACTAAGGGTGCCTATCTCTACCTCGGCTGCAGTGAGAGTAGCAGCAAAGGAACCGAGGGAGTTCTGCCTTTGCTTTTCATAGGCAAGGTAGCCAGGCCTTAGGGTTTTGAGTTCTAGACTTCCTACTCCCTAGAGATTTTAGTTTCACAGTAGGAAAAATGAAGAAAGAGAAGTTGCCTGGAGTCAACTGCAAATGAGGTTCCTTTCTAAAGGTCTACATCCATGGAGATAGTCAAGGAGTAAGGAGGAGGCCGGGGCTGGACGAGGAGAAGGAAATGGAGTTGGGGAAGAGAAAGAGGTAGAGAGGAGAAAGAGGGGAGGAGGAGGAAGAAGGAGGGAGGAGGAGAGAGGAGGAAAAAGGAGGGAGGAGGAGAGAGAAGGAAAAGGAGAAGAAGGGGAGGAGCAAGAGGAGGAAATAGAGAAGCAGAGAAGAGGGAGGATGAAGAGGAGGTCAGGGAGCAGGAGGAGGCAGAGAGATCCTGGGCCTGGGAGGTCAGAATTCCATGGGTAGAGGATCCATGCCTGCTGGTGCACAAAGCCCTAAAAGTGACAAGGCTCTAAATGGGGTGGCCACATAGGGCTGTCCAAACTTTGAACACTATGTGTTATATACTTACCAGCCGCAGAGAAGGTCCCCGAGGCCAAGCCTGTGGTGGGACAGAGCTGATACAGTTGGCAGAGCTGCTGTCTTGGAACAGATCTGGTGGGTCTGCTCAGATGTGTCTGGGCAGCTGCAGACAACAGGCTTTGCCCCCATGAGCTTCTGAGGCCTCCAGAGTTCCAGGCTCCTGCTCTTCTCAGGGTAGGGAGAAGGAGCCTCACTCCACAAAAAGTGACCTTTTGTGATCCTCAAGTTTTGTAGATCAATTTTCAGCTGTTTGATACCAGTTATCAGGTTGCTCTTCTGTGCAATTTTTCTCTGCTTGATATGCGGTAAAAATAATTTTTAAGAATAAATTTGCTTTAAAAATAATAAATAGTCCATAGAGATTATATCAAGATGGCACACTGAACATATGTGTCTGCCTGCCTTTTCACAAATGACCAAGTCAAAACCAAAACAAAACAAAAAACAAAAATTAGATTTTTGGCTGATGGAATTCAGCCAAAGACATCAGTCAAAGACCCTCAACTAGGGACCACTGTGAAATATGGTACAACTCTGGGGATGCTCCAAGCTAAAAGGTGGCTGGAATAGGGAGTACAAATAAGTGACCATTGGCATGGTTGTTTGGGGCATGGCATCTGGAACATTTAGGCAAGTGGGTCTCTTAGCCCCATTCCTGATCCCAAGCATCAGGCAGCAGAAACCTTAGCCTATACACCAGAGGCTTAGACCAGAGAAGTCTAAGATGAGACCCAATATTCCTGCTTATAGTATATGTCAACTTCACATACCTTTGTTCTCCCACACTCACCCCAATCTCTCCCTCCATAAAGAAATTACTAGAAGCAGGCTAATCAGCATGTGAAAAATAGTATCTCCAGATTAGTACACTGGGAATCTCAAAAACACAGAAAGGTACACACCAAAGAATCACCAATATATGAAAGAAAGGCACCAAACTCAACCAATAGTAACAACAAGTAAGAAAAGAGAGTTAGGAGATAGTCTGAAAGCAACTTTTAAGGTATAGTAATGTCCTCAGGGAGATAATAAAGGATACCACATCCATGAAACAAGAAACAGCTGACATTAAAAAAAAGACAAAGTTCTTGAAAATAAAATATATGATTATCAAAATGTAAAAACTCAATTAAATGTACTGAATTCCAGAAAGAGAAAGGCTGAGAAGTAAATTCCTGTGCTAAAACAGCAGTCCCCAACCTTTTTGGCACCAGGGACCAGTTTTATGGAAGACAATTTTTTCATGGACCGGAGTGGCAGGGAGGGTTTCAGGATTATTCAAGTGCATTATATTTATTGTACACTTTATTATTATTACATTGTAACATATAATGAAATAATTATACAACTCACCATAATGTAGAATTAGTAGGAGCCCTAAGCTTGTTTTCCTTCAACTAGACAGTCCCATCTAGGGGTGATGGGAGGCAGTGACAGATCATCAGGCATTAGATTGTCATAAGGAGCCCACAACCTAGATCCCTCACATGCAAAGCACAATAGGATTTGTGCTCCTAAGAGAATCTAATGCCACTGCTGATCTGACAGGAGGCAGAGCTCAGGCAGTGATATGAGCAATGGGGAGTGGCTGTAAATACAGATGAAGCTTCACTCGTTCACCCGCTGCTCACCTCCTGCTGTGCAGCCCAGTGCCTAACAGGCCACAGACCAGTATCAGTCCATGGCGCAGGGGTTGGGGATCCCTGTGCTAAAAGATTGTACTAATTTCTTCAAGATTCAGGGCAGATGTAAAAATGACCAGAAAGTGCAAAAGAATAATTAAGGGATATATGGACTTAGAAATCAGTTTCTATCAAATAGTAGTTTTAGAAGAAATGAACAGAGAAAAATAAGGAGGGGTAAAATTAGTGAGAAAGTAGAAGACATCAGCATCCTTCTAGGAAGGCAAACCAACCCAGGTGCAGGCTCATTCTCTGGAACACAGCCCTGGAGACACCCCAGAAGTCAAAGGGATGTTAGTAAGCCTGTTAACCAACATACAAACTCTGAAATGACTTCACCACTGCGAGACAACGGAAGGTGGTTTCACTGTGATGCATGTGTTGCAAGGAGGAGGATGGGAAATAGCAGCTTAGAGCATAAGAAGACCAAACACCAAGGACAAGAGACAGGTTAGGAGAGAGGCTGGACTGCCCTCTTCTCTCCTTCCTATTGCTCTGGGAATAACATGCTTTCCCTTGACTCCTGTGAGGCAGAACGATAGCGGCCAGATATCAAGATGGCTTTCAAGTCCCACTGGAATGTGAAATAGTTTGCAGCAGATAAAGAAATACTGACAGAGTCCTGCATTCTCTCCTCTCCTGTCTACCTTCTATAGCCCCTGGCAAGCTGGCTGCAGTTGAGGAAGTCAGGTCTTGAAAAATCAGCACTGTCAGTATGGAAATAATTCCACAGGCCCCTCACCTTAAGGCACATTTGCCCCATCTCCTCCTTGTCCTGAACACATTAGGAGGAGGGGCAGAAGCCTCTCTTCTCAGTTACACTTCATCAGTCTAGGTAGCTAATACCTCCAGGAGTCAACAAGGACAAGCACGGAGGCATCTTAGGAGTGTGACTGTTATGAGGAAAGGACAGACTGAGCCATCTCTACCAGGTGAAACAGAACTAATGGGAAATAAAAACAACTCAAAAATGGGCATATTAAACTTCCTCAAAGATACGTTGAGAATACTGGAAACAAAGAGCATGAATCAGAAGTCACAATGAACCAGCTGAAAATCCTGGGTATGAAACATATACTATTTGGAATAAAGAACTCATGGATGGGTACAGCAGCAGAATGGATACAACTGAAGAAAGAATCAGTACACTCCATGATCAGGTTGAGGACAGCAATCCCAGATGGCATCATGAAAAGACTGCATAAATGAAAGAAAAGTTCAGAGATAAAGAAAGTAGAAGAACAAATGCCAACTCAGAGAACAAGTTAACTCCCAGAAATAGAGACAAAAATAAACAGCAGAAGACATACTTAAAGAAATATGGTTGAGAACGTCACAGAATGAAAGAGACAAAACCTTAAATGGAAATGCCTTGAAAAGTGAAACAATGTAAATAAGAAGAAAGATCTCTTCACATTATAGTGAGAATAAAGAGCATCAAAGACAAAAAGAAAATTTTAAAGCAGCCAGACAGGCTACTTGGGGATGCTGAGGCAGGAGGATCCCTTGAGCCTAGAAGTTGGAGACTAAAAGCAGATCATCTACTAAAAAGTAAGAATTAAGGCTAGGTGTAGTGGCTCATACCTGTAATCCTAGCACTTTGGGAGGCTGAGGTGGGCAGATGGCTTGAGCTTGGGAGTTTGAGACCAGCCTGGGCAACACCGCAAAACCCCATCTCTGCAAAAAATACAAAAATTATCCAGGCATGGTGGCTTATGCCTGTACTCTCAGCTACTCAGGAGGCTGAGATGGGAGGATGGCTTGAGCCTGGGAGGCAGAGATTGCAGTGAGCTGAGATGGCACCATTGCACTCTAGCCTGAGCAACAGAGACCCGACCCTGTCTCAAAAAAAAAAAAAAAAAATCAGTTGGCATCAACCTTCTCAACAGCAACACTGGATACAAAAAGACAAAGAATGTTATTTTCAAAGGGCTGAAGTAAAAGAACTTGAAACCAGTATAGTATGTTCAGGAAAACTATCATTTAAATGTGAAAGCAAAATAAAGACACTTTCAGTAATACAAGATCTTATGTGCTTTACCACACACAAACTCTCAGTGAAAAAAAAAACTCTTGATGGACATACTCAGAAATAGAGAAATAGAAACAAGAAAACAAAAAGAAACATACATAAAAAAAAAGAAAAAAAGGAGAAATAGAAATAACAACTCTATGGAGGAGTCTGTGGAATATGGAGGATTCTGTGAAATATCGGTAGGGTTGCCAGACTTAGGAGCAACAACAGGACACTGGGTTACATTTCAATTTCAGAAAAATGATGAGTAATTTTTTAGAATATGTATGTCCTGTACAATACTCAAATTTATCTAGGCCTCCTGTAATTCACCTGGCAATTCTAGATATGGGCTGGAAGTATGGGTAAATAAATTAATAGAGTTAATTATAGTCTAAATAAATAAAACCCTAATAAAACAAAAGTGATATCCTTCAAACTCCAGAACGAAAATTGTAGATGAAATATATGGTGACAGGTAGAGGGAGAAAACCAGTAGGAGGTAAGAAATGGCTCAAGTAACTGTCATATTCAGCAGGAAGATGGAGAAGGTGATAATAAGCATAAGTTGTTAAGTTAGAGGCAACCACAGAAGAATAAATAAAGGATGTACGAGTTTCGTATCAGCAGAAAGAAATGGATCTATCCAATAGAAGTTAGAAAAAGGGAAAATTGAAATAATACAAAAGGATAGTAAATAGAAAACAGGAACTGAAATTGCTGAGATAAGTACCAACATAATAGCAACTATAGTATACTTCACCAATCAAAAGATAGACTCTCAGAATTGATTTTGTTTTTTTTTTAATAGAGATGGGGTTTTGCCACATTGCCCAGGGTGGTCTTGAACTCCTGGGCTCAAGCAATCCTCCCACCTCGGCCTCCCAAAATGCTAGGATTACAGGCATGAACCACTGCACCCAGCCTCTCAGAATGGATTTTTTTAAAAAATCAAACCATGTATTGCCCAGAAGAAAATACCTCAAACAGAAGGATATAGAATGTTGGAAAATAAAGGAATTAAAGATGATATTATAGGTAAATATAAAATGAGAGTAGTACTTTAATATATATCTTATATTAAAATTTTATCTTATATTAAAATTATTTTATATTAAAATTATATATTTTATCTTATATTAAAATTTTAAGGCAAAAAAATCTCATAAAGAGAAAAAAATTATGTCCTGGTAAAATGAATAATACATCTTTAAGACACAAAGATTACATACCCACATAAAACTAAAGATATAGCTTCAAAATATATAAATTAACAATTAATTTATTATTGCTATATACTATAGAAAAAATTTATGTCAATAATTTTGGTTGGAGATTTTGACACATTCTTTTCAGAAATTAACATATCAATCAGAAAAATATTAACACAACCAAAGTTTAAAATTTATGGTAGTCCAGACACTGTGGCTCACGCCTGTCATACCAGCACTTTGGGAGGCTGAGGTGGATGGACTGTTTGAGCCCTGAAGTTCGAGACCAGCCTTGGCAACATACAGAAACCCTGTCTCTCCAAAAATACAAAATTAGTCAGGTGTTGTGGCGTGTGCCTGCAGTCCCAGCTACTCGGGAGGCTGAGGTGGGAGAATGGCTTGAGCCCACGAGGTCGAGGCTGCAGTGAGCTATGACTGCACCATAGCACTCCAGCCTGGGTGATAGAGCATGTCCCTGTCTCAAAAAAATAAAATAAAAAATAACATTTATGCTTAAAAATTATGAGATATTTATATCTGAATTGTACCATATGTCAAAATCCATAGTTTATAGCTAAAGCAGTACTTAGAGAAAGTTTATAGCTTTTAAATACATTTATCAGACCATAAATAAAGTAAGCATTCAAATTAAGAAGCTGGAAGAACAGCAAAAAAATCCCCAAAAGAAAAAAAAAGAAATATTAAAAAAATTATAAAAGCAGAAATCAACAAAATAGAGAACACTCAAATAAAACAAAGAAAATATTAAACTGGCTCTTTAAAAACACTAATAAAATGGACAAATCCATCAAGACTGACAAAGGAAAAAAGAGAAAATTTTAAGCAAAATGCAGAATGAAAAAGAATTATGAACAATCAATGTGATAACAATGGATACAGTTCTGGAAAGAGTATATAGTGCCAAATGTGGTAAAAGATTAACTCAAAATAAAATAATCATTAAAAAATAGAAATTATGGAATTAAAGACTACCTTGTTCCTACTGCCCACTTCAAACACCATGAAAAACCTCAAGCTTAGGTGGCTTTATAGACAGACCAACACAATCTTAAGAAACTGTTAAACTCTTTGTTATACAAGATGTTCCAGAAAACAGTAAAGTCTGTCCAAACTCATTTTATGAAGCTTATGTATTTGAGATTCCAAAGGCAGATAAGGATCTTATAAGGAAAGAAAATAAGACCCTTAAAAATAGTTATCTGAATCCAAAAGTGTATTAAAAAGAATACATTATACTGCAATAAAATTTTTAGAAGTTAATGTATTCCACACATTGATGGACCAATGGAGAAAATTACATTATTGTGTCATTAGGTGCCAAAAAAAATAGCCTAATTATTTATGATAAAAATATAATTATTTGTGATAAAAGTTCTCAGAAAACTAAGAGACAGAACTTCCTTATGTTAACATGGCTATAGATTAAAACATGGAGTAAATATCACACTCCATGGAAAATCTTTAGGCATTTCTCTTTAATATCAACAACCAATCAAAGATGTCCACTGTCACTGTTTTAACTACTTTCACCCTAGTACTAGCAGCCCCACCCTATAGAATAGAACAAGAAAATGAAATAAGAGGTAAAAGATAGAAAGGGAAGAATCAAAACTCTCATATTTGCAGATAATTTGATTATCTACATAGAAAAATACAACAAAACTGGATAAACAATAGAAATAATAAGAACATTTAGCAAAGCTGTCAGAAACAAGATTCACTTCCAAAAGTCAGTGCTGTTCTCTATACCACTACCACCCAAACTACAATAGAAAACAAGATGCCATTCATGGTAGCAGCAAAAAAACAAAATGCCTAGGAGTTATACCGGCCATGCACAATAAAGAATACCTGGGACAAAGTGAATAGGCCAGTGGCACATTGGGAGGAGATATTGTAATAATTAATGTCAGAATTCTAAAGGAACTCTTGCAAATGAAGAAGGACAGTTCAAGTGGGGGAAACCTGAATGACTAACAAGTTTATGGAGAGACGCTTCATCTTGGTAACTAGAATGTTTTTCTAATTAGAATAATAATTAGTAATTAGAATACTGATTTTCTAGTTAGTAATTAGAAAAATAAATCTAACAAGATACAATTTTGCAGCCATTAGAGTAGTAAAAATTATAAAGTTGAACAATAACAAATGATGGTGATGGTGTATGCAGGGAAAGAAACCCTGTTTTAACATCAGTGGGTGTGTAGACTGGTATAGAAATTCTGAAAAACAATCTGGAAGCAATTAGTATAATACAATTCAGCATGCATATATCCTGTGACCCATCAACTCCATTCCTGATACTGCTCTGGAAAAAATTGGTGCGTGGCTCCATAAAGGAACATATATAGGGATGCCTATCACGTCGATGATTCTCATAGCAGGGAGTGGGGGCAACCTAGGATTTAATCACTAAGAAAATGGATAAACAAAACGTAGTGGCATATGCTGCAGATAGCAAAAGGAATCATATATTGAGATCCATGCGGTAACATGGATATGGTTTAGAAACATTATGTTTAACAACAGAAAAGAATAGAACAGAAGGAGGTTTATACCATATCATTTATGTAAATCTAAAACCCATACATACACACACACAACTGCTAAATATTTCAAAGACCTATCCTTTCAACTGAATCAATAAATATTCAAATGAAAAGAGAGTTTAGCAAGTTGTCAGAAACAATGTTATGGTCTAAATGTTTGTGTTCCCCCAAAATTCTTATGTTGAAATTTTAGCACGCAAGGTGGAGGACCTTTGGGAGGTAATTAGGTCATCAGGTATAGACCTTAAGAATGGGAATAACACTCTTATAAAAGAGGTTCCTCGCACCTTCTACCATGTGAAGACACAGCAAGAAGGTGTCACCTATGAATCAGGACACGGGCACTCACCAGCCACTGAATCTATGGACACCCTGATCTTACACTTCCCACCCTCCAGAACTGCAAGAAACAAATGTTGTTTAGAAGCCACCTAGTCCAGGGTATTTTGTTGTCCTGTCTAAGACACACAATATCAAGTTACAAAACTCAACAGCATTCTCTAAACCAGAAATCATTAGAAAATGTAACACAAAAAAGATGCCATTCAGGATTCAGAAAAAAAAAAAAAACTGTCATCTAAGAATTATCTTGACAAAGAATACCTAACACCTCCACTGAAGGGCACAAAAGATTTGAATAAGCAGACATCCCATACTTTTGGGTGGGAACATCTAATAGTATAAGGATGTTGATGCTCCCCCAAATAACCTAAAACACCCTGTAATCACAATTAAAAGTCCAAGAGGTGTTTTTAAAGTTTTTAAATTTATATGGACATATACACAGAAAAATAAAGAACCATAAATAAACTATTTTGAAATTGCCCAAATAGCTATTAAGACATACTACAAAGCCATAACAATAAAAACAGTCTATTGCTGGCACAAGGACACACAAATGGACAATGGTACGGAAGATAGAGCTCAGAGACCTGCTCCTGTATATATGATAATTTGACACAGATAAAGTGACATCGCAAATTAATGTGGAAAAGATTATCTCTTTACAAAATTGCCTTGGAAAAAATGGCTTACTTCAGAAAAAAACTTAAACTGGATCCTTATCTAACATAATGCATAAAGACAGAATTTGGATAGATTAAAGGCTTAAGAGTAAAATGTAAAACTATAAAACTGATAGTAGATAATAAATCTCTGTATCCTAGAGATGGAAGACTCCTTAAATAAAATTCTCAAATTATACATCACAAGCAGTAAGTTAATCAATTTTAAAAGATGATTTGATTAAATAAAATTTAGGTATTTTTCTTCATTGACAGAAGTCATAGACAAAATTATAGGCAGATGGTTGGAAGAAAATATTTACAATGTATTAAATTGACAAGAATCTAATTTCTAAAAGGATCTCCTAAAAAATCAACAATAACCACAAAAAAGACACAGTCAAAACAACAGAAAAAAAAAGAATGGTAAAATGATAAGAACAGGTAATTGCAAAGAGAAAACTGAAACAGCTACCGTGTTTAGTGATTAGAGAAATGCAAATTAAAATAAAAGAAATTTCTATGTTCTTAGTAGATTGGAAAAAAATTAGAAAATCAGACAATGGTAATGTTCACAGAAAGTTTGAATACAGTGTCTTCCATTCCCTAGTGACAGGAATGTGCAGTGATACACACATTTGGGGGATAAATCTGGCAGTATTTAATTAAGTGAAGAAAATCTATACCCACAATTCAGAAGTTGCCCTCCTGGATATGTATTTCCAGAAAAATCCCACATAGGTCCACAGGGGACATATGTGAGATGTTCATCATCGTGTTGTTTGAGGTGGCAAGGAACAGAGGCAACTGAGGTCCCTTCACCAGGGGATGGAGTGCTATGCAGCAAATAAAGCATGGGCTGCTGGACCATCCCTAAGGACTGTGTGTTCAGAGCAACATGGGTGGGTCTTCGAAAACCAGTGCTCAGTGAAAAGCCTAAGAAACAAGTTCTGCAGTAAAATGCCACGTGTGTAAATGGAAAATATCTTCACAGATAAACAACTCTATATATTTTATAAGAACATATAGAAATGTTTAGGGATGGGAAGTAAAGGCATTGGAGGAGCTGAGGAAACAAAACAGAATAAATAAAACAAGAGAAGGGCCCTGAATAGACAAATAAGGGCAATGATCATGAACTGGGGAACTTGGTAAACTCAACGCCCTGCACCTGAGGTCTAAAAGGGAAAAAGAAAATAGGTACATAAACAAAAATACCATAGAGAGCAAGGATATATACCAAAGCCGCTAGCAAGGGTACTACTGCGGGGTGGGGAGGGGGAAGGAGGGATGGAAGTGTAGATTAATGATATGAGAGGCAAAAACTGGTAACATCAGATGAGAAAAGTTACGCGCAGACCAATGGTGAGTAGGCGTTGAATTGAGGTGAATGATAAACTCAACTCTGCACCACAAGTTCAAAGAAATAGAAGAAGACAATTGCTCAAAGTTGAAGACCCTAAAGTTTCCCAAACCAAGTACAAAGTTAACTGAAAATGATTATCAATGAACACAATAATAAAAAATAAATTGTAAAGTATTTACATTTCACAGTCTTAATAAGAATTCTCTTTAATCATAGATGCTCCCAGAGAGGAGAAAAAAAACAGATAAAATATAGAGGAATAAGAATGATGTTAACAGGAGACTTCTTACAAGCGACATTAAATGCAAGAAAACAATGGGGAAATAATGCTAATGTTATTTATTAAGGATTGTTTATCAAGGATAATGTTATTTATTGAGGGTTAAAAATAATTCAAATAGGTCTTAAATATAAAGTTCTATACCCAGCCAAACACTCATTTAGATGTGAAAGCGACTAATGCCATTTTCAGACATTTGAGAATTCAGAATTCTTTCCATCTACAAACCTCTAAATAATGGACTGAGAATGGACAAATAAATCCAAAAGAAATATGTTGCTAATTATAAACATGAATGGAATAATATCTTTAAATATTGACAATAAAGATTTATAGGCAACCACAGAATATAAATGGAAATAAGTAAATTTTATCAACATAACAAAGAGTAGGAAAGGAAAACACAAAAATGGCAATAAGAAAATAATGTAAACAAAAGCTTAAAATAAGGTGGCAGAAATGAGCTTAAATATTTCAGAAAGTAAAATAGTTTAATAAATTAAAATCTTATAAAAGCCAAGGAGTCTCAGATTAGGTTAAAAAAAATAGAAAGCCATGCAAGCAATGGGAAAATGATACTCTCCCCACACAAACATACCCTGCTCCAAAGGAGAAAAGTTTCGAGGCCAATAAACACTCTCAGTTCCATGGAAATGCAAATCAAAACAACACACAATAAATCTTGTTTTTTGCCAGTCAGGTGGGCAAATATTTTAAAGTATTGATGATCTCAAGGCAAGGAAGTAGAGAGGGGTACTGTTGTGTTGCTAAAGAGTGGGGTGTAAGCGTACCCCACACTAGACAGAATCCACTAAAACTGCCTATATCCATATTCCACAATTCAGAGACTCCACTTACTAATATACACCGGAGAGAAATGCTCCCACATGCTATCAGGGATGTGGAACAGTCAGCCAGTCTGGAGAAACATATAGAAATACTTAGACTTGTACAAGGATGTACTCTGCAGCATTGTTTGTAAGACTGCAAATAAGAAACTGCACAAATGTATATCAGCAACTAAATACACACATAAAATGTAATGTGTAATTTTATGATAGAATTCTACATAGTTAGATCAGTTAAAAAGAACAAGATCTACATACAGCAACAGGGTTGGATTTTTTTTTTAAATAGAGTAAGTTTAAAATGAAATGTGCACAATGCTACATAGTGTATGACATCATCTACATAAATTTAAAACCACAAAAATCCTAATGTGTACTATTTAGAAACAGCATGCATGTATGTAAAAGCATGATTAATAGATAGGAAGGGCACCCACCAAACTCATGAGAGTGGATGCTTCAGGAAAGTCTGGGGGAGACAAGGAGTGTTGGTTAAGAGAACTGTAGCTCTATCTGTGATTGTTTGTTTCTTATAAAAAGAGAAAGAGGGAGAAAAAGATCAACAGTAATCAGTCCTCGGTTGTGTGAATCTGTGCTCGTTACATCTGTGCACTCTTCTATTTAAAAAAAAAAAAAACACTTCTCAAGGAAAAAATACAAATAAGGCAAATGATAAAGAAAAAGATACAAAAGTATTAACGTCAGAACACAGAGAAGGCTTGACCAAGAAGGAAAAAAAATTCAAGAGACAAACCCATTTGCTTACTACTGATAAATGAACATCTAGGAGATATAAAATCATTAATCTTTATATACCTAAAACACAGCTTAACAATACATAAAGCAAAAACAGAAACCAAAAGGAGAAATTGACAAAGCTATGATCAAAATGGGAGACTTTAACATTTCTCACTCAGAAATCAACAAATCAAGTAGAAAAAAATAAGTAGGGGTATACTTGATTAACAATCATGCTCTAATAGCTATAAATAGAACTTAATGCTTAACAAACTTAACGATACCCATTTTCCCCAAATATACATGAACCACATTGGAAAATGAATTACGCTACGGAAAAATTTTTCAGAATTCCCAAAATTAAAAATCATAAGGATCTCATTCACTGGCTTACTAGTCACTGGAAAAGCAAAGTGAAGAAAAACAGAAAGTGGGAGAGGAGAGGAGAGGAGTAGGAAACAGCTGTGGCATAACCTCCTGTGGGTGCCTGTGAGTCCCGGAGAGGAGGCTGACGCTGCATACAAATCCGTTCTTCCTCTCAGTGAGCCCTCTCGGAGCACACACTCAGCGCTGGGTGCTGGGACACAACTAGGAACACCACAGTCACTGCCCTCAGGGAGTCCACTGTCTAGAGTTTAGGAGGGAAGGCAATGCCCCCCATAATGTAAGGTACCAAGAAAATAGTCCCCTCATTCCTGGGACTGAAGGCGGAGAGGCAATCTAGAGATTCCGTTTCATCCCCACATAGAGCTCCAAAATAAATACCAGGAGCTTGCCTGAACACTGCCTCCCTGGTTTTTATTTAAAACCCAAATGCCTCTGGGAGGAAGGCAGAAAAGTTCCCAAAGTCTTGACGAAAGTGAGGTTTTCCAAGGGAGTGGGTTAGAGACAGAAGGGAGCTGGCACAGGGGGAGGAGAGAAGACGGAGCTGCCACAGAGCAGGCTGGAGGAAGAGGAGGAAGAAGGGCAATGTGGGCAGAAGGGAGAGTCCCGAAAGGACTAGGCAGGATGCTGGGAGCCAGATCCAAGGTGCCACGGTTTCCCCGGGTTCATACTGTTTGGAAAGAAAGCTTAAAGTTATTCTGGAAAAACAGTTTATGTATATCTCTTCCAGGGGTGATTGTTCTGTTTCTGAAGTACAATAGAGAAAAGAAAGAAAAAGGAGAGAAACGAAAAAGAAAGAAAGAGGAAGAAAAAGAGGGGAAGGGAGAGAAAAGAGAGAGGCAAGTGAGGTAGGAAGGAAGGAAAGAAGGGAGATAGGGAAAAAGAAGCAGAATCATGGATACCCTGACAGGAAAAAAACATAAAGGTCTGGATTGGGCCCCACCCCGATCCCACTTCCCACTAAGACTCTTTTTGTTAGGGAGGATTTTCTGAGAAAATGTACCTATAATTAGCTAACAACTTTGGGTCCTTAGTGTCTGAAATAGTCTCTCATTACTTTTCGACTAGTTCAGAAATCCCAAACACGGTGTTCTGAGATTCTGAGGCAGATGTGATGGGAAGAGCAAGGCTTTCTGGCCCCAGAAAGGACACTGGGCAATTCCTGGAATTAAAGAATGTAGAAATGCCCTCATTTCTGTGAGCATCTCCTCCATGTTTGAGTTTGCCAACAAACCATGAGAGCCCATGGCTGGGTGCCTCACATGGATCTGGCACTGACTAGGTGCTTGTAAATGTTTGCTGATGGAACAAGTAGAGAAAGTAATGAAGCCCAGACTCAGGAAGTAAGTTTTTGACATGGCCCAAGAACTTGGCTGCAACCTGGACTGCCTTGGTTCCCAGGAAGCCTGTGACACTAAGACCTTTGCCCCCCCGACTTGAGGGAGAGACACATATCACTGGATGGACCAGGGGTCAAGCTGATCTTGGATAAGAGATGGCATTAGGCTAGTAGGGCCAGAGTGACTCTGGGGGGACTTCCTTTGAGAACACATTCAGGCTGTAAGGCTTGGTAAAGAACTATCTTGGTCCCTGAGATCTCAGAAGGAAGCAATGGGTGAAACTGGAGTAGATTCTAGTGGAGTCGTGGGTCTTTAAGTGTTTCTCCATGGTCACGTTTTTTTGATATGGAATCACATGCTTTGATAAGGAACAGCCCCAGGAGGCAGTGGAGCAGTGAACTCATCTTGCTCTCCAGCTGCCTTTTCAGAAGAATTTTATTTTCTTCTAGCAAAGCAATGTTACATACATTCAGCTAAGATATTTTTCTTCTAATGGAGCTAAATGCCGTATCATAGACAAGATCCACCCATCTAATTTGAAAGAAGGTCAGTAAGTAGAGAATAGCTTAAATGGCAATAAAGTTATGGGAGAAACTGATTAAACTTATATACATGTGCAGTTACAGACCAAAGTTAAAAAAAAAAAAACAAAAAAAAAAACCTCTCCTTGGAATGAAACCAAATGATAGCCTGGATACTAAACTGAAGTGATATTGTTCCAATTTTTCCTTTATCAGACAAAAGAAAAAGTCTTTCCATGTAGCCTTTTGACATAGAACTAATTTAAAGAAGATTTGGGAGTATGATGCAGGATCAGATGCCTTTGCAAATTCCTTGCTGTTTTCATTTGAAATATCTCATTTATGCTCAAATTTCCGATTGGAAATTTAATGACTTCTTCTTTAAGGGAAGTTGGCAAGCTGGGTTGGTTTAAATACAAATCTCCCAAAGGTAAAAGATCCGACATCATTATAAAAATAGAAAATATTCTCATTGTCCTTTTGAGATGTTTCTCCTAGAAGTCGGGGGATGTTTCTGAACAGCAGATGCGTTTTGGTAAAACAAAGTTGGAAAATATGTGAAACTCTTGACATTAAAACTACTTCCTGAGTTGTGTCAAGTTCTGTGGCTGCCCAGGGTAACTGAGACCATTCTCTCTGTGGCAATAAACTTGTTGGAAAATGCCCCAGTAATAGAAACACTCATAATTTGCTGCCTGGTGATTTTTACCTCAATTCTGGACAAGTCCTTTACCCTCTGAGCCTTGGTATCCCTATCTGTCAAATGGGGAGGCTGGCCTCCATAACCTTTAGGGACTCTTCAAGCATGGATATTCTCTGAGTTTATGACTCATTAACATATAAAATGTGATTTGCATTCAGCTGGTAGGAAACATTTTTTTCAAACTAGCAAAATATCAGATTGCTGAGTAATTTCTCAAATCAGACATGGATCATCCAGTGCAATCAAGTAACAACCCATTTTCTACAAGCAGCCCAAACTGACCTGAAATGAACTGCTTCTCTCCCTCTGTCCCACCCAGCCTGAGATGAGCCAATTCAAAGGCCTGATTAAGTCGAGGAATAAATAAAGAGATACCCTTCTATAATGAAAACAAGCTAAGAGTTGCTTTCCCATGGTAGGTCAGTGCACGCTCATGCCTTTGCTGAAAATTCAATTGCAGAGAGCATCTTGACCACCTTTCAACCTGCAGGTAGGCCTAATCAGTTTAACCTCCCTCAAAAGCCTTTAGGGTCTAGGACCACGTCTTGTTCACCTCTGTGTCCAGGTCCTACATCAGGGCCTGACAGAATACAGAGTAAATGTATTAATAAAACAGATCGTTGAAATGGCCTATCTAGACACTGCTTCAACATTTACATAGAGGAGGATCGGGGCAGAAATCTATTACAAAGACAGGGAGGTAGCTAGGAGATTTGTCTTGGAGCTACAGTTGCTCAGCAAGGACACTGAATTTACTGAGACTGTAGTTGTTTATTGATTGTTTAATTTGTTTACTTAATTAGACTGTACCTAGGGTAGTTTGGGAGGCAGATGGTGATGGGAATTTGGACAGCTTCTTCCTGAGCCACCCCCACCATGCCACCCAGGGCAATTGATACCATGATGTCTGAGGACTTCCTCACAGAGTGTCCCATGCAGAGGTATACAGGACAGAAGAGGAATGTGCTTTTTTCTCATAGATGTTTCCCTTTCCTGTTTGCACAACTTCAGACCATGCAGTCATTGTAGCTGTAGGAAGCAGCATGTACCATGTGTGACTGTGTGTGCATGGGCTTCTTGCATAAGGGTTCTAGTGCATGGTGTTTCCCTAGGAGGGCAGGGTGGAGGGAACAGTGGACAGAACACGGGCTTTGGAGATGGATGGGGCTGGGTTTTTAATCCTGGGTGGGGGCAGTGGTGCTGAAGAACCTTATGATGTTGACAGGCCACCTAATCTCTCATCTGTAAAGAAGGGAGAATCCTACTTCCCTCACAGGCATATACCTAGACTGCCATAAATGGCTGCAACTTATACCATTCATTCACCTTTTTGTCATATGGGCCTGTTTTACACGGGCCTCTCCAGGCCCTCGTGGCAGGCTCTGTTCTCCCCCTGTAAACACAAGGAACACATTTTCTTTGTCCTGCCGAAGTAGTGGAACAAGTCTGTGCAGATGACCCCTGACCTCATCCAGGAGTGGAGTCAGGGGTAATCACACAAGTGGAGGCACTGTGCACAAAAGCCTGGGTTAGTTAGTGCCACTTGGAGGAGTCTAGGGCAAATGTTAGGACAGGACAGACAGGACCTCAAATCAGTTTTGCCACTCAGACACCAAGGATCCTTGAGTCCTGACAAACCTGGCCTTTTCAGACCCTGCCAGTGATGACTGGGGTTGGGAAAGTCAGGTTAAATTTCCTGACCTACTTGTCCCAGCCTGACTGGGACCATTTCTCATTCAAACCACAAATCCCAGTGAGGCATTGTTGATGTGTCCGTGCAGGTATGTGTATGCGCGAGCACACATGTGCAGGCAGGCACATGTACATGTATGCACATGGATATGGGAAGTTTTTCCCCTTAAAGGGAATACTACATGATTATAAAATAATCACATAGTGATTATTTGAAAATGGAAACAGAAAACTTACTTCAAATATGAGAAACACCTTTAGAAATAAGAGCTTTAAAAAATCTCAATTTTTGAAAAAAAAATTCCCTGAAACACTGACCAAATGGACATATTAGAAGCTGTGAAGCATGGCAAAATAATGAATTGTTAGGCACATGCTATGTTTAGAATATATCCACATAATAAACCAATATCAAGCATGTAATGTTTTTAATTACCCTTATTAAATACAATAACTGACATTAAAATCAACACTCACATAATCCCTTTCTTGTGCTGTACTTTCACTTTGCTTTCTTTTCGGGCGGGCATCTAGCAAACTTCTTTTGCAGACACTCCATAATGTTAGCTGATTAAATGTATTCAAATGTAAAATGGATGCCATATCCTCAGAAGCATTCACAGGTAAACTTTGAACTTGGAAGCCAAAATAATGTTACACTGACTAGGAAAAACCATTGGGCTTGGATCTCCACAGCCTATTCCAGTCTTCTAGCATTACGTGGCAGCAGCATATTGTCCCAGAAAAGCCAGCTAATTTTAGAGAAAATTCATCCTTTTACCTGGCCCGTGAGAGATATCAGTACACCTAGGTTTCAACATCTGCTGTGAGGAAGATTAAGAACAAGATCCTAATTTCTGGTACACTCTTGATGTTGGAAAAATATCAGCTAGCAAGCATTATTAGTTATCTTTGAGTTGACAAGAATGCGGGATTAAGTTTCTTTAAGGCAATTACACTTTTGATGACCCCTCTGCATATAAAACATGTTAGCTAATGGGGGTGCAGAGGGGCAGGCTTAAGTGTTTGATCAGGAAATCCTGCGTGAGCATATTGGATGGAAATTTGATTAGTAGCCTTAGTGACGGGCGATCAGATCCTTTGGGTCTGCACAATCAGATCTGGCAGGACTTGCCTTCTTGCCTCTTTGAAGGAGGTGAACATTTGTACAGAATCAAGACAGTGCTGGGTCCTTGGGTTTTTTTTTTTTTCTGGGTCCTTTTCTTTAAGTTATTGCAGACGAAAGCCTGAGAAGTACCTTTTATTTTCCTTCAACAATATGTTTGCAGTTACCTTAATGTTGAAGAATAAAATAAAAATCAGCCTGTCCTTGAAAATTTGAGGGCAGAGGAAGTAGAAATAAAAAAATAAATAAAAACAGAGCCAGAAGGGACCAAAGAGAACCTTGTTATAAGAATAATGGCAAACACTGATACTCAAACAACACCACACTCGAAGCATTGCTGCAAAGGCTTTCAAACAATTTGCACAAGGCCTCTATTTGACAGAGAAGGAAATTCACAGCACGGTGAAGTGGCCCAAGGTAAGGCAGCCAGGATTTAAGCCCCTGATCCAGGCTCTTGACCACTCTACACACTCCACACACTTCTACCTTCCCCATGTTCTAAGTGGGAAACTGAGTTCCAGAGAGAAGCCGTGACTCTCCCAAAGTGAGTCAGCTGTGAATAAAGCCATATTCTCCTTCTTTCTTCATTCTGGGGCTCTTCTCTTATGCCTCAAAGCTTCACCTTCCTCTGTCAGTGTGGCCAAAACAAGTCTGAGCTGGGTGCTTTATATCCATCATATCATACAATTCTTTGTTTGTTTGTTTGAGACACAGTCTTGCTCTATCACCCAGGCTGGAGTGCAGTGGCACGATCTCAGCTCACTGCAACCTCCATCTCCCAGGTTCAAGCAATTCTCTGCCTCAGCCTCCCAAGTAGCTGGGATTACAGGTGCCCACCGCCACACCTGGCTAATTTTTTTTTTCTTTTTTTTGTATTTTTAGTAGAGACAGGGTTTCACCAAGTTGGCCAGGCTGGTCTTGAACTCCTGACCTCATGATCCACCCACCTCGGCCTTCCAAAGTGCTGGGATTACAGGCATGAGCCACTGCACCCGGCCATATCATACAATTCTTAAATCACCCTTAGAAAGGGATACAATTTCCATTTTACACACAAAAGAAACTGTGGTCTCAGAGAGGTTAGGCAACCTGCCCGTAATCACACAGCAAGAAACAAAAAAGAGATTTGATCTCACATCTGTCTCATTCCAGAGTATTCTCCTTCCCACTTTCTCTGTGAGAAAAAATTAGGCTGAGAGGAGAGGAGGAAAGAATAACCCCAGCAATATTTTGGGGCCAAACAGTCATTAAAGGGATGAGTTTACATTATGCAAATTTGTTAATGCATTTGTTTAGCACAAGGAACAGAGTCCATTTTTCATATTAGGTGTATTTAGTTGAACTAACAGGTATTTTCCATATGCCTGAACTCCAGTCAGTGAAATAAGGCCCAGCATTAGCAATGAGCCTTTAGTCATGGCCAGATCCAGTCTTTAAAACATGCATCGCTTAAAAAAAAAAAAAAAAAAAAAACAGTCACACACAAACACACACACACACACCCACCCCATATAGTCTATGTTTTAATCTTCCCCTTTTTTACATGGTCTGTAAGGTCCCCAGGTTCCTCTTTCAGTGTGAACCATAAAACACAGAGATATGTTTATAAGATAAATAAAACAAAACAGTCTAGAAATCTCTCACTAGAAAAAAGTGATCAAGGTATATTCTGGCATCAGATTGACCCTCAGTCACAGGAAAGTCAATTAATTGTAATGGCCATATGGATAGATTATTCTGGGAAATCTTCGACATGACTTCAGCCCTGCTGCCTGACAAGGGGATACACATCAAATGTGCCAGCCCCTTCTGAGGGAGCAACAACAGTAGGGGGGACCCACCAGCACACCAACTCACCTCAGACAGCAAGGCCCGACTCGCAGGGAATGCAATATCTGTCCCTTCCTCAACTGGGAAGCTGGATTCTGCCATTTGAAAACATCTTGCTTCTTGTAAGTTCATAATCATGCGAGTGAAATGCATTTTTTTGAGACAGGGTCTTGCTATGTTGCCCAGGCTAGTCTCAAACTTCTGGGCTCAAGTGATCCTCCCACCTCTGCCTGAAATGCATTTTAAAAATACAATATAATACTAAAATTAAAACAGCAACTCTCATTTTTTTTTTGCAGGAAGAGGGAGGACACTATACACATAGGTTAATCTATGTCTAAATGAGCTCAATTTGTTTTCTTGAGGTTTCAATGTTTCCCTTTCCTTTGAAATTTTTTATCTATTACAAAAATAATTCACAGAAGAATAGAAGACAAAAATCTTCCCTAGTCCTACCACCCAGTGAGAGCTACCATTAAGATTAATATTGTATTTTTCCAGATATTTTCAGTCTAATATATAATTACAATCATTGGACATAATCAAAATAGCTATACTAATTTTTGAAAAAGCTTACTTGTGTTTTTTTTTTTTTTTTAATTGTAAAACTAATATAAACTCTTAGAAAAAGTTCCAGGTAAGTGAACAGAATACTATAGGGAAGAAAATGAAAATTCCCTCTAGGCTACCCCTCAGCAAGAAACCCTCTTAATGGGAATCCCCAGGCTCTGAGTGGCTCCCCTCTCCAGCTTGGATCCTCAGCTCCAAAGCCCCACTGTCCTGTCTCTGTGTCCTGGGACAGGGGACAAGGGGCTGTCCTTACATTAATGCTCCACATGCCTCCACCCAAGTCCAGGCAGCCAGCCCTTCAGCCCTGGGGCGGCAAACCCACCCTAGAGTCCTTCATCTTCTTGGCTACTTTATGTCAAAATATTCATATTTGTTTTTTACTTAATAGCTAATGTCCTTTGCCGGCAACCCCCTGCCGCACCCCATTTTAAATATTATGGTCCTAATTACAGAGGATGATTACTGAATGACCAAATGGGGAAGGCAGACCCTGATCACACTCTGGAGGCCCAGCCTCTCTCTTACAAAATGGGACTCTTTTTTTTTTTTTTTTAACACCATCCAATGATGTCACCCGTTTGCGGTTTCTCTGGGACTTTATTAAAATGTTTGTGACGGAGCCAATGTAAACCATCCTAAATCCAACACAGAGCTGAAAGGACTGATTTTAGGGAATGTGAAGATATGGATCATTGGGCCTGTCGAAGCCCCATCTTGAGCCAATTATTGGTGTCATCTTGAGCCAATTTAATCAATCCAAGAGGGATTGGAGGGTGGAAGGGGGCGCAAGCGGGGGTTGTGAGCGTTGGTCAAACATGCTGGCTCAAATGCTTGTGTCATGAAAGCTACACAGCTCTAGCTTTCTGGATTTCAGTTGCTGCTCTAACACGCGCTTTCATCCCAGGGTACCCTATCTTGTGCCAGTTTCAGCCACATTGTTGGGTTTGTTTGAAATTGCTGAGCAGGGCTGATCTAGGTCTGAAAGATTAAGCCCCCGGAAGTCTTAATGGTCACTTCTCATTTGGGAGACAATGTCAAGGAAGCAGACCCCACAGACACCACTGACATCCGACCCATTTAGGGACCCAGGGAAACCAGCCCTTCCGCCTCTCACCCCAGACGGACTGTTCACCACTGACATCCGACCCATTTAGGGACCCAGGGAAACCAGCCCTTCCAGACGGACTGTACCAAGAAAGGGTCAGGAGCAGTCTAAGTGGGATGCTTAGAAACAAAATCCAGTGACAAACAACAGCCTTGAGTATTTATTTTTTGTTGAGTTTTTCTTTCTTTTTTAAAATTGGTTATCCAGCATTATAAATTACAAAGTGGATGTTTTTCTCACTTAAAAAAAAATGACTAGAAAGAAAAGACCCAGAGTCACCATCAATAGAAATATTTGACCATGTCAAGAGCTAAAGTAACATCAGCTTCCATTTTCTATTTTATACTCGGTGCCTCGAATGGATGACACAAATATAGGCAAGGCACAAACAGAATATTAGATATTTTCTTTACAAACCCACAGAAAATGATTGATATATGTGGCACACAATTATTTTATTTATCCACATATTTATGTATATTTGTCTATGCTCCAAAAAGGATGTAAGGGGTGTACCTGGACCTGAAATAGTTGATTAGCTGCCCCATCCTCTCTCCTACATTCTTCTCCCCATCTAAGTTTCAAAGGACTGCTCCTCCTCCCTCCCCTGGGGCAGCGCTTCACATTTTTTATGATACCAAAAGGGTCTAGGCTGCCTAGTATGTGTATGTTGTGTGTTTTGATGAATAACATCCATGAATATTCTCAATCACTTCTCCAGAACCAGCTATTTGTCTTGGATATAGCGCTACGCAAGCCCGGCGTGGTTTGGAATAGCTAACACTGCAGTAAGCCTTGTCACAGTGCATCTCTGCATGAGCTTGAGGCCACAGAGCAGAACGTGGGCCGATAATACAATTGTTTTCAACCCCATAAAATTGAAGAGAAAGGTCCTCTTGAGTTTTGGAATGCATGCTTGCTGTCAGTTCAAAAAGGAGGTATCCAAAATCTTAAGCCAGGAACAAAAGAATACGAGTCTGACAACCGCCTTGATGTTCCCAAATTTAACCACTTTAAAGAACCCTGCCTCCCTCATCATTGAATTATTTTCACAAAACAATGGATGTTGAATTTATCTTTTCCTATAATATGCAATCTGAAAGTTGTTTTGATTGAAACTGACTTTCCTTCTATTATAACTTGTTTCCAAAGACTTTGATTGCTAAACTTGTAATTTCTGCAAACCTGATGGACTTCTGGGACAATACAGGGGCTTCGTTACTCTGAACGTGTTCAAAACAAATCCAGAATGAACTTTTATCACTGCAACCTCCAGAGAAAGAGTAGGAAAGGCAACTCTGGGCTGAGTTGGCTTGGTCCAAGTCAGTATCTCCACTTGAGAATGTGTTAGTCTGTTTAGAAGTCAGGCTAATCCTACCTTTCAATTATAGAAGGAAACAGATTTTAAATTCAAGACTCAAGGTGGGTCCTCTGAGTGTGAGGATCAAACGCTCTGGTGCTTTCAACAGCAAACGCTACTGCCTGTCTCAAGGCGGAGGCCAGCCGGGACTGCAGGGTTTATAAACAATGCTCTGCTATTTATTGGAGTTGCCCACCCGAATCCAAATCTTCCTCTCTTCAATAGCGGCCTATTTACCGCAGTTTAAATCAGGGTTCTGCAGCCCTGCCGGGGTCTGCAATTTATTACTTGCTGCAAGAGCTCAGACCCAGAGTTTAAATGTCCCGAGTTGAAAGTTTATACCAGTCAGGACAGAAAATTATTCTCTCTGCCTAGGTTGAAGCACATTACTTCTTTATTGAATTAATTATGATAAGGATCATAACTTTAAACGAGGGGTGAGGTGCTGGCTTTCCACTGGGATTGCTTGGAGCAATTTTCATCCAAGCATTTTTGTGGAGTTATTGAGTCTGGCAGGTCTGAACTTTAGAGAGGAGTAACTTTCTCCAGAACTTGAAAGGGGTTGGACATTGATCCAGGCAAAGCTTTACCAGATTCCATGTCTCGAGACAGGGAAATTTGCACTGCATGCTGAACAAATAACTGCGGGACCGGATGAAAGACAGCTCAGCAACTCCTCATGTGGCCTCGAGCATGGCCTTTCCCTGGCAGACATGGCCCAGGGAGGGCAAGGGACAAACAGGAACAGAAAGGTCCCCAGCAAGCCCATCCTCCCCTGCCTCTTTATCTTCCAAGCCCAACCTGGGCTGCAGGGCTGTGCAAGTGGCATACTGGATCCTGGGTCCAAATCCTGGTTCTGCCACTTACTAGTGGGGTGATATGAAGAGTGTTCCTTTTCTTCTTTCTGTCTCACCCAACATCTCTGGACTACTTTAAGAAGTGTGTGTATATGTTACATATGTATAAATATGTTATACATACACACTATATCTATAGTGTGTGTATATATGATTATATATAATATATAAGTATTACACACAAATATATATACACATATATATGTGCATAATACACACACACCTGGCACTTAGTTGGGGCTTAATTAAATTATATATACATATATATTTGTGCATAATACACACACACACACACACACACACACAAACACACACACACACACCTGGCACTTAGTTGGGGCTTAATTAAAGGTAGTCATGATTACCATTGTCATTATTATCAGGAAAATGAAAAAGTTAAGCCAGACCAATATCTCATATGTCTTTGAACTAAAATCTCCCCAACTCCTACCCAGGTGACAAAGCAGTGTGGGTCTCTGGCTGTGGGCCCAGGCCTCCATGCTGCCAGCTGGACTGCACTCAAGGCCGTCTTCCTGGCTCCTCCACCCACCCCCACCCCCACTCTGCAGAGTCAGGAGTTTTGCTGCCTGGGTTCCAAGTGCTGTGGCTATTCCTGGATGTCTCCCATACAGGCCCCACCATCTGGATCCTGGTAGCCCTGTAGTGACAGGCTTTACCAGGGAAGAAAGGGGCTTTCCCAGCACACCTTTACACTCAGCGAGGTAGCCAGCTCAGTGGATAAAGCCTTGCTTGCAACTCAAATTAGGGTTGACGTATAATTTATCATCTGAACCAGGGCACGTTTAACAATGAAAAGGGCACTGCTAATAATTACTTTGAGACATCACACATAACCAAGACTGGCCTGGCACCTCGGATGTATGGCCAGCTATTCTCAGACCACTGTAGTCTCAGACCATGCTTCCTCATTACAGAAAACATTCCATTTGCATGAACTTTACTAAGTCCACCTCTTCAAAATAACCTTCCTTAATGATTTGACAGCTCCAGGCCAGCATGGTCTGACAGGGCCCTGAACAGCCACAGCCAGCTCCCAGCCATGAATGGATTATGCAGTGTTTTTCCTTCATTGTTCCCCTGTTCCCCATGGGAGAGTGACTGTGTGAAAGTGGCTATGGAGCCCAGTGTCTAAGTCATCTTTTGGGACTTGAAGAGAAGGGGACCCTCAGGAGGCCAAAGAGCCAAAGCTCATCACACCCTTTAGTCCAGGTGATGGGGTACTGAGATCACATCCACACCAACATGCTCATCTACAATCCAGCACAACCCCAGCAATTCTACTGACGGCCTTGGCAGCTATTACTTGGTGAGCAATTGCAATGCGCCTGGTCCTTGCTCAGGGTCTCACATTGAATTACTTCATTAGATCCTCCCTAAAATCCTAACAGGCAGTTCTATCGTTAACAATGATAGATGAGAAAACTGAGACACAGAGAAGTTAAGTAACCTGCCCAAGTTCACCATACATAAAAGTGGCCCAGCTGGGCTTTGAACTCCAGCAACCTGGAGCTGACCCTTAGAAGCAAAGATGTACTGTAAAGAGTGAAAATGGGCTTAGGCCTTGATTCAAAACCTGCCTTTACCCGTTCCTCATTGTGACCCTGGGCAAGTTCCCTTTTTAAATAACTTAATCCTCAATATAGGACCTAGGCTTGTTGTAAGGTCAAAAGAGACAACGTATGTGCAGCTATCTCATAAGGTATAGGAACCCAAGTACAGTTTCTTAACATAATCTGTTGCAACAGTCCTACCTGACAGTGAATCCTCCACTGTGTCCCAGCAAGTGGCCACCCAGCCTGGCTTAGAACATGCTGTCTGTCCCCAGTTCTTATCCTCAGGGCCTTGCCCTCAGCAGCTCAGGACCTGGCCTCAGCCCCAGATCCCTCGGAAGGTCAGCTCAGCTCTGAAAGAGAAGCCCACCATCCCAGGAGTTCAAACCATCAGGTCCTGACAGAGATGGCACCACTTTGGAGAGGTTTTATTTCAGCTACTTCCAAGGGACTGTATACCCCAAAGTTCCCATTCTGGAGATGTGCCTGCAGCCCATGCACCACGATTGTCCAGAAGCTAGGTCTACCAGGCACTCAGCCAATCAAGTGGCCAGTGAGTCAGGAGGCCTGGGGCTCCATCGCCCAGCTGGCAAGCCCATTAAACATCCACCCTGAGGCCCTCTCCAGGCAGGACACACAAAACTGAGACAATGGCTCTTCCTCACGCCTTCCCTTCTCCCTGCAAAAGTGTGTTTTGCATCCCACCCTACCCCGTGGAGCCCACATGGTTTAAGTTACTGGAGCCCCCTCTGAAGGGGGTGGTCTATTACTTTCATCTGTCAAAGAGAAGATACCACAGCTGGGAGCAAGGCAAGGTCTGGGCACAGGGACAGTAAGCAGGGACTGGGCCAGGTGGTCTGGCCGGCAGCCTGCCCAGGCCTCCCTTCACTCTCTCAGACCTGTGGCGCCTGCCCAAGCCATGCCTCTGTATCAGGAGGGTCCCTTCCTCCCAACAGGGTTAACCAGAGGTGAGTGTGGGACAAATGTTAGGTTCCTCAGCTTTCTACAATGCAGGGCAGACAACAAGACTGCCATGCTTCAGAGGGGATACAGGCTGAAAACAGCAACAGGTTCCAGGAGGGTTTTGAGAGTTGCAGAGAATGTGACAGAGTAGGGAATATGACTAATTTTGAACAGGGTAGCCTGTATCATCATTCAGCATCTATTCTCATTCAAGGGTTCGATGTTCTTCAAGAAAAAAAAAGGTCAATTTATTCACACTAAAATGTGAATGACTAAATGTTCCTTATGCATTGTACTTCATAGAAGTGTTTCACAGAAAACATGTAAATAGAAATTGCCAATGCAACTCTTCAGTTACTACCTCCCCTGATAAACAAATGCACACACACACACTGACACCAACAAGCACAAACACATGCCTCCCCATCCAAACCAAACTACTTAGTATTTTCTGAGCACCCTGGACCCTCTCTTCAGGCCAGGCTTTTATACTACCTACAACTCATGAAAGCATCCCTTCACTTTGTTTCCCTGGTTATCTTAAGTTCACCCTTCAAAACTCATCCCACTTAGCACCTCCAAGAAGCTTTCCCTGCTTGCACCTGCCCCAGGCTGCATTAGGAATTGCTCCATGAGGTGCTCTCTGCATGCTCCGCAGGTAGGGCCCTCTCCATCCTGGGCTGTCATGGTTTCCTGATCTGACTCTCCCACTAGACTGTCAGCTCCTCCAGGCCTGGGTCTCGTGCTCCATTTTATTCCTAAGGCCTATACAAGGCTTGGCACAGAGTAGCATCTTGAGGAGTGTTGGTTGAATGAAAAAATGACAATCTGCATCAAGGAAGCTTCTTTCTTTCTGAGTAAGGAGTATGTAGAGCCAGGCACACATGGAAGAGTGCCTGAGTGTAACACAGTTCTGCACCTAACAGATGCACCCACAAAAACACATGGGCTCTTTTCCCCTGACCAAACACCATTCATCAGTTTCCTAAGAATCATTCTGCCCACAGCTGGGGAAAAAACAAACAGTATCAAGAGCCTGAAGAATGGCAGAAGACCCTGTGCCTCTCAATATGTCATTGGGGTCCCTGGAGATATATGTAATGAAAAATGTTAAAACTAGCCAGTAAATAAATATGCCATGCTGAGTTTGGTGTCCACAACCTCTCAGACCTGCAGTTGTCACCACCCCACCAGCCCACACATCATCAGGTCCACCCAGAGACAAGCAAATGGTTTCTCAAAACACAGTGGTTTTTATTTATGGTTTTTATGACAGCACATCCTTCTAGACTACCTGTTTCTGTCACTTGGACCTAAAGCAATAGCTTGCTTCTTTCTGCCACCCCAAGCTCTAGAGCCTGTCCAGGGCCAGAGACTGCCCATCATAATAGGAGTTTCCCAGGATACATTTGCCACAAGACACGCACGGGCATGCCCATCTGCCCACACATCTATATGCACAAGCACATGTGCGCGCACACACACACAGGCATGGGAAATCACAGGGTGGGGAATTGAGAGCATCGGCTCTAGAGCTGTCCCACTTGGGTTCAAGTCCTGACTCCATCCACATTTACTATCTGGATGGCCTTGAGCAAAATATTTAACCATCCTGGGCCTCCATTTCCTCATCTGCAAAATGGGGAAAATTATCATTCTTACCCCATAGGAGTAGGCTAAGATTAAATCAACCTAAAGTACTCCTAACAATGTTCAGCTATCATACACACTATAAATAAATGTCAGCAATCACGATCATGTACTCACACATACAGAAATTCACACTGCTAACCTGTGGTTTCCCCATAAGTGATTCTCAGTCGTAAGCAAGAAAGTTCCTTTCCTTGACTCTCTTATAACCTAAAGTACCCTGAGAGTAGGGGTTATGGTTAGGACTCACAATCATTCATTCATTCATTCACTCAACAAACATTTTTTTTTCTTTTTGAGACAGAGTTTCGCTCTTGTTGCCCAGGCTGGAGTGCAATGGTGTGATCTCAGCTCACTGTAACCTCCGCCTCCCTGGTTCAAGTGATTCTTCTGCCTCAGCCTCCCGAGTAGATGGGATTACAGGTGCCTGCCACCATGCCCAGCTAATTTTGTATTTTTAATAGAGACAGGGTTTCACTATGTTGGTCAGGCTGGTCTCGAACTCCTGACCTCAGGTGATCCACCTATCTCAGCCTCCCAAAGTGCTGGGATTACAGGCGTTAGCCACCATGCCCAGCCTCCAACAAACATTTAATGAACACCTGCAATGTGCCAGGGATGGATCAAGATCTAGCCTGGCCTTGAAGAGTGCACAGGTGACAATGGTCTGTGATAAGTGCCATAATAAAGTGGAGAGAAAGGGAAATAATCCAGCTCAGGAAATCAGGGAAGGCTTCTTGAAGGAAAGAACGTCTACATACTAAAAGCTGAGTACAAGTTAGCCATGTGAAGGGGTGAAGAGGATGGGAGATGGACTCAGGCTGCACTGACTCAATTAATTATAACAATCAGTAACTACCATTTATTGAGCATTTTCTCCGTGCCAGGGCCAGTGTCAAGCATTTTAGCCATAGCATCTCACTGAAGCCTCACTCTCAGCTTTGAGTAGAGGGACAGCCTCTGCTTTGTATTTTGTTCATGCTGTATCCTCAATGCCTAGAATGCTCCCCAGAACTTAAGTAGTACCCAATAAACATTTGTAGAATGAATAAAAATCAAACACTGCCATGAAGGTGGTCCTAAAATGACCCCCATTTTACAGATGAGGAAACTGAGGTGTAGAGAAATCAAGTGACTTGCTGAAGGATGCTCCACAGCGAAGTGTGGAATGGAGCTAGGATCGGATGGAGCTCTGTCTGGTGTTGGGCTGGGACTCTCACCTCCCCGTCTGCTGGTCAGGCCAAGTGCATTATTCAGGTTCACTGAGGATGAGGCTGGCCTGAGGGACCTCAGCAGCCAAAGCAGCCACCCTCTCACATGTGACCTGAGAAAAACCAGGTCACAGACGAAACCCCACTCCCTACACAGCGGGCTCTGTGGAGGGCCAGCCAGTGGGGTGCCCAGCTGGCTCAGCAGCCTGTGTTTACATTTCTCCCTCAATCTGGAGGCTGCAGATTGAAATTATCTCCTCTCTGCCGTGTCAGCCTGTCCTGAGGTTCGCTCCCAGCCCCAGCAACTCCCAGCAAGCTCAAGGCAGTCCCAGCTGGGACATGATAAAGACGGCTCTGTACCATGGGTTTCATTTGGATGGGAGAGGAAGGCCCTCCCCTCAGCTTAGGCTGCAGCAGAGCCTTTTCAGTTAGCAGTCTGCCCTTCCTGGGGACTGAGGGAAAGCAGAGGGGCCCCCACTGTACCCCAGCCCCAACGGCCTCTGAGAGCCATAGGAGTACCACCACAGGACCCTGGGGGAGCAGAGTCTACAGCTGACCCAGGCTTCCATACTGCAGCCCAGATCATCTGCTGGGCAGATGACTTCTAGGGGATGGGGGAGATGTAGGGCACCTCCCCATGGCCAGCCTCACTATCTCTGTGAGGAAAGTACTTGCTGTGCAACCCTGGGCCAGTTCCCTCCCCTATCTGTGCCTCAGTTACTTCATCTGTACAATGAAGGACTAGGATAGATGATCTTGGGTGACATGCTGCAATTTGCCATGCCAGGCTCTTCTAAGCTTCCTGAGGGCAGAGGCCAGACTTTATTCCTATCAGCATCCCCAGCAGCCTGCATAATGCCTGACACTCAGAACACTCAGGGAGTGTTTGTTGACTGAATGAATGACAAAGATCTGCCTGTCCCCCTCCCTTTCCAAGCCCCCCAGGGACCTCATGAACTCCATCACACCTGGAACCCATCTTAGTGATCCCTTGGCCAGCCCCCGACTCCAGGTCATATCTTGATCTACAGATTAATCTTTCCCTATCTGTGCTGTCAGTGTGGGGTCTCAATAAATATCACTTAGTGCACTATAGGAACTTGATAAATACTGGTTATTACCATTATTATTACAGTATCAGACAAATTCATTCACACTAAGATCTTAATAATGAATAAAAAATGAACAGATCTGTATTCTAGATGGGTTCTAAGAAGGGACAATCGCAGGGAACAGATCTCTAACCATGACATCTCAAGTGCTACAGCAGGTGCTAACCTGGGTCCAGGTGAGGGAACAGGGAGGGCAGGCTTTCCAACAGGGAAACAGAGTCTTGAGACCAAGGTCCACATCTCAGAGAGACTGAGGAGGCAGAGACAGGGCAGGAGGTGTACAGACACATCCCTCTGCTGAGAAGTCATATACTTACCCCTTGTGGAAGGGTCTGGGATGCTTCCTATGACTTGTGGGCCAACACTGGACTAGAGGCAGAAGGGGTCATCATGGGGCTGAGCCACACAAATGCTCTGTGGCAGGAAGGCACACTTGGCCTAGAACCACATACCAAGCCTGAGGAATTTGCAAAGAGCTAAAAATTCTGAGTAAAATATCAGCAATACAAAACAATTAAAGACACAAAGGTTTGGGCACTAGACTATGCCACAGAGGTGCCCACCACAGAACCCTGGGGGAGCACTGGAATCCTAGTCATACTTCAAAATCCTCATAAGGATTTCTGCTTCTGGTGGTATTGTGAATTAGATATTCTATTGATGGAGGGGGGATGAGCAGGGGCCATACAAACAAACCTCCTAATACAAAAAGAAAACTAGATGAAATACATCAAACATCTTTTTAAATGCAGAACTGAACTTGTAGTAAAATAAGAACTCTCTAAATGTCAGAAGTGGAGAGGAGACAGGACTCCAGCCTGTGGAGCCAACGCTGCCCCAGCAAAGCTGTCAGGCATTTGCTGAGACAGGGTTTATTGGCAACAGAGGATACAAGGTCTTAGGCTCCCCCACCCTGCCCCACTCCCACAACAGAAGCTGGGCTTCTTGAAGAGCTACATCCTAAGTACAAGGATAGACTAGAAAAGGAATCTGCACACAGCAAAGGGAAACAACTAGGCTATCTTAGGCTCAGATCCAAGTAGGGAAAGGAAAATAAAAGAATAAAGCCTCCACTGACAATTCATAACCATAGCCTCACCCTGCAGGTCGAGGATTCAAATTTACACTACCTGCCCAGTTCAAGAAACCCCAAGTCAAGGAATTAAAGCATCCCCAGGCTGGTGGTTCTCTGGGACAACAGGAAGAGGCAAAAGCAACTTCTTTCTGGAAGAGCACGTCATCAACCCAGGTCCCTTAGGTTCCCTGCAGGAGTAGAGCAGTCAAGTAGAGCTCACAATAAAAAAAAAAAAAAAAGTTATAAGACACATGAGGAACAGTAAGTGAGAATCATCACAAGCAACCAATAGCAGACTTATACCCAGAAAGACCTGAGACATTGGAATGATTAGATATAATACATAAAATAGGTATATTTTTAAAATGTTTAATGAAGTAAAACAGGGAAGAAAAAACTCAGCAAGGAACAGAGATTATTAAAAATGGCCAGGCCTATTTGGAAAGTAAATAAATAAAACCTCTTAAAATAGAAACTCAAATTATTGAAGTTTAAGGCCCAATGAAATTGGTTAAGCAATTGAGAATTTGTGAGTTGGGAGGCAGATCTAAAGATATTACTAATAGTGCAGCACAGAGAGAGAGAGATGAAAAATGTAAGCAGGACTAAGAGGCATGGAGGATAGAATGAGAAGATCTAAACTATGTCTAATTGGAGTTCCTGAAGAAGACATTTAGAATTTCTTCTGAGATAATGAAGAAATAATGGCTAAGAATTTTTGAAAATTGATAAAAGACGTAAATAATGAGATTCAGGAACCACAAGTAACCCAGGCAGGATAAGTAAAAACAAATTCTCAGCCGGGCGCAGTGGCTCACGCCTGTAATCCCAGCACTTTGGGAGGCCAAGGCGGGCAGATCATGGGGTCAGGAGATCAAGACCATCCTGGCTAACATCTACTAAAAATACCAAAAAAATTAGCCAGGCGTGGTGGCGGGTGCCTGTAGTCCCAGCTAGTTGGGAGGCTGAGGCAGGAGAATGGCGTGAACCTGGGAGGCAGAGCTTGCAGTGAGCCGAGATCGCACCACTGCACTTCAGCCTGGGCAACAGAGCGAGACTCCATCAAAAAAAACAAAACAAAAGAATTCACGTGTAGACACATCATAGGGAAACTGTAGAATACAGAATCTTTAAAAATACTACAGGAAAAAGACTACAGATCACTTGTACAAGAACAAGCAGACAAGCAGCAATGTTTTCAACCACAACAATGGGAGCAGGAAGGCAGTGAAATAACATCTTCAATGTGCTAAGGGAAAATAACTATCTACCTAGAATTCTGAACCGAACATAACACTCACTTATGAATAAGAGGACAAGAGCCATTTCAGACCAAGAACTAAGTTGACTACTATATGCCCTCACTAAAGCACCAAAGGAAGAAGGAAAGTGATTCCAGAAAGATCTCATACACACAAGGGACTTGAGAACAAAGAAAATAGTATATAGGTGGGCAAAGTTCAACAAGTATCAGTTCTATTGAACAGTAACAATAAAGGTTCATGTTGGGATAAAAAATGACTTGAAACTAAATTAGTGGACATTGATAACAAGCAAGGTATGGAAGATGGCAAGAGGATAATTGCCTTTCAGTGTGAAAGGCACATGTTAAAACTTTTATTTTTTGCTACCTTGTCAAAGACACATGTTAAAACTTTAAGAGTAACCACTAAAATGAGAGTATAAACTTTCTAAATCAATAGAGGAGGAAAATGGAATTTTTAAAATATCTTCAAGTTGAGCAAGGCATGAATAGTCCCCGACCTTGAGAATCTCAGAGTCTGGTGCAGAAGGCAAGCAAATAAAAACATAATTCTATTGACAACATTTTAAATATATATGGTAAAATATATTAAAGAATGTGGGGAGGTGGGTTGATAGTCATGACACACATGAATGTGAATTGGTACAGTTGCTCCAGAGGACAGCTTGCCATTAGATTCCCCGCCATTCCCCTCTCACTGCCAGGCCTCGCTGAGCCATTCACCCCTGTGCAGGCCTGTGCAAAGGAGGTACACACAGGCATGCTACTGCAGCATTATGGGAATACCAGAGACCCAGAAACAGCCTACACACCCACTAATGAAGGAATGGCCAAAACCACAAATATTTCTCCACAGCATAAAGAAGGACAAGGTAGATCTACTATGTTCTAATATCTAATAACTAATCCTACACACAAACACACACACATCACAGAAAGATATCTTCCAGGCCCAGGATAGGGCCCTGGAACCTCATAAGTGTGCAATGAATGTGAACTAAACTGAATGGTACACAATACTGCAGAGAGGGGTCAGGAGAGACACAGAGATCTAGAACTTGTGAGCCAGGAGGAGCTTTCAGCAGAAACAGAATAAGCTAAAAGAAGAGAGTTCCTGGCTGACACTGTGAGGATGCTGGGGCAAAGGCAGAGGCGGAGCCCGCAGACTCCTCCCAGGCACTTCTGGTGCATAGGTGCATGCTCCCCTCCCAAGCCCACACTTGAGGGATTCTGGGAGTTCAGGACCAAATCTGGTCTAGGGTGAGGGTGGGAAGAGGAGGTTGGAAAAGGCCCAGGCAGCGAGCCACCACCCTTGCCTCCTTCCCACACTATCAGCTCTTGTCTTCCTGTTTGACCAAACTTGTCAAGCATGTTTTTGAAAGTTCCTATCCTTGAGAAGAGTTATGGGGCATGTGAGGTCTGGATCTCTCAGGAGGCCACAGTGACCACCCAGGCCACAGCTTCACCTCTGTCCTGAACTCCCAGGGAGGAAAATGTCTACAGTATTTGGGCCACAGGGCTCGCTTCCTACCAGGCATCTCTCTTACGGGAGTCCTGTGGGGTTAGGTGAACTCAGCTGTGTGTGTGCATGTACTTCTCCAACTCAACTGCTACCTGACCACACATAAGACTCGCCCCCTATATTCTGAGCACATTCTTAGACACTGGAGATGAATCAGCCCCTTTCTGTGCCTTAGTCCTTGACTACCTCTGCCACCTCTTCTTTCACCATTCCATACTTTATGCAGAATATTAGTATATCCCTACACACAATAGGTTGTTTCTTACTTCTGAGCCTTTACTCAATGCTGTTCCTCCTGCCTGGGACTCATTTCCTCTCTTATCTGATTAATGGTTATTTGTCTTTTAGATTCAGTAGTCACTGCCTCCAGGAAGTCTTCCCTGACACCCCTCTACTCCAAATTGGGCTCTATCTCTCTTTGGGATTTTCATCATGGCCTAGGCTTATTATGTCTATTATGAAATTCCTATCAATACTAAAAGCAAGATTTATGAAGTTCCATGAATGACACTAAGCATTTAATAGGTATTAACATTTTTAAACTTCATATTATGTCTATGAAATGAGAGATCTTCTAATTGCCTTTCTGAGAGTAATCCTCCCTTATTTCTTACCATAATAACTTAACTCTGATCCTATTGGGAATAGGAATGTGCCCAGGTTAATAATTACATTTTATTTATAACCTTGCAATTAAATTCTGATCAATGGGATATAGATAAAAGTTGTTAGGTGAGAATAATGAAAAAACCTTCTAAAGGATGGCTGCTGTAGCTGAAAAACACATCTTACTCTTCCTCCTTCATTCTTCTTCCAGCCTGGAATGTTGGCATAATGGCTGAAGCTGCAGTAGCCATCTTGCGACCATGAGACTGTCTTGAAAAATGAAGCCACCTTCTAAAAATGGTAAAATAGAAAAATAGTAGGAGGAGTTCTGCTTATGATATGGTCAACAGACCCACTGGACCAAACTTCCCAGCAATTGTAACTATTAACTCTAGACAAAATAAAAAATGCAACTATCCAAAGGAACTAGAAAGCAGGCAGATGTTGGAGGGAAGCTGACATCTGGAAGAAGGAATGGGGCCCAGGATATTTCCCATTTTTACGGCTTTCAGCTTGTAGATAGTTCAAAATCATCTTGAATACACACTGAGTAGTGAGTAGCCTGTAGGGTGACTCACACTCTTATTGAAAACCTATAGTTTTTCTGACTTAGAGAACCAGAGAACAAAGCTCAGAGAAACCTCAGCTGCCAAAAAGTAAAGGAGTAATCCTAGAAAGTAGAGAGCCAAAGACAAAGAGCCATGAATTCTATGTAAAAACTCTGGCTAAACTCTGGCTAATTGCTGAACCTTGCATGCATGGAATAGGCTCAAACCTGCCCAGCTTATAACAAAAGTACTCAGCTGAGATTTGTATTGCTGCCCCAGAGACAGAGTTTGCAGTTTGAATCCAAACAAGCAAATTACCAGCTAAAACAAACCAAAAAAAATCAACACCATCCATAAGAATAGAACAGAGTCCAGGGCATCCAAAATATTACATTCACAATGTCCAGGATATGAAAAAATTACAACATGAAGAACAAGGAAGCTTGACTAATTGCCAAAAGAAAAGACAAGACAATAAAGATCCAGTTGTTGGAGTTAGCAGACTAGAATTTTAAAGCCGTTATTGTAACTATAATCAAAGAGGTAACAAAAATATACTTGTAATGAATAAATATGGGAAGAGATGCTTGTGCTGCTGTTTCTAGACAGAGCATACCTGGAGAAGTTGGGGTATTTGTGCAGAGCTGGTTTTGAGGAGAGAGGGAAAGAAAAGGAGAGGGGAAGAGACAGGAAAAGGAAGGGAAAGGAAAGAGGAAGGGCAAGGAGAAGAGAAAGAAAGTGGAGAAGGAGACAGATGAGTAAGTATAAGGGTTCCAATGGATGGAGAACAGCATCTTGGGAAGGCAGTTTTCCTCTAAACTGGTCCCTGCCTCCTGACCCTCTGACCTGAGAGTCACCCCTCCTCAGGGTGCATCAGTCCTCCTCCTGTCACCCTGAACTGCCCTCAGAAGCACTGCTCATCCTGTGACCCTCTAACTCCAGCTTCCTCTGATACTGCTTCATCCAGGCAGAAACACTGTAATACTCATCAAAGGCCCAGGGTGAGGAACAGGGAAACAAACCCAGACTCTACTATAAATTAGGGCAGTTGTAGGATAGGACTTACTCTGTATAACTGCAAGCCCCTTCCCATCCTAGCTCCCAGCTTCCTTCCATCAAGTCTGAATCTATGGACAGTTGTACCCCATGGTTCTCTGGAGGATTCTGTCTGGACAGCTGGCCCAACCTCACCTTCATCTTGAAGTGCATCTTGAACAGCAGCCTGAGACTGCTCTTGGGAGCTCTAAGAGGGCTCTGGGTATACCCAGAGAACAAAAAATTCAAGATATGATTTCTGTATTGCAACACCAAAGTAATAGCACTTTGTTCACTGACAGCAGCAAACAGGGCATTGATAAACACTGGAACCCAAATTACTTTTGTACCCTCCCCAGGCACCTTCACAGCTCTTTTCTGCCCCACATAATGGTTCTGTGTGAATGCTAAAATAGATAGTCCTCTCTCCCACTTTATACAAGTCAAAACTGAGGCCTTGGAGATTAAGGGATGGGTTTCCATTTGCACAGTGATGTACAATAAGTAGCAGATGTAGGTCTACAATCCAGGAGTCCTGTTTGCCAGCCAAAGTCCTATCCCACTAATCAGGGAGTCAGGTACCTTCCCCCAAGCCCATTCTATTATCCTACACGCTAACTATCACTTGTGATATAGGCATGCTCATCTTCATCAACTGTGAGTTCTTAAGAGGATAGGGACTGTATGCTTTTCCTTCTCTGCCTCCAGAAGCTAACATGGAGCAGACAGAGACTTGGAAAGCATGATGTAAAAACTTAAATCAGCCTGGGAAAGGGAAGACTTAACCATAGTGCAAGGCAGAAATTCTCTGACAGTTACCCTTTTCCTCCCAACAAGCATGTGACTGCAGCAGCTGCTTGGGGAAGCAGCCACTCCAGCATTAGAGACCACCAGCATAAACACAATCCATGACATCTTTAGGCAAAGGAAATTGAAACCAACTAGTTTGGTTGGCAATCTTTTTTTATTTAGCATCCCTCTAAAACCAGGCAAGCAAAGCAGTCAGCTCAGAAGCCACAGAACTGGAATGCATTTAAGGGCTCTGAGGTTGTCCAACCGGAACCTGCACATTCAGAGACCCCACCTCATTCCCGATTCCTGAAAAACTGATTGAGTTGAGACAGGAAGAGTAACTGGCGGGTGATTGCAGACTATCCAGTGTCAGCTCATTGTTCCAGGAGGAAGCTGTCAGGACAAGACCTCCCGGCCGTGCCTAGGGCCTCTGGTTCTTATTTTTCTCTTTGTAGGTGGGAGGATTGGGGGGGTGGTGGCAGGGAGCCATCACCCTTTCTCCCACCCAACTGGACACTCCCAATTAGATGTCATCAACCCAGGGTCTCCACATTCCCAACTCCTGGAGGCCTCAGACAAGGGGAGTAGGGGATACCTAATGCTATTTTCCCCTGGAGTTCCCTTTAAAACAAACTATTATTTTTTTAAAATTTTATTTTATTGTGGTTTGAAGACTTAACGTGATATCTAACCTCTTACTAAAATTTTAAGTATACAATACGGCATAATTAACTATATGCACTATGTTGCACAACAGATCTCTAGAACTTCTTCATCTTACTTAGCAGAAACTTCTTGCCCATTGATTAACTAATTAGTTAATTAACTCTCCATTCTCCTTACCTACCATCCCCTGGAAACCATGATCCTACTTTCTGTCTCTAAGACTGTGACTAGTCTAAGTAACTCACATAAGTGGAATCATACAATATTTATTTTTTGTGACTAGCTTATTTCACTTAGCATAATGTCCTAAAGTTTTATCCGTGTTGTAACACTGTAAGAATTTCCTTCCTTTTTAAGGCTGAATAATATTCCATTGTATACCATATACAATATATACCATATTTTCTTTATCCATTCATCAATCCGCGAACATTTAGCCTATTTCCAAATCTCAGATACTGTGAATAGTGCTGCAATGAACATGGGAGTGTGTTCTGTGCGGGAAATGCTCAAGGGGAAAAGAAAAGGCACACACACAATACCTTTAAGGCTAAACAAGCTTTAACCCCTGTAAATGACAATGCAGACATAATAAGCAAATGATATAATAAGCAAATGATGTAATAAGCAAATGATATAATAAGGAAATTGCAATGGGAAGAGGAGAAGGGAAAAGAGAGATATATATTTACACTCACCAGACTATGGAGGATTCACCAGCAGACTGGGAAGCAACAGCCTGAGCTCCAGAATCGGCCACTCATCCGTGCACAGACGAGAAAAGGTCTCATGAAGTTTCAGTACAATCTGGGACCCTAGCTCTTTTTATAACAAGTTGTTTGGCATGAGGCCCAGTCACAAAGGCCCTTCGCGACTGGGCTCAAGGAACACAAAAAGGTCAGCTTGTTTCTGCGATTGTCTATTGTTTTTCAATAACTAACATATAGGAATAGATTGAAATAGAGATTTCTCCGAAACAGTGCTGGATGAGTGTCTCAAGGGGCTCACACAAACTGTTGTGGGACTTGGTGACCATTGTTTCTGTCTATGTTCAATTGAGTTCAAATTTAATATTTAACTTTCCCTCCACAAGGTGGTAATATCTCTTCAATATCCTGACTTCAAAATATCTAGAAGTGGCATTGCTGGATATGTAGTTCTAGTTTTAAATTTTTGAGAAACCTATATGCTGTTTTCCATAACTGCTGCACCATTTTGCATTCCTACCAACAGCATGCAAAGCTTCCAACTTCTCCATATCCTCACCAACACTTCTTGCCTTTTGTTTTTTTGATAATAACCCTCCTGATAGATGTGAAATGGTATCTCATTGTGGTTTTGATTTGCATTTCCATAATGATTAGTGATGCTGAACATCTTTTTATATACCTATTTGCCATTTGTGTGACTTCTTTGAAGAAATGTCTATTCAAGTCTTTAGCCCATTTTTAAATCAAGTTATTAGGTTTTTTTTTTGTATTGAGTAACAGGTGCTCCTTATATAGTTTGGAAATTAACCCCTTATTATAGATGGTTTGCAAATATTTTCTCCTAGAAAATATTTAACTCTGTTAGTTGTTTCTGTTGCTGTACAGAGATTTTAGTTTAATGTAGTCTTACTTCTCTATTTTTGTTTTTGTTGCCTGTGTTGTTGGTATCATATACATGAAATAATGCTAAGACTCATGTCATGAAATTTTTCATTTTCTTCTACAAGTTTTACAGTTTCACACCTCACATTTTAAGCCTTTAATCTATTTTAGTTGATTTTTGTATATAAGATAAAGGGTCCAATTTCATTCTTTTGCATGTGACTATCCAGTTTTCCCAACACCTCTTGTTGAAGAGATTATCCTTTCCCTATCATGTATTCTTGGTATCCTTGTCAAAGATCAGTTGACTGTATATGCATGGATTTATTTATCCATGGATATATAATGAAACAACTCCATCTGTTCCATTGTCTACAGGTCTGTCTTTATGCCAGTACCATACTGTTTTGATTACTGTATCTTTGTAATATATTTTGAAAATACCTTAACATAATAAAGGCTATCTATGAAAAGGCCGCAGCTAACATCACCTCCATGGTGAAAAACTGAAACCTTTTCCTCTAAGATCAGAGACAAGACAAGGATGCCCACTCCTTGCCATATGTACTGGAAGTCCTAGTCAAAACAATTAGGTAAGAAAAAGAAATAAAAGTCATGTAAATCAGAAAGGAAGAAGTAAAACTATCCTTGTTCACAGATGACATAATCTTACACATAGAAAACCCTAAAGCCTCCATTAAAAAACTGTAGAAATAATAAATGAATTCAGTAAACTTGCAGGATACAAAATCAACATGCAAAACTCAGTTGTGTTTTTATATACTAACAATGAACTATCTGAAAAAGAAAATTAGAAAAACAATTCCATTTATAATAGCACCAAAAAGAATAAACAGGAATAAACTTAACTAAGGAGGTGAAATATTTGTATACCAAAAACTACGAAATATTGATTAAAAAATTAAAGAAGATACAAATAAATGGAACAATATCACATGTTCATGTATTGGAAGAAGTAATATTGTCAAGATATCAATACCACCCAAAGTGATCTATAGATTTAATATAATCCCTATTAAAATCTCAATGATGTTTTTGGTAGAAATAGAAAAATCTATCCTAAAATTCATATAGAATCTCAAAGGACCCCAAATAGCCCAAACAACCTTTAAAAGGAAGAACAAAGCCAGAGAACTCACACTTCTCAATTTCAAAACTTACTACAAAGCTACAGTAATCAGTGTGGTACTGGTATAATGACAGATATAGAGACCAGCGGAATAGAGAATCCAGAAATAAATCCTGAATATAGGGTCAAATAATTTTTGACAAGGGTGCCAGGACCATTTAATGGGGAAAGGACAGTCTTTTCAACAAATGATGTTGAAAGTCGTTTCAACAAATGACTGTCGTTTCAAAAAAAGGACAGTCTTTTCAACAAATGTTTCAGCAAACTGAATATTCACATACAAAAGTGGCAAGCTGGATCTTTACCTAACACCATTCACAAAAAATTAACTCAAAATGGACCAAAGACCTAAATATAACAGCTAAGACTATAAAACTCTTACAAGAAACACAGGGCAAAAACTTCATGACACTGGATTTGGCAGCAATTTCTTGGATATGACAGACAAAGGCAGAGGCAACAAAACAATCATTAAAAATGGACTTCATGAAGTCAGTGTGGCGATTCCTCAGGGATCTAGAACTAGAAATACCATTTGACCCAGCAATCCCATTACTGGGTATATACCCAAAGGATTATAAATCATGCTGCTATAAGGACACATGCACTCCTATGTTTATTGCGGCACTATTCACAATAGCAAAGACTTGGAACCAACCCAAATGTCCAACAATGATAGACTGGATTAAGAAAATGTGGCACATATACACCATGGAATACTATGCAGGCATAAAAAATGATGAGTTCATGTCCTTTATAGAGACATGGATGAAGCTGGAAACCATCATTCTCAGCAAAGTATCGCAAGGACAAAAAACCAAACACTGCATGTTCTCACTCATAGGTGGGAATTGAACAATGAGAACACATGGACACAGGAAGGGGAATATCACACACCGGGGCCTGTTGTGGGGTGGGGAGACGGGGGAGGGATAGCATTAGGAGATATACCTAATGTTAAATGACGAGTTAATGGGTGCAGCACACCAACATGGCACATGTATACATATGTAACTAACCTGCACATTGTGCATATGTACCCTAAAACTTAAAGTATAATTAAAAAAGATATGCATTTCCTTTTCCAACTAATCATGAAGAATAATAAGTAATGTAAGATCAGAATAAACAAAATTCCTGAAGACAAAAAAAATGGACTTCATGAAAATTTTTAAATTTTGTACATAAAAGACAGTATCAATGGAATAAGAAGGCAACCCACAGAATGAGGGGAAATATTGGCAAATCATGTATCTAAGAAGAGATGAATGATGAATATCCAGAGTATATAAAGAACTCCTAAAACTCAACAACAACAAATCAGCCTGATTCAAAATGAAAAAAGAACTTGAATGAACATTCCTCCAAAACAGATATACAGATGGCCAATAAGCACATCCTGCTCATCAACTGGCTTTTTTTCTTTCTTTTTTGTTTAACAACAATGTGACAAACATTGAGCTACGTGCTTATTTAATTTACTCCTCAGAGTAAACCTATTAGGTAGATATTATTATCTCCATATTCGGATGAGAGGAATGAGGCTCAGAGAGGTTGGGTAACTTTCTCAAGTTGATACAGTCAGTGAATGGTAGAATCAGATTCAAATCTAGATTTCTAAAGCCCATGTTTCGATATTTTGGGTCAATTGAACATTTTCTTTTTCCTCTTTTTAAAAAATATTTTCTATGGAGGTATTGCTATACTTCACTTTATTGAGGTATAGCATATAATAGAGCATACAAATCTTAAGTGTACAGCTCAATGAATTTTTGCTTTTGCCTACACATTGGAACCACCATCCAGATCAAGATATATAACATGACCAGCATCACAGAAAGTTATCTCATACCCTGCCCCAGTCAGCACCACCCATCCCACTAGAGCTCAACTCTGTTTGACTTTTTACTTCTATCACCATAGAGCAGTTTTTCCTGTTCTTACACTTTCATATCAATTGTACTGCATGTACTCCTTTATGTCTGGCTTGTTTTGCTCAAGATAATGCCTATAAGATTCATTCATGTTGTTGTGTGCATCCGAAGTTCATTCTCTTTTACTGATATGTGGTATTCCATTGTATGAATATATTCTGATTTGTCCATTCTCTTGTAAATGAATATTTAGGTTGTTTTGAGTTTTTAGCTATATAAATAAAGCTGTTATGAACATTCTTATACCTGTCTTTATCTTGACATGAAACATGTCTCCATTTACTTAGGTATATAACTCAGAGTAAAATTGCTGGCTATAAGGTAGGCATACATTTAACTGTTATGAATAATGCCAAATAGTTTTCCAAAATGGTTGAACCAATTAATACTCCAAAAAAGCAGTGTGGGAGAGTTCCAGTTGCTCCATAACCTTGTCCACACTTGGTATTATAAGGTTGTTGGTATTGTTAGCTTATCAGTCCTATGAAGATGTAGAGTTTTCTCATTTTGATTTTAATTTACATATCCCTCATGAGTAATGATGTTGAAAATTTTTTAGCTTTTTATAGCCATTTGGAGACCTTCTTTTGAAAAAATATCTGTTCAGGCATTTCTCTTTTTTAATAGATTATCTTTTTATTGATTTTTAAGGGTTCTTTATACATTCTAGATAGAAGTCCTTTGTTCGATATTTGTATTGTGAATATCTTCTCTCAATCTGTGGCTTGTCATTTACTTTTTAAATTTTTTACTGGTATGCTTTTTTGTGCTTTTTGTGTTCCGTTTAAGAAATCTTTTCCTATCCTAGGGTCAAGAAAATTTTCTCCTCTTTTCTTCTAGAAGCTTTATCACTTTACCTTTCACATTAACATCTATGGTCCATCTTGAATAAATTTTTACAGGGCATGAGGTAGGGATAATTGTTTATTTTTTATATACAGATATCTTATTATTTCAGCATAATTCTTTTTTTGCAAATACCATCTTTTCCCCACTGAGTTGCAGTGGATCCTTTGTTGTAAATCAAGGGGCTACGTAGTGGGTCTTCCTATTCTGTTCCATTAGTTTATTTTCCAATCCTTATGCTGATACTACACTGTTCTAATTACTTCAGCTTTATAGTAAGCCTTGAAATCTGGTAGTGAAAATCTTTCAGATTTGTTCTTACTCTTCAAGATTTAATGACGCCTCTAGGTCTTTTGCTTTGCCATATAAAGTTTCGAATCAATTTGTCAATATTTACCAAAAAAAATCTGCTGGGATCCTGATTAGGGTTGAGTTGAATCTATAGATGAATTTGGAAAGAACTGATATGTTAACAACATTGAATTTTCCAATCCATAGACATAAAACATCTCTCCATTTACTTAGATCTTCTTTAAGTTCTCTGAACACCATTTTATGATTTTCAGTCTTCTACATCTTTAGTTGGCTTATTCTAGGAATTTAACTTTTGATTCAATTATATATAGTATCATTTTTAAAATTTTACTTTCTAGTTGCTTGTTGCTAGTTATATAAATAGAAATAATATTTTATATTTTGCTTTTGGATTCAGTGATCTTACTAAATGTACTTATTTATATTAATAATTATCAGTAGTTTAGAGATTCACTTAGATTTTCTACATATGCCATCATTTCATCTGCAAATAAAAACATGTTTACTTCTGTCTTTCCAATCCTTATACAGTCAACTCTTCATATCCCTGTGTCCCACATCTGTAGATTCAACCAACTACAGATCAAAAACGTTTGGAGAAAAAAAAAGAATAGTTGCATCTGTACTGAACGTGTACTGACTTTTTCTCCTTGTCATTATTCCCTAAACAATACAGAATAACAACTCTTTACATAGCACTTACATTGTATTAAGTATTATAAGTAATCTAGAGATGATTCAAATTATATGGGAGAATGTGCATAGGTTTTATGCAACTACTACATCATTTTATATAGGGACTTGAGCATCCATAGATTTTGGTATTCACAGGGAATCCTGGAACCAATCCCGAATAGATACCATGGGATGACTGTATCTTATTGCACTGGGGCCTTTCAGTACAATGCTAAAAGAAGAGGTGATAGTGGACATACTTGTCTTGCTTCCAACCTCAGGAGGAAAGTGTCCAATATTTCACCATTGAGTATGATGTCAGGTATAGGATTTTTGATAATGATTTTTGAATGCTTTATAAGATTAAGGAAGTTCTTTTCTAGTCTTAGTTTGCTGAGTGTTTTCATCATGAATAGATGCTGAAATATATCAATTGCTTTTTCTATATCTACTGAGCTACTGAGCACAAATAGTACCACAATTCACAACATGATAAACTCTTTGGAAGGCCTTAAAATGAAAGATGCTTGGGATTATTATAATTTCCCTCTTGGAACATCTACATGGAAATGGAAAAAACTATATGGATGAAGTTGGTGAAGAGTCAGTGAAAGGCTATTACTGGAAGGCCTTTGTCTACAGAGATTAGGAAGGAGTATCCTTTTTCCCATCCAATTTTAATAAATTATTATCTTGGTGTCCGTATGTATGTATCCATTTTGGCTAATGTTGGTGTTCCCCAAGAATTAGGATTCAGAGCTGTTTCTTTCATCTCCTTGCTCTTGTGAGGAAAACTGATGGCTTCTCTAGGGGCCTCGATCTTCCCCATCACTAACCTCCCCAGAGGCAGATGGTTGAACTGTGCCTGAAGGAAAGTCAGGAAAGGACCTCCCTTTCCTCTGCCTTTTCTCCCAGAAAGTCCCTGGGACCTTCAGGTGCCATCTCAGTATTCAAATTGGACTCTGCAAGCCACACACACCTACTCTCTCCCTTCCTCCAAACCCAGAGCAGGTGACAGGAGATGGGCATCACTATGCAGGATGGCAGGGAGAGTGGAATGGGGTGGGGAGTATTCCTGAGTGATCTAGAGGCCCAGGAAAGCCCACCACATATAGTGCCCTTCTTAGCCCAGTCCCAGAAAGCTAACCACTTTTTTCCTTAGGATCATTCCATTTTTTGAGGAAACTTCAAGTAACTTCATTAGCAGGCTTGAGAATTATCTACAAAAACTCATAAACACTAACACCTTTAGATGTTGCAATCTGGACACAAATTGTCACAGGACAGACCCAAAAAGGTCAACAGAATTTGGAGGACAAGCCCTTCTGTCCACACTAGAGCTGTGTTTTTTTCTAGGTCTTGCTAACTGAAGGCCACCACCAGCTCCTTGGTGAGGAGGGTCTGGGTGAGACATTGGTAATTAACCCCATAGCACATTGTGGTATGTTCAGTAACTCCCAACTACACCATATGTGGTCTTTGTAAAGTCAGGAATTAACGAACCTCTCCCTCTAGACATGGACAAATAAAATGCCTGGACCAAGTGGATACTACCTGGGTGTTAGAGGAAAGATTCTGGTGTCCAAGTGGAGCCAAACCAGACAAGCAGGTGGGGCTTCTCTTGGAGCTAACAGTTTCCTTGGGTGTTTTCTACATTTCTGCACTCAGAGCCTTTAGTTGGGAATACTCCTCTCTCATTATCACCATTCCTTCTTCCAGATCCAAACTCCATACCCATACTGGGCCAAAGGTCCCAACTTGTCACTGCCCCATCCTCAGCAATAGGACTCTATGCTTTTCACCTTGACACTGGAAAGTGGCCCATCCTTCAAATGACCCTGTCTCCACAAAGCTTTCTCTGATAACCTCAGTGGGAATGACAACCTATTCCTCAATTCAGGGAAGTAGCTGCTGTTCTCTTCACATACCACTCACTGTCCTATAACTGTCCTTTCTATCCATTTTGTCCTTTATTTTCCAAACTGACTCCTTGAGACCTTCATTTTTCCCAACTGACTTTTGAGATCAGGGACCAAGTTTTATCATTCTTGGTAGCAACTTCTGCTCCTCAAACATTTCTAGAAACATTATGGGAAGGTTGAGGGACTAAATGCTGCCTTCTGGGTCATTCCTGGCCCTCTCACCATGCGTGTGATGTCCTGTGGAACAGCACTTTGAATATCTGCCATCATTAGGAAGCAGTGTTTTTTTGACTATCAGCCCCATCAATCAGGAGTGAAAGTTGTTAGTTCAACTCTGAGTGATAAACAACTTTGCCCTAAGGAAACATGCATGCTTTCTGAGACCAAACTGCAAGAGTAGCTATTTGGATAGGGGTTTGCCTAGATATGGCAACTCTGAGGAGCTGGGCCAGAGGCTTCAGGAAACCCCAGAAGGGCATGTGGTGTGGACACTGCATGCTGGAGGAATCCAGCCAGTAAGACAGCCTCCTGCCTGCTTACTGGCCACTCCCTCCTAAGTCCAGACATTTGCAAAGCCTGAAGTTTTGGCACAAGGCTGCTCCCATCCTTGCCGGCATGGGTTTATGGATATTAAAAATGTGCTGATGCAAATTGCCATGCAAACATGCTTCAATAGAAGTGCTGCATGCAGAAACACTGCTCCTTTTATCATCTCCTCCACCTCTGTTGGAAACATTCACCCACAGATGATGCGGAGATTAGTGGGGCGTCAGGCTGCTGTGTGTTTTTAGGCTGCTTGTCAGCTCCCATTGGCTATGGCTAGGGCTGTAGAGAAGGCTGGGATACACCTCAGTGCCCTGTCTGAGGCCCATAGGCAGAGTTCTGGGGCAGAAGCATGACTTAGGAGTGGGAGAAGAAAGAGCCCATTCCTTAGTCAGATATTAATATTTTCTCAAGTCTCCAGGCTCCAGCCATTGGCCAGCACACCTAGGTTGTGCTCTCTGGGCTGGCAAACAGCATCAACACAAGTCCAAGCCCTTCCTGTTCTGGTGGCAGCCACTCTCACCCACTCTCTCTTTTCTACTCCCTGTTCTCTCATTCTTCTCCCTATAGGGTTTCCAGAAAAAAATGCAGACCATGTAGAATTGGGGCAATTTCAGCCAAATGCAAAACTGTCTTAGATGGAAGGATGTAAGATACACTAGACAGCCCTTGCCAAGCAGGAAAGGCTTGGACTTGTATTCTAAACTACAGTGCCCCTCTGCCCCTGAGAAGACTCCACATTTTCCTTTTACAAGAACTGCCTTCAGGTTCCCAGCCCTTAGATTGTGGATGTACAGCATGGCAGAGCTGGGGAGGGCCTTGGCAGCCCCCAGTGCTCCTCATCTGCCTACCTGCCATTCTGTCTCTCAGAAAAGAGCCCGATGCTGAAAAGCCTTGAAGACAAGCATGAAGAGTCCCCTGTCAGTCCTGCCCAAGCTCCCTGCAGCAGGTCTAGTGCCCTTCCTCTGTCTCTCTTGCCTTCCAAGAGAGACCTGCCCTCCATGAGGGACACAGGGACAGTCAGTAGCTAGATCAGAGAGGTATGACGGGGTTGATGCAACTCTGGGCCTGAACCCAGCCAACTCTCCTGGCCTTTGGCAGATGACTGAGTCCAGCCTGAGTGGAAGAATTCCTGGGGACCCTTATAGAGAACACTGACCAGGCCCCAAAGCCCCCTTAGGAAAATGAATCTCCCTTTCACCACCTAAGAGAAGAGGAAGGTTGAGCCTCAGAGCACCGGATGGGGGATCAGCAAACATCCAGAATTCCCCCCACCCCAAGGCCTACCAGGGACATCCAACCTTCTCCCCAGCTAGAGGTGACCACCACCCCACCGCCCTTAGTCTGCACCCACCTTGTTCTAGGAGCCTGAAATTCTACCAATGAAATTCTTTCCATTGGGTTAAGTCTAATATGAATTAGCTAGATGTTTTCTTCAGGGTAATTCTGAAGGGGTTAGAGAAAGGATAAAGGGCCAGTGCATTCAAAAAGGATGACAAGGTGTCCAAACAATTGAAAGCAGAGTTTGGATTAAGTTTTCATAGAAAAATAACGTTTTAAATTATCTACTGATTTTCAACCAAACATCTCCAGGTGTAGATAATATCACAGGCAGGTAAGGCAGGTTAACCTCTTGATTGTCTAGTACCCTACACTCTCCTGTGTATACCTCAGGTTGAACACCCAGAACTCAGAATCAATTTCAGTACTAGAATCTCAGAAGCAGAAAGAATCTCAGGGATGATGCAATCTGGGGGTCACCACCTTCTCACCATAAAGGACTTCTCTTATTTTATCCCCTATATTTTAGGAATTCTAATGTCATCAAAGCCAATCAGTACTGTTGACTAGGATGGGCTAACCTCTGGGACCACATAGAATTGGTGCAATTTCAGCCAAATGCCAAACTGTCTTAGATAACCTGGTACTCCTCATTTTGGCAAAGCATTGGCTTTCTAATCAGCTTTACAAAATGCTCAAAACAGTCTCACACCACATTTATTGCCATTCACCAACCCAGAAGCATCTTGGGCCTGGCCTAGCTAACCTCAGGGACTGCCCAGCAACTCTGCACGGTGTACTGTGTGTAGCAGTCCTGAAACCACACACCATGTAGCTGCATGCCCTCCAAGAGAAAGTTGATATTGTGGCCATCAGCCCTGGGTGAGGACAGGGACTGGGGCTGGGGGAAGACCAGGCTTTCCCAGAGTTGTCTCCCTACAAAGTCATCCTGTCAACAAATGATCCCCAGTGGCCCAGGAGCTGTGACATCAGTTTGGTGCCTTTGATGTCAGTGGCTGCTGAATTTCACCTTACATCTGGTTTCCTGGCCAGGCTACTGAGAAAGGCCAGGTGGTGGGGCTCTGGAGCTGTCTGTCATCCAAGCTGACACATGACAGCCAGCCCGGGCTGAGCCTGAGAAAGCAGGATGTGGAGAACGAAAGTCAGTGACTATTCAGGGAACCCAAGTACAGCAAGGAGCATTCCTTTCGTTCCAGGAGAGACCAGGTCTGAGATGGCTCAGGCATACCCAGTCTGACCCCAGGGAAGGGCTACCTGAGGCTGAGGGGGTGTTGAGGGGAGGCCTCATGTGGCCCCTCCCTGCGGACAGAAACAGGAGGTCCATGTGGTGTGGTGTCAGGTGACTTCTCAGTCTTTCCTGAGGCTCATTTCCTACCCTGGGGTGGCACAGGACCCCTGTCCCCAGGTGCTTTGCCAACTTCCATTTTTCCCTGTTTTAAGTTTCCCAGGGAAGTTTGCTGTGTGTATCCTGCTCTTTGCTAGAAGGCAGGAAACTCGTTTTTAGAACCTAGATTTGCCCCACTCTCACTGTGTGACCTTGGAAAATCCCTTTTTATTCTCCAGGCCTTAGTTCCTCATCTATCTATCACAGGAGTGAACGAAGCAGGTGCGAGGCATATGAGGTAGACACATTTATTGTACACATTCTATGTATCTGTCATTTGATGTACTTTATTTCTTTTGATCTGCACAAAATTCTAATATTCATAGAACTTGACATTTTATTGACTTGATTTGCCAGACCCAGTGCTGGGCTTTTTACACGCATTAATTCAACTATTCCTCATAACAATCCCATAATGTAGACTCTATTATTATCTCCATTTTAGAGAGGAGACTGAGGCACAGAGCACTTAGATAACTTTCCAAGTCATACTGCTCATGAGGGAAGAGCCTGAACACAGGCAGCAAACCTCAGGGCAGCCATTTTCTGCTGCCTCATGAAGTTTATCTGTGACATCGTAATCATAAGAGCACCCTCTTCATGGGGGTGCTGGGAGTATTCAATGAGTGCTGAGAACTTAACATGTAGATGTGCTCAATGAAGGTGACCGATTTGTCTGCTATTATACTAAGGATCAGAGAGGTGAGGTGACAGACCCAGGCCTCCCAACCCTGGAGATGGTACCCACCCACCGCCCCTGCCTACCACTCCCTCCATTCATTTAGGTCAAGGCAACCCCAGACAAGGCCAGAAGGACAACCCGTCACCTGCTTGCTTTCCTCATTTCCAGTCATTAAATTTCTTTATCTGCCTTGGAGATTCTGCCTCAGCTTACTCTCTACTTCCAGGGTCAAAGGTCTCTACTTTTGACACAGGAATCTCACTCCCACTTGGTAGAGTGACTGATAACAGCTTAGTGTGAGATCCCTTGGTAGGAGCACATCAGTCCTACTGAAACAGGCACAGGAGTGAAGTTCCACGAGACAGCTCTCAGGAGCAGCCTAAGGAACAAGGCGGTGGGGACTGCTATACCCCCAGATCAGCCCTAGCTCTGGGGAATGATGGTGCCCTGGGCCACCACATCAAAGCACAGCATCTAGGAAGCCCTGAGTCTAGGAAGGGGTCTGGCCTTCAGTGTTTTGGTAAAGATTAGCCAGTTTGGGGTTTGAAAAACAAAACTTATTTTAAAAGGTCATGTTAAAAAGTAGAGGGAGAGAGAAAGAACTTAAAAATCCCAGAGTCACCCTCACAAGTAGGTTTTCTCCCAGATTTTTTCTGTAACAAATGTAAAAATATCATTTTGTTTTGAAAATTAAAATAATATTGTGGCTATGCTTTTGAATCTTTTTTTTTTTTTGGCCAAACTTTACATTGCCTGAAAATTTTCATGTTACCAAACAATTTCTAAAGTCTACTTTGTTGTGGCAGATACAACAAATTGACTACTTGACAGCATTTGGTTTTATGACCTCCTTCCTACTCCTCTAACTTTCTTATTAAAGAATCTGGAAAGCCAAAAATTCTTACTTTCCCAGACTCCTTTGCAGTTAGGAGTAGCCCTGGAACAGTTGCGGCCGATAGCTGAAAGCAGATATCACTGGGTGTGTCTTCAGGTAAAGTTCATAAAAATGGATAGACTCATGCCTTTTTGCCCTTTTCCTCTTTCCTCCCCTCCATCATGCTAAAGTCATACCTTCAGAGGAAGCCATCTTGTAACCTTAAGAATGAAAGTACAAAATTAGATGGAGTCTGGGTTCTTAATGATATTCTTGGGCTGCTGCATCAGCCTGAAATGATCTATTTCTGGACTTCTTATTGCAATAAATTAATCCATCTGTTAAAGCCCCTTTGGTCACATTCTTGGTTTCTTGAAGCTAAATGCAACCCTCAATGCACATTATATGAGTGTATCACAATGTAGCATTCCCTACTGACTTACTGCTACTATAAACAACATTGCCCTGAATATCCCCAAGATAAATTGCTATGTATTTCTTCAATTATTTACTTTGGCTTTATTCCTGGAAAAGAAATTATTAAGCCAAAGAGAAGGTAGTTTTCAGGGGGGTGGGGTTGTTTTGTTTTTTTACCTTTTGATGCATCTTTCACATGGCCATGCAGGCATGTCATGCCAACAACGTTTCTACCAGCTTTAAGTAAGTCAGGAGGACTTACAACACACTTCGTGAAGCAGGAGCTAAGTCAGCCACAGCCCATTAAGAAAGATTGCCCCAGCAAGGCCTGTCTGTGATCTGAGCTTTGCAGAAACCCCCTTAGGAAGGAAAAGGGCTGGTTCTGGCCACAGAAGAGCCTGCTGCTGCCTCTGCTACTGCAACTTTTGCAGGGACTCTCCATCCCCAGAGGCTGCAAATTCTATTAATACCAGTGTTTCTCAACCTCTACACCACTCATGTTTGGAATGGATAATTTTTGTCATAGTTCCCTTTGTTGTAGGAGGCTATCCTGTACATTATAGGATGTTTAGCAGCATTCTTGGCCTCTAACTACTAGATGCCAGTAGCACCTGTTTCCCAGTTTTGACAATTGAAAGTGTCATTGCCCCAAGTGAACATTGCCCCAAGTCCCCTGGGGGAGGAGGGGGGCAAAATCTCCAATGTGCTTCCAGTAATTCTTGCACTTGAAAGTACACCAGGCTGAGAACCACAATTCTGCTTGAGTTCTGGGAAAAAAAAAAAAAAAAAAAAAAAAAAAAACCGGTAACAAGGATTCTTTTTATTAAGAGAATCAACCTTCATTGAATGCCAGCCCCAAAGTAGGCACTGAGGTGGGCACTGAGGCTACAACAGCAAACACACCAGACATGATCCCTGCCTCCCCGGAGCCCACAGCCAGTTAAAGAAGTTAGACTATTAAGAGATTACACAAGCAAGATAGATTATCTGGGCTTTGGTTTGCTCATCTGTCCAGTGGCAAGAATAGTCCTCAGGCATTGAACCTCACATGGTGGCTGGGTGATCATCAGCAATGTACGTGGGATGCCATGCCCTGAGGAAATGGCAGACTGAGTCAGAGACCAGGCAGAAGCTGAGAAGACAGACAGCAACTGGGCTGCTAGCACAAAGAAAAGATCAAGCCTCTCCATGAACCAAAGTGAAACCAAATCTGGACCTGTCACACATCTCTGATGTCTAGGGTGTGACAAAATGTGCCTTCTGGGCATCAGGGTCTCACTAGAAACCCACAGCCTCCTGGAGGGATGGACTACAACAATTTGGACAGCATGATCCACTGAGACAGAAAGTCCATGTTTTCCTCTCCCTCTCTCATACTAGGCCCTGAACCTGGTGCCCCTCCAGTCCTCAGGAGAGTTGGGTACTGCCAGGCAGGAAGCAGAAGCTGCTGAATGGCAACCTCTCTTTCTATTTTTATGGACTCCTGGGTGAATTAAACTTCAGACATTCAGCTATTTGTGGTGAAAACCCTAAAACCAAAATGACTTAAATAAGATTGATGTTTATTTTACCCTCATGCAAATTTGTGAACCAAAATAGCCCCTCTGCCCCCATAGTCACTGTGGCCCAAGCTCCCTTTCTCTTGTTGGTCTGCCATCCCTGGAATGTTGCCCTCTTCCACATGGCACAAGATGGCTCTCTACCATGTCTGCATCACAGCCAGCATGAAGGAAGCAGGTAAAGAGCATGTTAGGCCCAAGCCTGGGTCCTTAAAGGGCATGAGCCAGAAGCCGCCCCAGTGGTGTGCTGGATCTCACTGGCTCCAAGAGATGACTGTGCACATCTCTCCTCAATCCACATTTGTAGCTTGAAGTCAGCCATGGCTAGAACACTGACACCATGGAAACTCGTAAACACTACAGTCAAGGCTTTATTTTCTCTGAAGAGCTGGTTGTTAAATAATTACCAACAAATCCCTCACACATCTCTTCTGCTCAGAATCCATTGATAAGAACTTAGTGATAAAGTCACCCCTCAGCTGCAAGGGAAGCTAAGAAATATAGTCTCCAGCTATACAGCTATGTGCCCAGCTACAAATCTTATTGCTGTGGAATAAGGGCAGAATGGATCCTTGGGGCAACTAGCAGGCTCTGCCCCCAGACTTATTGAGAGGATTATGCCCAGAGTCCTGACAGAGAAGAGGGAAGAGGTGTTCGGAAAGAGAAAGATGATTCTCCAAGGCTGGCCAGGAGATGAGGTCTGGATCCCACATGTGGTATAGCTGGTTTCAGTGACCCCTTCCATGTAGAACTCTTAGGCAGCAGAACAAATGGCTCTCAGCCAGTTCTTGTGTACATGGCCCAATCTGGTCCATGGGAAACACTCACAAATCCTGAGAATGCAGAATACAACTCCCTGCTCGGTGCCATATGACCCTGCTGGGCTGAGTAAGCCTTGACACCCTTCCCACCAGCCTGAGGTGGGAGCAGACACCTCCCACCTCCCCACTCCAGCAACTTTCACCAAAATATTTCTTCTCCAACTCTCTCCAGGATGAGGGGTTTTTAGAGTCATGAAACAAATTGTCTAGGAGTCCCTTTGAAAAATGCACACCCTGCACAGCCTCACCACTAACATTGGTATTGAACCTCCATTTTATAATATCTCAGCAGTTCAGCTGGAACCTCCAATATACCTTCCTATTACTCTGTTAGCAACTAGCTGAGACCTAACTACTATGGACAATTGCCATTTTATTGTGTTTCACTTTATTGCACTTAGCAGGTAGTGCATTTTTTTTTTTTTTTTACAACTTGAAGGTTTACAGTGACCCGCATCAAGCAAGTCTATGAGCACCACTTTTCCGACATCATATGCTCACTTAGTGTCTCTGTGTCATATCTTAAAAATTCTTGCAATATTTCCATTTTTTATTATTATTATGTCTTTATGGTGACCAGTGATCTTTGATGTTATTATTGTAATTGTTTTGGAGCACCATGAACCATGCCCATATAGGAAGGCAAACTTAATTAATCTCAATAAATGTGTATGTTCTGACTGCTCCACCGCCTGGCCATTCCCTTGTCTCTCTCCTCCTTGTGCCTCCCTATTCTCTGAAATACAACAATATTGAAATTAGGCCAGTTAATGACCCTACAATATTGAAATTAGGCCAGTGTTCAAGGTAAAAGGAAGAGTGGTATGTCTCACTTTAAATCAAAAGCTAGAAATTGCTAAGTTTGAAGATATGTCCAAAATGAAGAAGATATGTCAAAAGCTGAGATCGGCTGAAAACTAGGCCTCTTGCACCAAACAGTTAACCAAGTTGTGATTGCAAAGGAAAAGTTATTGAAGGAAATTAAAAGTGCTACTCCAGTGAACATATGAATGATAAGAAGATTAAACAGCCTCATTGCTGATATGGAGAAAGTTTTTGTGGTCTGTATAGAAGATCAAACCAGCCGAGGTGGAGCCAAGACGGCTGAATAGGAACAGCTCCAGTCTACAGCTCCCAGCATGAGCGACACAGAAGACAGGTGATTTCTGCATTTCCAACTGAGGTACCAGGTTCATCTCACTGGGGAGTGCCAGACAGCAGGTGCAGGACAGTGGGTGCAGCGCACCGTGCATGAGCTGAAGCAGGGTGAGGCATCGCTTCACCCAGGAAGCACAAGGGGTCAGGGAATTCCCTTTCCTAGTCAAAGAAAGGGGTGACAGATGGCACCTGGAAAATCGGGTCACTCCCACCCTAATACTGCGCTTTTCCAACGGGATTAACAAACGGCACACCAGGAGATTATATCCTGCACCTGGCTCGGAGGATCCTACGCCCATGGAGCCTTGCTCATTGCTAGCACAGCAGTCTGAGATCAAACTGCAAGGTGGCAGCGAGGCTGGGGGAGGGGCGCCCACCACTGCTGAGTTAGTTGTTTGATTAGGTAAACAAAGCAGCCGGGAAGCTCAAACTGCCTCTGTAGGCTCCACCTCTGGGGGCAGGGCACAGACAAACAAAAGGCAGCAGTAACCTCTGCAGACTTAAATGTCCCTGTCTGACAGCTTTGAGGAGAGTAGTGGTTCTCGCAGCACACAGCTTGAGATCTGAGAATGGGCAGACTGCCTCCTCAAGTGGGTCCCTCACCCCCGAGTAGCCTAACTGGGAGACACCCCCCAGTATGGGCAAACTGACACCTCACACGGCCGGGTACTCCTCTGAGACAAAACTTCCAGAGGAACGATCAGGGAGCAGCATTTGCGGTTCACCGATATCCACTGTTCTGCAGCAACCGCCGCTGATACCCAGGCAAACAGGGTCTGGAGTGGACCTCCAGCAAACTCCAACAGACATGCAGCTGAGGGTCCTGACTGTTAGAAGGCAAACTAACAAACACAAAGGACATCCACCCCAAAAACCCATCTGTACATCACCATCATCAATGACCAAAGGTACATAAAACCACAAAGATGGGGAAAAAACAGAGCAGAAAAAATGGAAACTCTAAAAATCAGAGCACCTCTCCTCCTCCAAAGGAACGCAGCTCCTCACCAGCAATGGAACAAAGCTGGACGGAGAATGACTTTGATGAGTTGAGAGAAGAAGGCTTCAGAAGATCAAACTATTCCGAGCTAAAGGAGGAAGTTCGAACCAATGGCAAAGAAGTTAAAAACCTTGAAAAAAAATCAGACAAATGGCTAACTAGAACAACCAATGCAGAGAAGTCCTTAAAGGACCTGATGGAGCTGAAAACCAAGGCACGAGAACTACGTGACAAATGCACAAGCCTCAGTAGCCGATGTGATCAACTGGAAGAAAGGGTATCAGCAATGGAAAAGGAAATGAATGAAATGAAGTGGGAAGAGAAGTATAGAGAAAAAAGAATAAAAAGAAACGAACAAAGCCTCCAAGAAATATGGGACTATGTGAAAAGACCAAATTTATGTCTGATTGGTGTACCTGAAACTGACGGGGAGAATGGAACCAAATAGGAAAACACTCTGCAAGATATTATCCAGAAGAACTTCCCCAATCTAGCAAGGCAGGCCAACATTCAAATTCAGGAAATACAGAGAACCGCCACAAAGATACTCCTTGAGAAGAGCAACTCCAAGACACATAATTGTCAGATTCACCAAACTTGAAATGAAGGAAAAAATGTTAAGGGCAGCCAGAGAGAAAGGTCAGGTTACCCACAAAGGGAAGCCCATAAGACTAACAACGGATCTCTCGGCAGAAACTCTACAAGCCAGAAGAGAGTGGGGGCCAATATTCAACATTCTTAAAGAAAAGAATTTTCAATCCAGAATTTCATATCCAGCCAAACTAAGCGTCATAAGTGAAGGAGAAATAAAATACTTTACACACAAGCAAATGCTGAGAGATTTTGTCACCACCAGGCCTGCCCTAAAAGAGCTCCTGAAGGAAGCACTAAACATGGAAAGGAACAACCGGTACCAGCCACTGCAAAATCATGCCAAATTGTAAAGACCATCGAGGCTAGGAAGAAACTGCATCAACTAACGAGCAAAATAACCAGCTAACATCATAATGACAGGATCAAATTCACACATAACAATATTAACTTTAAATGTAAATGGGCTAAATGCTCCAATTAAAAGACACAGACTGGCAAATTGGATAAAGAGTCAAGACCCATCAGTGTGCTGTATTCAGGAAACCCATCTCACGTGCAGACACACATATAGGCTCAAAATAAAGGGATGGAGGAAGATCTACCAAGCAAATGGAAAACAGAAAAAGGCAGGTGTTGCAATCCTAGTCTCGGATAAAACAGACTTTAAACCAACAAAGATCAAAAGGGACAAAGAAGGCCATTACATAATGGTAAAGGGATCAATTCAACAAGAAGAGCTAACTATCCTAAATATATATGCACCCAATACAGGAGCACCCACATTCATAAAGCAAGTCCTTAGAGACCTACAAAGAGACTTAGACTCCCACACAATAATGATGGGAGACTTTAACACCCCACTGTCAACATTAGACAGATCAACGAGACAGAAAGTTAACAAGGATACCCAGGAATTGAACTCAGCTCTGCACCAAGCGGACCTAATAGACATCTACAGGAATCTCCACCCCAAATCAACAGAATATACATTCTTTTCAGTACCACACCACACCTATTCCAAAATTGACCACATAGTTGGACGTAAAGCACTCCTCAGCAAATGTAAAAGAACAGAAATTATAACAAACTGTCTCTCAGACCACAGTGCAATCAAACTAGAACTCAGGATTAAGAAACTCACTCAAAACTGCTCAACTACATGGAAACTGAACAACCCTGCTCCTGAATGACTACTGGGTACATAACGAAATGAAGGCAGAAATAAAGATGTTCTTTGAAACCAACGAGAACAAAGACACAACATACCAGAATGTCTGGGACACATTCAAAGCAGTGTGCAGAGGGAAATTTATAGCACTAAATGCCCACAAGAGAAAGCAGGAAAGATCTAAAATTGACACCCTAACATCACAATTAAAAGAACTAGAGAAGCAAGAGCAAACACATTCAAAAGCTAGCAGAAGGCAAGAAATAACTAAAATCAGAGCAGAACTGAAGGAGATATAGACACAAAAAACCCTTCAAAAAATCAATGAATCCAGGAGCTGGTTTTTTGAAAAGATCAACAAAATTGATAGACCGCTAGCAAGACTAATAAAGAAGAAAAGAGAGAAGAATCAAATAGACGCAATAAAAAATGACAAAGGGGATATCACCACCGATCCCTCAGAAATACAAACTACCGTCAGAGAATCCTATAAACACCTCTACGCAAATAAACTAGAAAATCTAGAAGAAACGGATAAATTCCTCAACACATACACCCTCCCGAGACTAAACCAGGAAGAATTTGAATCTCTGAATAGACTAATAATAGGCTCTGAAATTGAGGCAATAATTAATAGCTTACCAACCAAAAAGAGTCCAGGACCAGATGGATTCACAGCCGAATTCTACCAGAGGTAAAAGGAGGAGCTGGTACCATTCCTTCTGAAACTATTCCAATCAATAGAAAAAGAAGGAATCCTCCCTAACTCATTTTATGAGGCCAGCATAATCCTGATACCAAAGCCCGGCAGAGACACAACAAAAAAAAGAGAATTTTAGACCAATATCCTTGACGAACATTGATGCAAAAATCCTCAATAAAATACTGGCAAACCGAATCCAGCAGCACATCAAAAAGCTTATCCACCATGATCAAGTGGGCTTCATCCCTGGGATGCAAGGCTGGTTCAACATATACAAATCAATAAATGTAATCCAGCATATAAACTGAACCAAAGACAAAAACCATATGACTATCTCAATAGATGCAGAAAAGGCCTTTGACAAAATTCAACAACCCTTCATGCTAAAAACTCTCAATACATTAGGTATTGATGAGACGTATCTCAAAATAATAAGAGCTATCTATGACAAACCCACAGCCAATATCATACTGAATGGACAAAAACTGGAAGCATTCCCTTTGAAAACTGGCACAAGACAGGGATGCCCTCTTTCACCACTCCTATTCAATATAGTGTTGGAAGTTCTGGCCAGGGCAATCAGGCAGGAGAAGGAAATAAAGGGCATTCAATTAGGAAAAGAGGAAGTCAAATTGTCCCTGTTTGCAGATGACATGATTTTATATCTAGAAAACCCCATCATCTCAGCCCAAAATCTCCTTAAGCTGATAAGCAACTTCAGCAAAGTCTCAGGATACAAAATCAATGTACAAAAATCACAAGCATTCTTATACACCAATAACAGACAAACAGAGAGCCAAATCATGAGTGAACTCCCACTCACAATTGCTTCAAAGAGAATAAAATACCTAGGAATCCAACTTACAAGGGATGTGAAGGACCTCTTCAAGGAGAACTATAAACCACTGCTCAAGGAAATAAAATAGGATACAAACAAATGGAAGAACATTCCATGCTCATGGGTAGGAAGAATCAATATCATGAAAATGGCCATACTGCCCGAGGTAATTTATAGATTCAATGCCATCCCCATCAAGCCACCAATGACTTTCTTCATAGAATTGGAAAAAACTACTTTAAAGTTCATATGGAACCAAAAAAGAGCCCACATTGCCAAGTCAACCCTAAGCCAAAAGAACAAAGCTGGAGGCATCATGCTACCTGACTTCAAACTATACTACAAGGCTACAGTAACCAAAACAGCATGGTACTGGTACCAAAACAGAGATATAGACCAATGGAACAGAACAGAGCCCTCAGAAATAATGCCACATATCTACAACTATTTGATCTTTGACAAACCTGACAAAAACAAGAAATGGGGAAAGGATTCCCTATTTAATAAATAGTGCTGGGAAAACTGGCTAGCCATATGTAGAAAGCTGAAACTGGATCCCTTCCTTACACCTTATACAAAAAATTAATTCAAGATGGATTAAAGACTTACATGTTAGACCTAAAACCATAAGAACCCTAGAAGAAAACCTAGGCAATACCATTCAGGACATAGGCATGGGCAAGGACTTCATGTCTAAAACACCAAAAGCAATGGCAACAAAAGCCAAAATTGACAAATGGGATCTAATTAAACTAAAGAGCTTCTGCACAGCAAAAGAAACTACCATCAGAGTGAACAGGCAACCTACTGAATGGGAGAAAATTTTTGCAACCTACTCATCTGACAAAGGGCTAATATCCAGAATCTACAATGAACTCAAACAAATTTACAAGAAAAAAACAAACAACCCCATCAAAAAGTGGGTGAAGGATATGAACAGACACTTCTCAAAAGAAGACATTTATGCAGCCAAAAAACACATGAAAAAATGCTCATCATCACTGGCCATCAGAGAAATGCAAATCAAAACCACAATGAGATACCATCTCACACCAGTTAGAATGGTGATCATTAAAAAGTCAGGAAACAACAGGTGCTGGAGAGGATGTGGAGAAATAGGAACACTTTTACACTGTTGGTGGGACTGTAAACTAGTTCAACCATTGTGGAAGTCAGTGTGGCGATTCCTCAGGGATTTAGAACTAGAAATACCATTTGACCCAGCCATCCCATTACTGGGTATATGCCCAAAGGATTATAAATCATGCTGCTATAAAGACACGTATGTTTATTGTGGCACTATTCACAATAGCAAAGACTTGGAACCAACCCAAATGTCCAACAATGATAGACTGGATTAAGAAAATGTGGCACATATACACCATGGAATACTATGCAGCCATAGAAAATGATGAGTTCACGTCCTTTGTAGGGACATGGATGAAGACTGGAAACCATCATTCTCAGCAAACTATCACAAGGACAAAAAACCAAACACCACATGTTCTCACTCATAGGTGGGAACTGAACAATAAGAACACATGGACACAGGAAGGGGAACATCACACACCCGGGACTGTTGTGGGGTGCGGGGATGGGGGAGGGATAGCATTAGGAGATATATCTAATGTTAAATGACGAGTTAATGGGTGTAGCACACCAACATGGCACATGTATACATATGTAACAAACCTGCACGTTGTGCACACGTACCCTAAAACTTAAAGTATAATAATAATAAAATAAAATATATATAAAAAAAGAAGATCAAACCAGCCACAACATTCCCTTAAGCCTAAGTCTAATCCAGAGCAAGGCCCTAACTCTCTTCAATTCTGTGGTAAGGAATCTGCAGAAGAAAAGCTGAAAGCTAGCAGAGATTGGTTCATGAGGTTTAAGGAAAGAAGCCATCTCTATAACATAAAAGTGCAAGGTGAAGCAGCAAGTGCTGAGGCGAAAGCTGCAGAAAGTTACCCAAAAGATCTAGCTGAAGTCAGTCAGGGGTTAATGCAGACCATTTAAATCCTTATTGATTTGGGGGAAATACTTCACTATCTATAGATAGCCCTAAAGTTCTTCCTGGTATTAAAAATCACTTACCTAGTAGTGGTAGGTGGCAGTGCTTGGGGGTCTGCCCAACAGGGGAGAAGAATTGTCCCCTTTTCCGCTAACAGCCCCGCCTCCAGCTCAGGCTATGTGGTTTGGATGGAGCAGGACTCCATACCTCCCACCTTCAGCCAATAGAGGTCACATGACCTAGGCCTGGCCAATCAGCACATTTCATCCCCAGCCTGATGAACGTCGCTGCGCTAAACAATAGAGTTTCAATGCAAACAAACAGCCTTACATGGGAAGAAGATGCCATTTAGGACTTTTATAATTAGGGGAAGTCAATGCTTGGCTTCAAAGCTTCAAAGAATAAGCTGACTGACTCTCTTGTTAGGGGCTAATGCAGCTTATGAATTTTTTTTTTTTTTTTTTTTTTTTTTTTTTGTGGCACAGTCTCGCTCTGTTGCCCAGGCTGGAGTGCAGCGGCGGGATCTCAGTTCACCACAACCTCCACCTCCTGGGTTCAAGTGATTCTCTTGCGGCAGCCTCCCAAGTAGCTGGAACTACAGGCACGTGCCACCATGTCCAGCTAATTTTTGTATTTTTTTAATAGAGACGGTGTTTCACTATGTCGGCCAGGCTGGTCTCAAACTCCTGACCTCATGACGATGACTTTAAGTTGAAGCCAATGCTCATATATCATTGAGAAAATCCTAGGGCCCTTAAAAATTATGTTAAATTGGCCGGGCACAGTGGCTCACGCCTGTAATCCCAGCGCTTTGGGAGGCCGAGGCGGTTGGATCACCTGGGGTCAGGAGTTCAAGACCAGCCTGGCCAACACGGTGAAACTGCATCTCTACAGAAAAATACAAAAATTAGCTGGGCCTGATGGCGGGTGCCTGTAATCTCAGCTACTCCAGAAGCTGAAGCGGAAGAATCGCTTGAACCCAGGAGGTGGAGGTTGCAGTGAGCCGAGATCGAGCCACTGCACTCCAGCCTGGGCAATGGAGTGAGACTCCATCTCAATAAAAATAAATAAATTTAAAAAAAAGAATTATGTTAAATCTACTCTGTGCTCTATAAATGGAAAAACAAAGCCTGGATGAGGGCACATCTGTTAACAGCATGCTTTACTGAGTATTTTAAGCTCACTGTTGAAACCGACTGCTCAGGAAAAAAAAAAACAAACAAAAAAATTCCTTTCAAAATATTACTGCTCATTGACAATGCACCTGGTTACCCAATAACTCTGATGAAGATGCACAAAGAGATTAATGTGTTTTCATGCCTGCTAACACAACATCCATTCTGAAGCCCATGGATCAAAAAACAATTTCAACTTTCAAGTCTTATTATTTGATAAATATATTTTGTAGGGCTACAGCTGCCATAGATAGTGATATCTCTGATAGATCTGGGAAAAGCAAATTGAAAACTTTCTAAAGAGGATTCACACCATTCTAGTTGCCATTATTCATGTGGGGAGGTCTGAGAATTTTAAATTTAAATCCAGCCCTTTAGGGCATTACAAAGGTACATTTGTCAAGGTAGGATGAAAGAAGTTTTACTTTGTTAGCTTGACTTATAACTGATAAATATATAGACATGTGATATGAAGACCTCCATTTGTCCTCTTGACCTCAGCCCCCAAATCTTATGATTGGCCTGTCCCTAAGAGCTCCTTTTTTGGCCTCATGTTATTCAGACCAGAAAATGGCATTTAGGAAGTACCTCTGTCTCCAAGTAACTCAGCAATCGGGCTGTCGAAGGCCAGAACCAGCACCTGGTTTGTGCTTGCACTGAAGTTTCCTTTTGCATCTGTAAGAGCTTGTAAAGCATGAAACTAGTGAGTTATCGAGGGTGAGGGGAGGGCAGACTTGGCTCTAGCTCGACAAAGATGTTAATAAAGACAGAAGGATCATTTGGGAGGAGGGACACGACAGAGCGCAGCTGAAGGTTTACTACTTAACATATGCCCTTAACTGAATAAAATTATTCACTTTGGCATATAATCTACTAGAACATTCTAAATGGAAACCTTACACATCATCTATTCCAATACTTCTGGGCTTTTTAAATCAGCAAAATCAAAAAAATTATCAAAATGAAAACCATGTGAAATACCAATAGTAAAGCAGCTACATGTGATAAACAGGTTCCTCAGACCATTTAAATCCTTATTGATTTGGGGAAAATACTTCACTATCTATAGATAGCCCTAAAGTTCTTCCTGATATTAAAAATCACTCACCTAGTAATGGTAGGTGGCAGTGGTTGGGGTCTGCTCAACAGGGGAAAAGAATCGTCCCCTTTTCTGCTAACAGCCCTGCCTCCAGCTCAGGCTATGTGGTTTGGATGGAGCAGGACTCCATACCTCCCACCTTCAGCCAATAGAGGTCACATGACCTAGGCCTGGCCAATCAGCACATTTCATCCCCAGCCTGATTGGTTCAGAGATAGACCAGAGTAGGGCCAATCAGAGCTACTCCCAAGACCTACTGCGGTGACAGAGATAATGTGGTCTATTCTCTGTTCCGTCTTCTAAAATAACAGACAGGCAGAGGGAGACAGAGACTGAGTTCTAACCACATGTGGGTGGAAGCCCCTGGATCCATCCATTCATGAAGCCAGGGCTACCCTGGGCTTCTCACTTATATAGGCCAATATAATTCCTTTCTCTACCTACGTCAATTTGGTTGTTTTTTTATCATCTGCCAATAAGAGAGTCCCGACTGGTCCAACCCACACATTTTATACATGAAGATACTAAAACCCAGAGAAGGAACGAGCACTGCCCAAGGCCACCAGGATCCCAGCTGGAGCCAGGACTAGGACCCAGCTCTCTGCAGCAATGATCACTTTTGCATTTTTGTAACTTCTCTGTGTTCTTTTTTATTTTCTAAAACTGACTATGACTTTTGCATGTGGATGAGAATTCTATATGAGGAAGAAACAGTGGAAAGAAATTTCCTGGAACTCAGCCAAAGGAGGGCAGAGGCCAGCCTGCACTCAGGGAAAGACTAGCTTTCCATGAAGGTGGAATGTTTCAGTGTCGTCTGAGAGTCTGGGAAGACTGTATGTAAGAATCAATCTCTTCTACCTTCTCTGCTGCCTGAAAATTTACCAACAAAGTATATTTCTTCTAGATTAAGCATTGCTTTCTTCAGATTTTTCTTCTCAAATTCAACTCTTCTGGGCAGTAATGACATCTTATATCCCTAACTCTGTAGGAAGGAGTGATCAACCCCTTTATCCCAGACCACAGGACCCCAGGAAAGCCTGAGATCTAACATTCTAGGGGAGAGGAAGTGCGGCAATCGGTGTTCAGAAAGCCCTGATGGAGAAGGCAAAGATAACACAAGAAAGAGAGAAGGTCTCTGAGTAAGCGCCTGACTGAATAGCAGATAGTCCCAAAGAAACAATGAGAAATGAACAGAGACAGACCTTGGTTCAAATCCTATTCTAGCCAATTCCTTCTTGAATAATGCCAGGCAAGTTATTTAACCTCGCTGAGCCTCAGTTTCTTCACCTGTGACTTGAAAGCACAAATACCTGTTTTGTCATAAGGATGAAATAAGCATGTAAAGTACCCAGTTGGTAGCAAGTGTTTAATGAATGAGTCCCCTTTGCTCAAAAGAACAAAACAACGATCTCCATTATAGTGAATCATTTCCAGAATTCTGACTCTTTTATTATACAATAGATGGTGAGTTTGGTGGGGAAGGAACTACCTCCCTGGGTAGAAAGCATTCATCCAGCAGAACCCACAAAGGCTCCTCCAACCAGCCTCAGCTTTGCGCATCCCCTGGGCTGGCAATCTCCACCATTCCCACATCAGTACATCTGCACATACATCAAGCAGCAAGCCTTCCCTCCAGCCCCACAGGCAGCAGGGTTCCCAACGACAAGCCAAGAGTACCCTGTGACCCTGAGTACAGGCAGATGACATCCAAGGACCCTGAGGCACAGACAGGAGGGGGCTTGGTAATGGTGATGTAGTAGCTTGAGGAACCAGAGCTCAGAGAGGTTAAAAGACTTGTTGATTGTCACCCTGCAAATAATAGCCAGGCAGAGGTTAAAAAGCAGACCTATCTATCCTTACCCAGTATCCTTTTTCCTGGCCACATTGTCTGAGTGCCATTTACAATACTTGAGAATCTGGAAAGGAATTTTTGTAGACAGGGCTGTTGAAATCAGAAGTAGGGACAGGGCTAGATCATGAAAATAAAAATAAATAAATAAAATAAAATAAATTTTAAAAACATGAAACAGGCTAACACTAGTTTCTCCCTTTCCAGGGCTCTTCATCTTCCTCATGAGCCCACTATTGGAGGAAAATATAGAAAAAAATCTCCCATGCTCCGGTATTAAGCAGCTCACATGTTACTCCCCCAAAGGAATTTGTATTTGAAAAGAAGAGCTAAGGTAGTGCTTGGGCCAAATGACCATAATGGAGGGATTCCAGGCACAGCCTCCCTGCATCATTTCCCTGTTTCTACCCAGGAACCAGTCTAGGGCTGAGCACTCCTCCAGGAAGAGTTAGAAAGCAAGTAGGGAGGTGAATCAGGCCCCGGCTCTGCAGCTGAGACTGGGGCCTGAGCTGGGGGTGCAGGAGTTGCAGCAGGTTCAAAGATATGTCACCAAAATAATGGAATGCTCTAGCCTCAGGCCAGGCTGACCTCCCAAAGTATGTGTTTGGGAGTTTGCAGCTGGAGCCCAATTGCTTGAAGAGAGCCAGGCCCACCCGGATACAGGCGGGGCAACAGCCCTTCCCACCAAACCCCCCACTCCACCCCATCTCCCCCACCCCCTGCCTCTAGGCCAAGAGCAGAGCAGTGTGCAGAAGCCACCCTTCCAGGGCTTTCAGGCAACTGTGGAGGAGAGAGGCACCTGACTTCGGCTCAGGACGGCTGCAGGCATCAGACCCCCAAAGTTAGCAGACCTAAATCCTAAGCCAATAAGGCTGGCTAAGGGCAGGGTGCAGGACATGTGGGGACCAGCCCCACAGACAGTGGGGAGGACAGATGGGATAGGAAAGATCATGACACCCAGAGGGCCCTTGAGTGAAGGGGCTGGGAGAAGACCCAGGCCTCAATGGAGCCTAAGGCAGGGCCTGCTCAGGATCACTGCTCCCAATGCCTCTCCTACCCCACCTTCTATTTGTCTACAAGATGAACCTCCATGAATAATTTAAGCACCCTGCTGAGTAAAAAGGGATTATTGTCCTAGGAAATGTTTTGGATAGCTGGGTGTTACAGAAAGCCATGTGGGTTTCTGGGCCAGCTGACCTCCCTATGGAACAGAGAGGTGCTGACAGAGGTGACCTCAAGAACCAAGGACCTTTACCCAGCCAGCCTCGGTGGGATGAAGTGGGCTGTGGAGGACATTACCCAACATGTAGCTCCATGGCTGCCCTCCCTGCCCAGGGGCCCCGTGGATCTTTGGTCACACCAACACCACGAAGCTCTCCTCTGCCACAATGGCCACATGGTTACTTGCACCACACCCAGGAGGTGAGGAGGGGGGCAGCCTCAGAGCCATCGGGGGCTGGCTGGGAGTGGGAGCTGGCTTGGGTCACAGCCCAAAGATTATGGCTCTGAGCTCCTGGTCTGGTTTCTCTCCCTTCCCTGGGGCCCCCCAAAGTGCTTACCTGTCACTCAAAAGGTGAGGCTGCAAGGGTTCCCACTTCACTGGCAGAATAGGGGGCTCACCTGAAGGCCTCCCTGTCTGAGCAGCACCTCAGCTAAGCACCTGAAAGGGCAAGGCTCTCAGCTCCTCCCCCTAGGGTTCCAGCAGAGACCTCTCAGTCTCCTCTCCACCCACAGTTCCTTTTGCCACTTCTACCACATTGGGCAAGAATTCAGATTGTCCGAAGCCCCACAGCACACATGCAAACACAGCTTTGCACAGGAGCAAAGACCGACAGACATACAATACCATACCCACATATATTCCCTCACACACACTCACATAGTTCCCTCACAATCACACACACCTATTTCACACCAAAACACTCACACTAATGCACACTCATGCAAACACACACAAATGGTTCACACTCTCTCACACATACACATAGAACATTCCCACCCACACAGTTATTCAAATGCTTATACAAATCTCACATCTGAACACACACTCCAAGTATACACATTGACACACATCAACTCTCACTAGTATTCACTCATGCATTCTCTCTCTCGCTCTCTCTCTGTCTCACCTGTTATTGTTTGACCATTAGCCAGATGATCTCAGTGGCTTTGCTGGGATCAGAAAGGGGTCATGAGGGCAGGAGCTACTAGCTTCTAGGTCCAATTCTGTAATGGCCCCTCCTCATGCCCTGCCATGGTTGCCTCCCCAGAAGTCCCTCCCTCAACAGCACACAATCTTTTGCTACCCCACTCAATAAACCATGGTCATTTCTGACCCTCCCTAGTCAAGCCATTTCCCTTCCTTAAACACCTTCCCCACAGTGTCCCATCTATCCCACCCTATGGAACCTGTAAGACCCCAACAAGTCCCTGACCTCAATAAAGCACTGCCACCAGTACTGAGACACACTGATACCCTGGGAGAAGCTTGCATCCTGAGAATAGTGGGCACCCAGGTAGGTATTCCCTGAGTCCAGAGGTCCCTACCTGTTTCCTGGGTATGAATCTTGCCTCGCTCATGAGATAGCAAAAGCCTTGAGGCCCAAGGAAAGAACTGTGACCCCCTCCTTTTGTGGTCCCAGAACACATACTGTAGAGCTGGACCCTCATCTCAGCTGTGCCCAGGGGGTGCTGCCCCAGACTCATTTTGTTCTAATTTAGGCCTTTCCAGTTGAAAGGCATCCACTTAGGGTCAGACATACTCAGGTGCAAACCCAAGCTCCATTTCTAACTGTGTGACTTGGGCAACCTCCTTAACATCTCTTGGCCTTAGTTTCCTCATCTAAAAAAAATGAAAACAATAATCCCTCCTTTGTAGGTAGAAAATGATAATGAATGTAAAGTACCCTGCACAATGCCTGGCACATAGTAGGTGTTCAGCCCAAAATGGTGCTCCTTTTCTCTTGCCCTTTCATCTCTTTACACACAATCCAAGGGGATAACTGTCAGGATGGAGTAGGCTGGAACAGGTTCAAGGGAAGCTAGAGGCACCTGGCTCCAGTTCACACACCCTCACACAAGGCTGCATCTAGGTCTGTTCCCCTCATGTGGAGCCCCAGAATTCAAGGACATCTTTGATTAATAAGAAGTGGAAAGATAAGCCTCATGATAATTAATAAATCATTAGCAGCATTACTTTGCATCAGATAAGCCCATTAATTGTTCCCATTTCCTTACAAAAAGCCCAGGCCCAGGGGCCCCTCACAGCAAATTGATTTTATGAGAAATCCAAGCCCATGAAAAAAAGCAGAGCCCTGGCAGCGTGAGCAGCATCCACCTGCAGAGGCACTTGGGAGTGTATGCTCGACCTGCACCTCTGTTCTTCAGGAGAGCAGGCCATGAACCTGCTTGGGACCAGAACTCACAAAACAAGCTCTGGCAGGACTCCCTCTAGGGAACTCAAGGACTCCTAATACAGAGCTGCAAACAGGTTTCCTGGTAATCAACTGATGTTCCTGGCACCAACACCAATTGATTACCAGTGCTTGTTGTAGCCACTCTAAGAAAAAGCTACATTGAGACTGAGAGGAAAAAAGGTCCTAATTGGTTCATAATGGCTGACAGGAGCATGGAACAGGACATGAAGGCATAAAGGACATGCCCATCCTTTCATTCATTCATTTTTTCATTCATTCATCTTGCAAATGATTAGCATCAAATGCTATGCAAGCGGCTGGGGAGACCATGTGAAGCAAAAAGGTAGTTCCTGTTTTCATGGAGCTTATATTTGTCTCTCTAAAGTCCAGCTGCTTTTCAGGGGAGGAAATTACAACAGGGAAGAAACTTTCCAAAGCCATACTGAGAGCCAGTGACAAAACTGGCTATAGCTCCTTCCCTACCCTCTTGCCAGCCCCTCCTTCCGTCAAAGGAGCAGCAAAGGGATCCCAGTTCCCCATTCCTGCCCAACACACACAGATGTTCTGCCATCTTCTCATGTATCTTAACCCCAGACTCTGAAAATGGCAGCATATTCTCATTTATTTTAGAGAAATGCTTTTGAATACCTATTGTGTACAGGGACACTGAATTGGGACACATAAAAACTGCCTCCAAGAAGCTGGTTGACTGATTAGATAAAAAAGCTTCCTTAAAATATACTGCTACTAATAATAATAACAATAATAATAATAAAGCAAAACCACCAGGAGGCATAACTTATTAAAGTGCTCTGAGTGATTAAAAAGCATCCATGCAAGCTGAGAAATCTCAAAAGGCTTTCTGAAGGAGGTGGCAGGTTAGGAAGAAATTGGAAAAAAATGTTTGGAGACAGATTATGGAGAGCTTTCAAGGCACTATTAGGAAGTTTAAATGTGTCTTTTGGTTCCTCACTTGTGCCCCTGAAAGTGTACTCAGAGGGCACCACTGGATAAACCTGGTTCATCTTTTTATAACATCGATATTACTTACAGATTTGAAAGTGAAAGGTTTTTCATTAAAGATTCTTAAAATTTTGTCATACCCACACAAAAATAAATTCCAGTTAAAGAATTAAACATGGAAATAAATAAAACTATGAAGATACTAGAATAAAACATAGGAAATGAGAAAGACTTTATGAGCAAAACTAAGATGCCCTAGAGAAAAAAATAAAGTAGAACTATGGACTCATGCTCCAGGCTTGCCCCAGTGGCACACTGGCCACACAGACTCAGGATTCACCCTCATCTCCATGGGCCTAAGATCCAGGCCCACTATCATGGACCCAGGATACAGGCCAATACCCATAGGCTCATGCTCCGGGACCATTCCAGTCCAGGCCTGCAGACAGACACAGGTTGCAGGCCTACCCCAATGGACCCTGATGCCAGGCCAGCCCAGCCCCTACAGATGCAAGACCAGACCTATCCCTGTGTACTCAGGTGGCAGGCCCTTCCCAGCACCAAGCCATCCTCCACAGACTCAGGCTACAGGCCTGCCACAGTGCCAGGCCAGCCCCTGTGAACTTGGACTCCAGGCCCACACCAAAGACCCATGCACCAGGCCCATGCACACAACCCAAGCCACAGGCCCTCCTCTACCAACCCAGGTACCAACCCATACTTCCCAAGGACTCCAGTAGCAAGCCTGCCTGCAGACCCAATAGCTGGCTCACCCAGATCCTCTGATAAGATGACTGGTAAAGGGCTTTCCCTGCTGGAGCCAGTCTATAAAGGCTGGAAGAGAAGCCCATATCTTCAAATATGCAGATACCAATGCAAGGCCATGAGGATCACAAATAATCAAGGAAACATGACACCACCAAAAGAACAAAATAAAACAACAGTAACTTACCCTTAAGAAGTGGCTGTCTATGAACTGTCTGGTAAGCAACTCAAAATAATAGTCTTATAGAATCTCAGTGAGCTACAAGAGAACACAGACTGACAACTAAAATGGAATCAGGAAAACAATACATGAACAAAATGTGAAGTTCAACAAAGAGAAACCATAAAAAAGAATTTCTGGAGCTAAAGAACATAATGGCTAAACTGAAAAATTTAATAGAGAGCTTCAACAGCAGACTCAATCAAACAGAACAATCAGTAAGCTTGAATTCATGTCATTTGAAATGACGCAGTCAGAGGAAAAGAGTGAAGAAAGCCTACAGGACTTATAAGACATCACGCAAATCAGTATATATATTATAGGAGTCCCAGAAAAAGGGAAGAAAGCTTATTTAAATAAATAATAACAGAAAACTTCCCAAATCTGGAGAGGAAAATAAATATCCAGAGTTATGAAGCTTAAAGAACTCCAGATTGATTAAACATAAAGAGATCCTCACTGAGACATATTATAATCAAGTTGACAAAGAGAGAATTTTGAAAGCAGCAAAAGAAAAGCAACTCACCACATACAAGGGAACCCCCTTAAGGCTGAATCTTGCCCTCCAGGAGACAGTGGGATGATATACTCAAAGTGCTGAAAGAAAAAAATAACCTGTCAACCAAGAATACTACACATGACAGACAAACAAGCTAAGGAAGTTCATCACCACTACACCTGCTTTATAAGAAACACTAAGGGGAGTTCTTCAAGTTAAAATGAAAAGACATTAAGTAACAACATAAAAATATGAAAGCATAAAACTCACTATAAAAGTAAGAATACAGTCATATTCAAAATACTTTAATACTGTGATAGTAATTCTCTTTTAATTCTGGCATAGAAATTAAGACAAAATATTAAAAAACAATTATAGCACAATAATTTGTTAATGGCTACACAATATAAAAATATATAATGACAGCAATAACATAAAATGTAAGAGGGAAGAAGTTAGAGTTTCTTATATAGTTGAAATTAAGTTATTATCAGCTTAAAATAAACTTTTATAACAATAAGATGTTCTATGTAAACACTCAGTATTAACCATCATACAACTATATGCTTGCTGCCTAAAAGAGCCTCACTTTAGTTTTAAGGACATACATAGATTGAAAGTAAAGGGATGGAAAAAGATATCCCATGCAAATGGTAACCAAAAGAGAGCAAAAGTGGCTATATGTGTGTCAGATAAAATAAAATTTAAGTCAAAAACTGTCACAAAGACAAGAAGGTAATTATATAATAATAAAAGGGTCAATTGTGCAAAAGGATATAACAATTCTAAATATATATGCACCCAAAATGGAAGCATCTAATATATAAAACAAATATTAACAGAATCGAAGGGAGAAATAGACAGCAATACAACAATAATAGGGAACTTCAATACCCTACTTTTAGCAATGAATACATCATCCAGATACAAAAATCAATAAAGAAAACATTGAACTTGAAGTACACTACAGACCAAATAGACCTTACAGACATATACAAAAATTCGATTCAATGGCAGCACAATACACATTCTTTCCAAGTGCACACAAAATATTCTCTAGAATGGATCATGTATTAGGTTACAAACAAGTCTTAAATTTCAGAAGACTGAAATCATATTGAGAATTTTTTTCTGATCACAATAGAATAAAACTAGAAATCAATAACAGGAAGTCTTGGAAAATTCCCAAACATGTAGAAATTAAGCAGCATGCTCCCAAACAACCAATGGGTGACAGAAATCAAAAGGAAAAATTAAAAATATCTTGAGATAAACAAAAATAGAAACACAATGTACCAAAACTTATGGGATGCGACAAAGGCAGTCCTCAGAGAGGTTTATAGCAATAAATGTCTACATCACAAAAAGAGAAAGATCTCAAATAAACAACCTAATGTTACATCCCAAAGAACTAGAAAAATAAGAACAAAGTAAGCCCAAATTTAGCAGAAAAAAGGAAATAACAAAGATCGGAGCATAAATAAAATAGAGATTATAAAAAAATACAAAAAGTCAACAAAATTACAAGTTAGTTTTTTGAAAAGATAAACAAAATGGACAAACCTTTAGCTAGACTAACAAAGAAAGAAATAGAGAAGAGTCAAATAAACAAAATCAGAAATGAAAGATGAGACTCATTATCAATACCACAGAAATATAAAGAATAATAAGAGACCAATATGGACAATTACACTTCAAAAAAATTGAATAACCCAGAAGATATAGATAAATTCCTAGAAACATATAATCTACTAAAATTAATACAGAAAGAAATAGAAAATCTGAACAGACCAATAACAGATTAGGAGATTGAATCAATAATAAAAGTCTTCCATCAAAGAAAACCCGGCACCTGATGGCAGCACTCCTGGATTCTACCAAATATTTAATGAACTAATACCAATTCTCAAACTCTTACAAAAAATTAAAGAGGAGGAATATTTCCAAATTCATTTTACAAGGTCAGCATTACCCTGATGCCAAAAACAGACAAAGATACAAGAAGAGAAAATTACAGGCCAACATTCCTGATGAACATAGATGTAAAAACCCTCAACAAAATACTAGCAAGGCAAACTCAACAGAATATTAAAAGGATCATTCAATGTAAGCAAGTAGGATTTATCCCTGGGATGCAAAAGTGCTTCAACATAGATAAATCAATAAATGTAATACACCTTATTAAAAAAATAAAGAACAAAAATTACAAGATCATCTTAGATGCTGAAAAAGCATCTGATAAAATTCAACATCCATTCATGATAAAAACTCTCAACAAAATAGATATAGAAGAAATGTACCTCAACACAATAAACGCCATATATGACATGCCCACAGCTAATGTCATACTCAATGTGAAAAGCTAGAAACTTTTCCTCTAAAATCAAGAACAAGACAAGGCTGCCCACTCCCACCACTTCTAATCAATGTAGTACTGAAAGTCTTACCAGAACAATTAAACAAGAAAAAGAAATAAAATGTATCCAAATACAAAAAGGAATGAAATTACCTTTGTTTGCTGATTACATGATCTTATATATTTTTAAAACCCTGAAGGCTTCCATTAAAAAACTGTTAGAACTAAGAAACAAATTCAGTAAAGTTTCAGTTTACAAAATCAAAAAAAAAAAAAAAACAGTAGCACTTCTATACCTAACAATGAACTACCCAAAAAAAGAAATCAAGAAAACAATTCCATTTATAGTATTTCCCAAAAAAACCAGTTAGAAATAAATTTAACCAAAGATGTGAAAGATCTAACGCTGAAAACTATAAAACATTGATAAAAGAGATTGAAGATTATACAAATAAATGGAAAGCTATCCCATGTTCATAGATTGGAAGAATTAATATTATAAATCTGTCAATACTACATGTCAGTACTACCCAAAGCAATCTACAGATTCAATGCAATCTCTATCAAAATTCCAAAGACAGACCATGTGTGATGGCTCACACCTGTAATCCCAGCACTTTGGGAGGCCATGGTGAAAGGATCACTTGAGGCCAGCAATTCAAGACCAGCCTGGGAAATTTAATGAGACTCATCTCTTAAAAAAAAAAAAAAGTAAAAATTAGCTGGGCTTGGTGGCATGCACCTATAGTCCCAGCTACTCAGGAGGCTGAGACGGGAGGATCACTTGAGCCTGAGAGGTCAAGGCTGCAGTGAACTATGATTGTACTCCAGCCTGGGTGACAAAGTGAGAACCTGTCTCAAAACAAAAATCCAATGGCATTTTTCACAGAAATAGAAAATATAATTCTAAAATTCATATGGGACCACCAAATAGCCAAAGCAATCTTGAGCAAGAAGAACAAAGCTGAAGGCACCACTCTACCTGATTTTAAAATATACTACAAGTTATAGTAGCCAAAGCAGCATGATACTGGCATTAAAAATGACATATAAACCAATGGAACAGAATAGGGAACCTAGAAATAAATCCACACATTCACAGACAATTGATTTTTGACAAAGGTCTCAGAAGTACACACTGGGGAAAGAATAGTCTCTTCAATAAATGATGCTGGGAAAACTGGATATCCACATGGAGAAGAATGAAAGTAGGCCCTTATCTCACACGATATCTTTTAAATCCACTTAAAATGAGTTAGATAGTTGAAAATAAGACCTGAGACTGTAAAATTACTAGAAGAAAACATAAGGAGCAAGTTTCTTGACATTGGTCTTGGCAATGATTTTTTTTTTGGATATGACCCCAAATGCACAGGCAACAAAAGCAAAAATAGACTAATAGTATTGCCTCAAACTAAAAAGCTTCTGCACAGCAAAAGAAATAATAAATAGAATGAAGAGACAACCTACAGAATAGGAGAAAATATTTGCAAACCATACATCTGATAATGGGCTAATATCCCAAATATATAAGGAACTCCTACAACTCAGTAGTAAAACAAAATGAATAAATAACCTGATTTAAAAAATGATCAGAGAACCCAAATAGACATTTTTCCAAAGAATACATACAAATGGCCAACAGATATAAGGACAAATCTTCAACATCACTAATCATCAGGGAAATTAAAACCACAATGAGCTATTACCTCACACCTGTTAAAAAGTCTATTATCAAAAAGATGAAAGATAACAAATGTTGGCAAGGATGTGGTGAAAAGGGACACCCTGCATTCTGTTGGTGGGAATGTAAATTTGGCACAACCATTATGAAAAACAGTATGGAGATTTCTCAAAAAATTAAAAATAGAATTACCATATGATTCAGCAATCCCAGTCTGGGTATGTATTCAAAGGAAATGGAATCGGTTTCTTGAACAGATATCTATATTCCCATACTCATTGTAACACTTTTCACAATAGCCAAGATATGGAAGCAACCCAGGTGTCCATCAATGGATGAACAAATGAAGAAAATGTGGTAAATATTCACAATGAGACATTTTTTTGACAGATTATCAGTGGGATATTATTCAACCTTAAAATATAAGGATATTCTTTCATTTGCAACAACATGAAACTTGAGGACATTGTAACTGAAATGATGCAGACACAGAAAGACAAATACTGCCTGATCTTACTTATATGTGGAAACTAAAAAAAGTCATCAAAGCAGAGAATAGAATGGCATTGCCAGAAGCTAGTGGGGAAGGCAAAATGGGGAGATGTTGGTCAAAGAGTACAAAGTTTCAGCTATGCAGGATGAGTAAGTTCCGGAGAGCTAATGGACAGCATGGTGATTATAGTTAATAAGACTGTGTTATATACTGAAATTTGCTAAGAGAATAAACCTTAAATGCTCTTATCACACACATGAAAAAAGATAACTATGTGAGGTGACAGGTATGTAATTGGTGTGGTCGTATAATAATTTCACAGTGTACACGTATATCTAAACATCATGTTGTATACCTTCAATATATACAAATTTTATTCATGAATTATACCTCAATAAAGCTGAGGGAAAGAAATAAAACTAGGAAGAAATACTGATGATTCTTTATACTTCTCTGCATTTTCCAAATTTTCTGTTACAACCATGTATTACTCTTATAATTAGAATAAAGCAAACATCAGTGTAAAAGAAAAAGACAAGTAGATATGTCTACTTTAAAAATTGTAAATTCTCTAGCACATCAAAAACAGAATATCAGATGGGGAAAATGTTGGTAATACATACTATAAACAAAAGAAAACATCTCTAAAATATGAAGACTTCCCAACCAAAAAAAAAATCAACAAGCAATTCACAGAAAAAACACAAATAGCTAATAAAACAGGATTTTTGAGTCTGTGCACTATTGAAAGCACCATCCCCATCATCACTACCATCAGCCCCTCCAGCCAGTTGTAACAATCAAAAAATGTCTCCAGACATTGCCAAATGTCCCCTGGGTATAAAATCATCCCCTGTTGAGAACCACTACTAATAAACATATGAAAATATATTCAGCCTTCTGAATGAACAAGCAAATTAAAATAACAAAATATCATTTTCTTTTATCAGATTGGGAAGATTTTAAAGATGGATGGTAACTACAGATGGCAAGCGTTTGGGTAGAAGGATGTTCTCATTCTTTGTTCATGGGGACATAAATAAATACAATTTTAGAAGACAATCTGGTGGCATTCATCTGCTTTTTAAATGTACAAGCCCACTGCCCCAGCAATTTCACTCTGCTCCACAAAACAATACACAAAAGTACACAACGATATATATACAAAGTATGTTCAATGGGGAATTTTTTTTTATAATAGTGGAAACTTGGAAATAAGTGTAAATGAATAAAGTAATGATTAAATTATGGTACATTGATATAAATGAGACAATAAAAAGAATTGTCTGAGACATATTGCTGGGTGAAAAAAAGCAAGTTGCAAAATAATATCATCCTATATTTAAGTTAAAAATGACATATTTGCATGTGTTTATATGTGCCATTAGAAAGACAGAAAGAGAAAGAAAGATCTGGAAAAATAAATAGCAAGTTGTTAATAGTTGTTAATCCTAGGGAGTGGAATCGGAGGGTGGTAGGAGAGGTAAGGGTAGTGAGTGTGGGGAGAGACAGGAATTTTAAATTTTCCATTTATAGAGTTCTGTATTGTTTGAGCTTTAACAGTGAGTATTATTATCTTTATAATTTTGAAAATATGTTTTCAGCAAATTCCAAAATAGGGTTCATATTAGAAATTTATAAAGGGTTCATGTTATATATGCAAGTAGAATCAGTAAAATCCCACTGATTTCTGTTGATGTATGTCATTTTTTCCAAAGATTAGACAATAAAGTGGTATGTGCAGCTACACATGGAACAATTCCGTTCTCTCAGTTACGGAGAAAGCAGACGCCTTCTAAAGCAAACAAGCGTGCAACTGCAGCAAAAATAAATTTGGCCAATGTGTCAGCCACAGGCTAGGGCTGGGCAGGGCAGGGCATATGTTTTCTCAGCAATTCCCTGAAATGATCTGAAAAAGGAGTTTGCCAACTTAGAAACCAGTTTTATTTTCACTTTTACTACATAAAAACCCACGGGCCTCCCAGATCTCTTCAGCTGCCTGCTATTGTTCCCCCGATCACATGTTGTGTTTATAAATCACTGGGCATTTTTCCACTTTCCACCACAGCAAACTGTTCTCAAACACAAAGAAACCAGAAGTTCTGGGGTTTTGAGTTATTTTTAATTTCCCTTTTACAGTATAGTAATTTTAACATTATGTTTTCAACTTGGAACATGGATCAGCGATTATGAATAGGACGTCTCAAGCACAAGTCTGTAACCAGTGAAAATATGAAGCTATTGAGGCAAATTCAGAATAGCAGTGATTCATAGGGACTGTGACAGATGTGTTGTTGACTTGGAAGTCCACCATGTGACCATAACAGCTACAAGAGCCAGAGCTTTGCCCAAGCCACATGTAGTGAACTGGTAGTGGGCAGCCCCCTCTAAAATAGCATGGAGTGAGCGGAGGTGGGTTTTATTTAATTCAGATAAAGCATATAAAATAATGGTATGAACCATCTCTACTGCAGTGACATTCAAAAAGTAAAGTATGCAATTTCAAAGAAAAGAAAATCACAAAATAAGGGCTGGGTGCACTGGCTCACACCTGTAATCCTAGCACTTTGGGAGGCTGAGGCAGGCAGATCATGATCAGGTGTTCGAGACCAGCCTGGCCAACATGGTGAAAACCCATCTGTATTAAAAATACAAACTAGCTGGGCGTGGTGGCGGGCACCTGTAATCCCAACTACCCGGGAGGCTGAGGCAGGAGAATCGTTTGAACCCGGAAGGCAGAGGTTGCAGTGAGCTGATATCACGCCATTGCACTCCAGCCTGGGTGACAGTGCAAGACTCTATCTCAAAAAATAAATAAATAAAATAAAATAAAAATCACAAAATAATTTGACAACATAAAATAGAGAAGACTCAATTAAGGGCAATAAAATGAAAAACCAAATCAAAGAAAATGAAAAACCAAATCAAAGCAAATGAAAAATTTTCCTGGGCCAGGTGTGGTGGCTCATGCCTGCAATCCCAACACTTTGGGAGGCCAAGGCAGGAGGATCACTTGAGCCCAGGAGTTCAAGATCAGCCTGGGCAACATGGCAAAACCTTGTCTCTACAAAATATATAAAACATTAGCCAGACGTAGTGGCATTCACCTGTAGTCCCAGCTACTTGGGAGGCTGAGGTGGGAGTATCGCTTGAGCCTGGGAGGTAGAGGCTGCAGTGAGCCAAGATCCCACCACTGCACTCCAGCCCAGGTGGCAGAGTGAGATCCTGTCTCAAAAAAAAAAGAAAGAGGCCGGGTCCAAGGTGGTTGAATAGGAACAGCTCCAGTCTACAGCTATCAGCATGAGCAATGCAGAAGATGGGTGATTTCTGCATTTCCAACTGAGGTACTGGGTTCATCTCACTGGGGCTTGTTGGACAGTGGGTGCAGCCCACGGACTGTGAGCTGAAGCAGGGCGGGGCATCACCTCACCCAGGAAGCCCAAGTGGTTGGGGAATTCCCTTTCCTAGCCAAGGGAAGCCATGACAGACGGTACCTGGAAAATCAGGACACTCCCACCCTAATACTGCACTTTTCCAATGGTCTTAGCAAACAGCACACCAGGACATTATATCCTGCACCTGGCTCGGAGGGTCCTACGCCCACGGAGCCTTGCTCACTGCTAGCACAGCAGGCCGAGATCAAACTGCAAGGCGGCAGCGAGGCTAAGGGAGGGGCATCTGCCATTGCTAAGGCTTGAGTAGGTAAACAAAGTGGCCGGGAAGCTCGAACTGGGGGGAGCCCACCACAGCTTAACAAGGCCTGCCTGCCTCTGTAGACTCCACCTCTGGGGGCAGGGCATAGCTGAACAAAAGGCAGCAGAAACTTCTGCAGACTTAAACGTCCCTGTCTGACAGATTTGAAGAGAGTAGTGGTTCTCCCAGCATGGAGTTTGAGATCTGAGAATGGACAGACTGCCTCCTCAAGTGAGTCCCTCACCCCTGAGTAGCCTAACTGGGAGACAGCTCCCAGTAGGGGCCGACTGACACCTCATACACCTGGGGCCCCCTCTGAGACGAAGTTTCCAGAGGAAGGATCAGGCAGCAACATTTACTGTTCTGCAATATTCACTGTCTGCAGCCTCCACTGCTGATACCCAGGCAAAGAGGGTCTGGAGTGGACCTCCAGCAAACTCCGACAGACCTGCAGCTGAGGTCCTGACTGTTAGAAGGAAAACTAACAAACATAAAGGACATCCACATCAAAATCCCATCTCTAGGTCACCATCATCAAAGACCAAAGGTAGATAAAACTACAAAGATGGGGAGAAACCAGAGCAGAAAAGCTGAAAATTCCAAAAATCAGAGCACCTCTTCCCTCCAAAGAAATGCAGCTCCTCGCCAGCAACAGAACAAAGCTGGATGGAGAATGACTTTGACGAGTTGTCAGAAGTAGGCCTCAGAAGATCAGTAATAACAAACTTCTCTGAGCTAAAGGAGGATGTTCGAACCCAGCGCAAAGAAGCTAAAAACCTTGAAAAAAAATTAGATGAATGGCTAACTATAATAAACAGCATAGAGAAGATCTTAAATGAACTGATGGAGCTGAAAACCATGGCACAAGAACTACGTGATACATGCACAAGCTTCAGTAGCCGATTTGATCAAGTGGAAGAAAGGGTATCAGTGATTGAAGAACAAATGAATGAAATGAAGCGAGAAGAGAAGTTTAGAGAAAAAAGAGTAAAAAGAAACAAACAAAGCCTCCAAGAAATATGGGACTATGTGAAAAGACCAAATCTATGTCTGATTGGTGTACCTGAAAGTGATGGGGAGAATGGAACCAAGTTGGAAAACACTCTTCAGGATATTGTCCAGGAGAAATTCCCCAATCTAGCAAGGCAGGCCAATATCCTAATTCAGCAAATACAGAGAACACCACAAAGATACTCCTCGAGGAGCAACTCCAAGACACATAATTGTCAGATTCATCAAAGTTGAAATGAAGGAAAAAAAGTTAAGGGCAGCCAGAGAGAAAGGTCGGGTTACCCACAAAGGGAAGCTCATAAGACTAACAGCTGATCTCTCGGCAGAAACTCTACAAGCCAGAAGAGAGTGGGGGCCAATACTAACATTCTTAAAGAAAAGAATTTTCAACCCAGAATCTCATATCCAGTCAAACTAAGTCTCATAAGTGGAGGAGAAATAAAATCCTTTACAGACAAGCAAATGCTGAGAGATGTTGTCACAACCAGGCCTGCCTTACAAGAGCTCTTGAAGGAAGCACCAAACATGGAAAGGAACAACCAGTACTAGCCACTGCAAAAACATGCCAAATTGTAAAGACCACTGATGCTAGGAAGAAACTGCACCAACTAACAAGCAAAATAACCAGCTAACATCACAATGACAGGATCAAATTCATACATAACAATATTAACCTTAAATGTAAATGGCCTAATGCTCCAATTAAAAGACACAGACTGGTAAATTGGATAAAGAGTCAAGACCCATCAGTGTGCTGTATTCAGGAAACCCATCTCACATGCAGACACACACATAGGCTCAAAATAAAGGAATGGAGGAAGATCTACCAAGCAAATGGAAAACAAAAACAAGCAGGGGTTGTAATCCTAGTCTCTGATAAAACAGACTTTAAACCAACAAAGATCAAAAGGGACAAAGAAGGCCATTACATAATGGTAAAGGGATCAATTCAACAAGAAGAGCTAACTATCCTAAATATATATGCACCCAATACAGGAGCACCCACATTCATAAAGCAAGTCCTTAGAGACCTACAAAGAGACTTAGACTCCCACACAATAATGATGGGAGACTTTAACACCCCACTGTCAACATTAGACAGATCAACGAGACAGAAAGTTAACAAGGATATCCAGGACTTGAACTCAGCTCTGCACCAAGCAGACCTAATAGACATCTACAGAACTCTCCACCCCAAATCAACAGAATATACATTCTTCTCAGCACCACATCTCACTTATTCCAAAATTGATCACATAGTTGGAACAAAAGCACTCCTCAGCAAATGTAAAAGAACAGAAACTATAACAAACTATCTCTCAGACCACAGTGCAATCAAATTAAAACTCAGGATTAAGAAACTCACTCAAAACCGCACAACTACATGTAAACTGAACATCCTGCTCCTGAATGACTACTGGGTACATAACGAAATGAAGGCAGAAATAAACATGTTCTTTGAAACCAATGAGAACAAAGACACAATATACCAGAATCTCTGCGACACATTTAAAGCAGTGTGTAGAGGGAAATTTATAGCACTAAATGCCCATAAGAGAAAGCAGGAAAGATCTAAAATCGACACCCTAACATCAAAATTAAAAGAAATAGAGAAGCAAGAGCAAACACATACAAAAGCTAGCAGAAGGCAAGAAATAACTAAGATCAGAGCAGAACTGAAGGAGATACAGACACAAAAAACCCTTCAAAAAAATCACTGAATCCAGGAGCTAGTTTTTTGAAAAGATCAACAAACTTGATAGACCACTAGCAAGACTAATAAAGAAGAAAAGAGAGAAGAATCAAATAGATGCAATAAAAAATGATAAAGGGGATATCACCACAGATCCCACAGAAATACAAACTACCATCAGAGAATACTGTAAACACCTCTACACAAATAAACTAGAAAGTCTAGAAGAAATGGATAAATTCCTAGAAACATACACCCTCCTAAGACTAAACCATGAAGAAGGTGAATCCCTGAATAGACCAATAACAGGCTCTGAAATTGAGGCAATAATTAATAGCCTGCCAATCAAAAAAAGTCCAGGACCAGACAGATTCCCAGCCGAATTCTACCAAAGGTACAAAGAGGAGCTAGTACCATTCCTTCTCAAACTATTCCAATCAATAGAAAAAGAGAGAATCCTCCCTAACTCATTTTATGAAGCCAGCATCATCCTGATACCAAAGCCCGGCAGAGACACAACAAAAAAAGAGAATTTTAGACCAATATCCCTGATGAACATTGATGCAAAAATCCTCAATAAAATACTGGCAAACCGAATCCAGCAACACATCAAAAAGCTTATCCACCATGATCAAGTTGGCTTCATCCCTGGGATGCAAGGCTGGTTCAATATATGCAAATCAATAAATGTAATCCATCATATAAACAGAACCAAAGACAAAAACCACATGATTATCTCAATAGATGCAGAAAAGGCCTTTGACAAAATTCAACAGCCCTTCATGCTAAAATTCTCAATAAACGAGATATTGATGGGATGTATCTCAAAATAATAAGAGCTATTTATGACAAACCCACAGCCAATATCATACTGAATGGGCAAAACCTGGAAGCATTCCCTTTGAAAACTGGCACAAGACAGGGATGCCCTCTTTCACCACTCCTATTCAACTTAGTGTTGGAAGTTCTGGCCAAGGCAATCAGGCAGGAGAAAGAAATAAAGGGTATTCAATTAGGAAAAGAAGAAGTCAAATTGTCTCTGTTTGCAGATGACATGATTGTATATTTAGAAACCCCATCATCTCAGCCCAAAATCTCCTTAAGCTGATAAGCAACTTCAGCAAAGTCTCAAGATACAAAATCAATGTACAAAAATCACAAGCATTCCTATACACCAATAACAGATAAACAGAGAGCCAAATCATGAGTGAACTCCCATTCACAATTGCTTCAAAGAGAATAAAATACCTAGGAATCCAACTTACAAGGGATGTGAAGGACCTCTTCAAGGAGAACTACAAAACACTGCTCAACAAAATAAAAGAGGACACAAACAAATGGAAGAACATTCCATGCTCATGGATAGGAAGAATCAATATCGTGAAAATGGCCATACTGCCCAAGGTAATTTATAGATTCAATGCCATCCCCTTCAAGCTACCAATGATTTTCTTCACAGAATTGGAAAAAACTACTTTAAAGTTCATATGGAACCAAAAAGGAGCCCACATTGCCAAGTCAATCCTAAGCCAAAAGAACAAAGCTGGAGGCATCATGCTACCTGACTTCAAACTATACTACAAGGCTATAGTAACCAAAACAGCATGGTACTGGTCCCAAAACAGAGATATAGACCAATGGAATAGAACAGAGCCCTCAGAAATAATACCAAACATCTACAACCATCTGATCTTTGACAAACCTGACAAAAAAAAGAAATGGAGAAAGGATTCCCTACTTAATAAATGGTGCTGGGAAAACTGGCTAGCCATATGTAGAAAGCTGAAACTGGATCCCTTCCTTATACTTTATACAAAAATTAATTCAAGATGAATTAAGGACTTAAATGTTAGACCTAAAACCATAAAAACCCTAGAAGAAAACCTAGGCAATTCCATTCAGGACATAGGCATGGGCAAGGACTTCATGACTAAAACACCAAAAGCAATGGCAACAAAAGCCAAAATTGACAAATGGGATCTAATTAAACTAAAGAGCTTCTGCACAGCAAAAGAAACTACCATCAGAGTGAAGAGGCAACCTATAGAATGGGAGAAAATTTTTGCAATCTACCCATCTGACAGAGAGCTAATATCCAGAATCTACGAAGAACTTAAACAAATTTACAAGAAAAAAATCAAACAACCCCATCAGAAAGTGGGTGAAGGATATGAACAGACACTTCTCAAAAGAAGACATTTATGCAGTCAACAGACACATGAAAAAATGCTCATCTCACTGGTCATCAGAGAAATGCAAATCAAAACCACAATGAGATACCATCTCACACCAGTTAGAATGGCGATCATTAAAAAGCCAGGAAACAACAGGTGCTGGAGAGGATGTGGAGAAATAGAAACTCTTTTACACTATTGGTGGGACTGTAAACTAGTTCAACCATTGTGGAAGACAGTGTGGCGATTCCTCAAGGATCTACAACTAGAAATACCATTTGACCCAGCCATCCCATTACTGGGTATATACCCAAAGGATTATAAATCATGCTGCTATAAAGACACATGCACACGTATGTTTAATGCGGCAGTATTCACAACAGCAAAGACTTGGAACCAACCCAAATGTCCATCAATGATAGACTGGATTAAGAAAATGTGGCACATATACACTATGGAATACTATGCAGCCATAAAAAGGATGAGTTCATGTCCTTTGTAGGGACATGGATGAAGCTGGAAACCATCATTCTCAGCAAAGGACAGAAAACCAAACACCGCATGTTCTCACTCATAGGTGGGAATCGAACAATGAGAACACTTGGACACAGGGCGGGGAACATCACACACCCAGACCTGTCATGGGGTGGGGTGGAGGGGGATAACATTAGGAGAAATACCTAATGTAAATGACGAGTTAATGGGTGCAGCACACCAACATGGCACATGTATACATATGTAACAAACCTGCATGCTGTGCACATGTACCCTAGAACTTAAAGTATAATAAAAAAAAAAAAGAAAAAGAATGAAAAGTTCTGCTAAAGTTTTGAGTCTGTTTCAGAAATGTTCCAGAAGTTGGAGCTTGAATAGAAAAAATGAAGTGGGTGAGAAGCTTCACTGTATATAGGACCACATCTCTATTTGCATCAAAAGAGACCACGCAACCAGAAAGGGTGCCCTCACTGAGCTACACTGCTTACCAGTGTGTTTTAATGGGTTAAAAAAGACAGACTTAAGAACTGAGGGGAGACCATGGTTATAAAAACACACATATTAATGATTTGGCCCTTTTACCAGTCTTTGTTCACCATAACTCTAGTGTCTATGAAGTCATGTCAATTTATAAAGTGATTGTTGGTAAAACAATAGGTGAAGATATTTTCACAAAATGTGTAAATTTGAAAAGATCAGCATCAACTGGGAAGAAACGGCACAGACTCCCAGCACAGGTGAGCCAAATCTCTAATGGGAAAAATGGCAGAAAATGTGAACCACTGTTTGCACACAATGATGTTCTTGGAACCTGCCACACACATGAAACATACCTCACTGTGAAAGATCTGCTCTTGAGTTCGAAGTGGTAAACTTTTCATTTAAATGTAGTATAGAAAACTTAGCGTTTAAACTCTTGTCACTTAGGGCCAGTTTTTAATAATATGAGAAGTTGTTCTGAAAGCTTGCTTTACCACACAGACGTGTGCTATCTTAATAAGATGCTTCTCTAGGTTTTCAAACTTGAGATTGGTGTAGAGGAAAATATCTTTTTTTCCACCAACACAGTATTCCACAGAACACAGAGGAAAATATCAACAGTGCTATGACTAAGAGCAGAAGACTCATTAAGGTGAATAAAGTCATTTTTCACCAAAATGTCAATGAGTGGCTCACAGAGATGTTTTGTTTAGAATATTTTTGTCAAGGCTCAATACTCTTAATCAACAACTGCAAGGCAAACTGAGAAATGATTTTACTGCCATGATTGCTGTCATAAAAATACAGTTAGGGAGCTGGATGAAGAGAGTTGATCAGGGGAACTAAGTATACATAATTGAAGCTCTTGGTTCATTTGCATGTGTCAGTTCTCTTCCATCAGTTGATGTTTCCAAAACTGTTAGAATTTTTTTGCAACTGCATTTTATCCTTAGCCAATGGAGAATATAGGAATTGTTTAGTCTTTCCTGATGGTAATAATTTAAGGTGTTAATTTATACTTTTGATACAACCCTATTCATCACTGATGCCTTCCTTCTTTCTGATCTAAATCATCTTGTGCATTTCCTGCCTCAGACCTGGAATCTGCTGTTACTTCAGTGTGAGTCTTTTTCCTCAAGACTGAGTCTTGCTCTGTTGCCCAGGCTGGAGTGCAGTGGCATGATGATAGCTCACTGAAGCCTCGACCTCCCAGGATTAAGCAATCCTCCAGCCTCAACCTCCCAAGTAGCTGGGACTACAGGTGCACGCCACCACACCAGGCTAATTTTTGTGTGTTTTGTATAGACAAGTTCTCGTTATGTTGTCCAGGCTAGTCTTGAACGCCTAGGCTCAAGCAATCCACCTGCTTCAGCCTTTCAAATTGCTGGGATTACAGGTGTGAGCCACTGTGCCTGGCCTGCCTTATTCCTTGACCTGTATGGATCACTGTCTGCTGAGTATTGCCAGAGGATTTCTCCTACCAACCCTATAATATTTTAGGGGCTTCAATGTAGCTCATAGATGACCATGTCATTGCTCTGATTTGCTTTTTTTTAAATTCCAACTTAAAAAAAATCCTCTTTAGACGTTTCTTTTCAGAGATCATAATCGTGGTGCTTGAGAGTAATGCTTGGTGATACTGGTTTAATCATTGTTTCTGAACTTTTTGGAGGACAGAGCTACGAAATTCTTCTTTTTAAGATAAAATAAATTCTGAGCCCCTGTTGATACTTCCTATTCAAATTTAAAACTAGACAGGTTCTATTTAACCTCACTTTTTCTTTCTTTTGCCCATGTATCTCCTTTCTCTCTTGCTGAAACTCATGGTTCCCAAAAGCACCAATACTGTATAATTACTTACCTGCCTTATCCTACCATGGCACATGCAAAAGTTTTAAATTAGCAATACTAATAATACCAACAAAAATATAACTAATGAAAATAGTGTAAGCTCTTTTTTAGTTCCTTTTGTCTATCGGGTATATTCTACTAGGGACATACAGTAAAATTACCGTGTTTGGGGAGTAGCTAGCAATGGCTCCTCTCTGTGTGGTTATGCCACCAACTCAAAACTCCAAATTCCCAAATAAGAACAACATGAGCCATGAAATAACAAAGCATCAAATACATTAAAATACATGAGATCATAAAGATATAAAAAATTCATTGGTCAACTTTGGAGGATGCTAGGAACCAACTCATTATTTTGAAAATTGGTAACCAAATCAAGCATTTCTCTTGCCTTATCTATGTGAACTACACTTCAGAGTACCCAAATAGTTGATATGGGGAAGTTTCTTTTTATAGAAGTATTCCAGCTCATAAATGTGGAGGGAACAATAAAATTGGAAAATCAGCATTTTGCAGCCTCTAATGAAACAGATCCAGTGGATGAGCAATGGCTTCAACAACACAAAGAGGAAGAGACAAACATTACACTGGAACTACACAGCACCTCTTATAATTAATGATCCCCAAAATCTGACCCTGAATCTGATCAAGCCTTTAGATCTAACTACCAAATTACAGAAAATACTGGGGACAAAGGAGCATGTCAACCACCAAACCCAGACTGCTTGAATCACTACAGAACAAATGATCTAGTTTCTTCAAAAAATAAATTGTGAGGGAAGAGGAGAAAGAAAGGGGGTATTTTCAGATTTGAAATTGATATATCAACCAATCACAATAGGTGGGTCCTATTTAGATCCGGTTCACTCTGTAGTGGCATTGAAACACACTGTGTGTGTGTGTGTGTGCAAGTGTGTGTGTGTGTGTGTGTGTGTGTTATTAAAGTTTTACAATTAATTTTTAAGTGTGCAATCACTGAATTGTGGATACACACACAGTGTGTGTTTCAATGCCACCACAGAGTGAATTGTGGTGGCCCTTGCCTCCACCCTCATCTACATCAGATTGCTCTACCCTCTCCCCCTATTTCCTACTTCCAGTCAGCACACAGTCCAAGAAGAAACTGTGTGTGTGCTATAAAAACACATTCCCCTTCATCAAAATTGCCCCCGAATCCCTCCCGTGTGCAAACTCTGGAGCTGCTGCCATTCACCGGGAAGACTGTCACAGCCGTTTTCAGGACTTACAGTCACTGCCAGGAATCTCCCTGCCTTTGCTCATACTCTGCTCCCAGCCTGGAATGCCTTCACTCCTGCCTGTTTGAACCATCTCAGCTCAAGTCTTTTTCTTCCAGAAGCCACCTCTGAGCACTCAGCATCAGCCATCTCTCTTTTCCAGCTTCTCAGTCCTCACTTTATGTTCTAGCACCTATGAAAAGAAAATAAATCTCAGGACCCCAAAATCACTAAGCCAAGGGAAAAGTCAAGCTGGGAACTGTGTCAGGCAAATCTGCCTCCCATTTTATTCCTAAATAAGATAGCTACAGAGTTAAGAAGCTACGTACCTCCCTCACAATTTGCCCACAAGGAAAATCCTTGTGGACAAAGGACAGACAGAACTCAAGATCATCCCTCTGTGCCTCACCTGAGACAAATGCATATCTGATTGCTTCCTCTGCCCTATTGTTTATGTAAAAGTGCAGATTCACTGAGACAGACTAAATCGTGTTTTTAGTGGAAGGCTGATCAAGGACTCAGAAGAATATAACTTTAGTCTCTTATCCATTTATGACCTGGAACCCCCTGCCTCAAGCTGTCTAGCCTTACCGGACTGAACCAATGTATATCTTACACATATTGATTGATGTCTTATGTCTCCCTAAAATGTATAAAAGAAAGCTCTACCCTGACCACCTTGGGCACGTGTCATCAGGACCTCCTGAGACTGTGTCATGAGCATGTTCTTAACTTTGGCAAAATAAACTTTCTAAATTGATTGAGACCTGTCTCAGATACCTTTTAGTTTACACACCTGAGATTTGCTGCCTTCAGATTTTCTCTTCCAGTCTTCTGAAAGATTCTGCTTTCCCAGAGGCACAGGTCCCAGAGTTCCTCCTCTCATCAACTCAGCAATCCATCTAATAGCCACACACAGGAGGATTTCTGTAACTATCATTGAGTACTAGCAGGTGAGCCATTTAACACTTTTTCTGTTTCCCATCACTAAGACATTTAGACTTGAAAGCCTCTAGATCCAGACAGAATAGCTGAGCCCTTTTATACAGAGATAGAGGGAGAATCAAGTCTCTGCAGAGGCCAACAGGTGGCAAAGGGGCATACAGGCTTGACACCTCTTCCCCTATGCCCTTCATTTGTCCATGGGGCATTCCTGGAAACTGGTTAAAAACAGACTAGTGAAGTTAAAATGGCCTTTCCCCGAGGAACGATATTAACATTATAGTGGGTTCTTGAGCTAAAACCAGGAACCAAAGACAAGAAATCCATGACCAATAATAAGTTGGAGAAAAACAGACAAAACAACCATAGGCACATAAAATAACAGAAATGACTCTCCACCATGGAGTCTCAAACTCACAGTTATGATGGGTAAAGCCACTGAGGAATGGGTGAGACTAAAAGTAGTACTGTAAGAAGGGGGCTGTCCGTAATGTGGGGGCTCTGGGAGTAGGAGAAGTGGCTTGAGAGAGGGAAGGAAGTTTAGGACAAACATGAGGAAAGCCAGCTTCCCACAAGATAGGAAAAACATAGTAGCTGGTGCAGGGGCTTTGGCATGAAGCAGGCGTAAAACGTCCCATCCCCACCACTCCCTAGCTGTGTAACTTCAGGGAAGCAGCTTCTCTTCCATGGATTCCAGGTTCCTTGTTGGTTAAAAGTAGGTAATAATGCCTAGCAGGAAGTTGTCAGGATTTGGTGACTGGCATCTCAAATTTAACATGTCCAAAGTAGCCCTAAACCTGTGGTTTCCATTGTCTTTTCATTTTAGTTAATGACCTCTTCATTCTTTCACTTGTTCAAGCCCAAAACCTTGGAATCATTCAATCCTGTGGGCTCTCTTCTAAATTCATCCAGACTGTAACCACTTTTCTCATCACCTCAATCACTCCACACTGGCCCAAGCACCAAGCCTTCTCACCTGAATCACAACAAAGCCCCCGCCCCACCCCACTACCAGGTGTCCTCACTTCCACCATTGACTGCTACAGTGTGAATCCACACAGCAGCACATAATCCCATCAATCACTCCTCTCTGCTCACACCCCCCTCCCGCATTTCCATCTCAGAGTAAAACTCAAAGCCCTACTCTTGATCTACAAGGTATATGGCCCCTGCTAGCCTGGACAGTATCTGTTTCCACTTTCTCTCCTGCCAGCCTTGTTGCTATTCCTAGATCTTGTCTGTTGTTCTCCTGAGTAAGCGGGAGTTGAAAATCAGCTGGAGTACATTGAGATGAAAAGGCCCAAGGGATTTGGGTGTGGCACAAAAACATGTCTGCTACCCTCAGGGAACAGAGGAAAGAGAATCTGGGTGCATGGCCCAGCCAGAGCTGGGAGGGTTTTGAGCATCCTTCCTGCCTTTTCTCAACCTAACATCAGAGCCCACCTGAGGAACTTCCCGGGAAGCCCCCGTTACCTCTTCAGTCCTCCCAAAGCCATGGCCCTGTCTTCTATCAAGGAAAACCTTCACTGTTCTGTTATCTGGAGTTCAAACAAGCCAGTAATCCCAATCCCTTTGCATTTTGTGGCCCCACCCATTCTATCATTCTATCCTCCAGACTTCTGCCAAAGTGAGCTTTCCAACTTACTTTGGAATTTTTGGACTCATTTTCCAACTTAATTTAGATATTTTTTCCAAGTATCCGCCAAAGATATTTTAAATTATCTTTTTAAGTAGATTCATTTATCCTCTCTACCTCTTTTTTTTTTTTTTTTTTTTTTTTTTTTTAGTACCTACTGTATGCCAAATACCTGCTAGCCACCTTGGAGCAAGACATGCTTCAAAAGTGAAGAAGATAAGTTGTGTGAACATGAGAAAATTACTTGTTTTCTCTGCCTTAGTTGCCTTATCTCTAAGATAGACATACTTCCTTTCCCCAAGGAGCTGATCCACCACAGTCTTTAGTGGAATAGGTGGCAGAATTAATCCGTTATTTAATATGCATAAAGTCTATGAAGATAGGGTGGTCATTCCTTCTGAGCACATGGTAGGTACTCAGGAAAATCGCTGGTTGTTTGATTTAAATCTGCAATTAGTATTTGGTATTATGTGCTGCTTGGCACCTTACTTAAACCTGTGCAGGATGGAGATAAGTTAGACTCTG